>NC_000002.12:229307799-229610830 GCF_000001405.40 Homo sapiens
GATCTTGGCTCAACTGCAAGCTCCGCCTCCAGGGTTCACGCCATTCTCCTGCCTCAGCCTCCCGAGTAGCTGGGACTACAGGCGCCTGCCACCACGCCCGGCTAATTTTTTGTATTTTTTTAGCAGAGACGGGGTTTCACCGTGTTAGCCAGGATGGTCTCGATCTCCTGACCTTGTGATCCGCCTACTTCGGCCTCCCAAAGTGCTGGGATTACAGGCGTGAGACACCGCACCTGGCCAAAATATATTCTTTAAAAGCATTGTATTTAAGCTTTACAATCTTTATTTTGAACATCTGAAAGGCAGAAAGAAAAGGTGTTTGAATTGGTTCCCATTTGGATAAAGTAGCTTAAGCAAAATAACAACCATCTAATTTTTAATAGCTGTCAATGGCTCTTCAGGGTGGCTCTTGAGGATTGTATGTAACTTGGCTTCATAGTTATTTTTAGTCACTGTGACCCCATTTCCCCCTAGATTTTACCCTCTAGAATCAGACCTAATTCAATGCCTAAAATACCTGTGCTAAGAAACACAGAAAACAAAGAAGCAAAATTTTAATCATCCTAATAAAAGATGAAAGAATTCGGCTGGGCGTGGTGGCTCATGCCTGTAATCCCAGCACTTTGGGAGGCCAAGGTGGGCGGATCACGAGGTCAGGAGATCGAGACCATCCTGGCTAACATGGTGAAACCCCTTCTCTACTTCAAAAAAAAAAAAATACAAAAAATTAGCCGGGCGTGGTGGTGGGTGCCTGTAGTCCCAGCTACTCGGGAGGCTGAGGAAGGAGAATGGTGTGAAGCCAGGAGGCGGAGCTTGCAGTGAGCCAAGATGCGCCACTACACTCCAGCCTCGCAACAGAGAGAGACTCCGTCTCAAAAAAAAAAAAAAAAAGATGAAAGAATTCAAAAATATACATTCTCTGACTCAGCAAAATAAATAGAGTAGATAATCAGAAATGACGCCCTACAAGATGGAAATCCAAACAGACACGGGGGAGAAACTTTCAAGGCCATCTGGCCTGGCTTGGATTATAATTCACCCAAGACATGTTAAGATTAAGGGAATAAAGAAGACAATATTAATCATCGGAAATGAAACAAAGAGCCTATATTATCTATTTACTTATAAAATTTTTGTAAAGGGTGTAAAACATCAACTTTGGAAGTTACTTTCTATATATTTAACTTTGACTTGCTATTTTAAAAGGTGTATCTGTAGATTCATTATATTAGTAAATACTCACACATAGGAAAGTGGAAATCTTTTTTTTTTTTTTTTTTTTTTTTTTTTGAGAAAGCATCTCACTCTGTCACCCAGGCTCAGCTCACTGCAACCTCCACCTCCTGGGTTCAAGCGGTTCTCCTGCTCCAGCCTCCTGAGTAGCTGGGATTATAGGCATGTGCCACCGTGCCCGGCTAATATTTGTATTTTTAGTGGAGACAGGGTTTTGCCATGTTGTCCAGGCTGGTCTCCAACTCCTAACCTCAGGTGATCTGCCTGCCTCGGCCTCCCAAAGTGTTGGGATTACAGGATTGAGCCATCGCGCCCGGCCAGGAAACTGGAATTCTGACTGATGTTTAAACTTTGGGCAGTGCCTCCAAATTACATTGATAGAGAAAGAAAGCACCCAGATTAAATGTCACATATAGGATAGTTTTGTGACAAACTTCTAAATTCTACAAACAAATGTACACAGACACAAAAAATCACATATTGACAAATGAGTGTGATGGTGATGGTTTATATGTCACTTGGACTTTGTTACTTTTCTGTTAAGTCAGAAAGGGCTTCCTAGAAGGTAGAGCAGAAATAGGGACAAGGTGGCATGAGTAAGTGAGCCCTCTGGCCCTTCAACATTCATCAGCTTAAACCAAATTCAGATAATTCTCACTACTGTTTGCCTCTGTACACATATGCACACAGCGTATGTGATCCTTAAGTGTGATGGTGGGAAGGGCTGAATCAAACATACCTAAGACATCTTTTCATGAGATTTTACCCGTTAACTATTGGAAAAACAAGGATCCACTTTTCTGTGTGTGTGTGTGTGTGTGTGTGTATGTGTGTGTGTCTGTGTGGTGTGTGTGTGTGTGTGTGTGTGTGTGTGTGTGGTTTTTTGTTGTTGTTGTTGTTGTTGCTGTGATACTTCAACATGTCTTTCCTCAGATATATAAAGTTTGTGCGTTATGGTTAAATGCTGAAATTGCTCTTTCACTAACAAATCCTCCTAGAAATTTTATATTATTGACTTGATATGACAAATATCAAGCCATTTCTTCTTCTTATGTCAACATAAACTTTTGAAAGTTTATAGAGTTATTGTTATTGGTACAGATTTTTCATCTTCATTGCAGCATCATAGCACACAAGTGCCTCTATTTGATTCTTCTGCTAAATGTGCCTTTACTAAAATTAATTTCAATAAATTGATGCTTTGAGAACCTCTGATCAATGACTGTTTTAAGTATATAGCAATGAAATCAGAAGATTAAACAAGGTGATTCTTGATCAACTTGATGAGGGCAAGAGGAAGCGTAGCAAATCCAGCAAACAAATATGTGCATGGAAAAGACCCCAGGTGAGTCTTTAAGCCATAGAAATTACACTTAATTTTTGTGATTTTTCTTACATAGATACTTGTCTGTGGTACCCAGCCCTGTAGAGAAGGGTTTTGCTAAAGTCTTTGTTACAGGGGGAGGGGAAAAAAGAAAGGAATTCCATCAAGCAATAAAATTTGCAGAACTTAAAAATATTTTTTACATTTACCCCAAGGATTATGAAAGCAGCAGAATTGTGAATGCCAATTGGGGAAGTGACTAGACAATTGGCTTTCTTCCCCCACCAAAAAGAGAAATAACCGATTATTCATACATGCAGTCAGATCAGATTATCTGCCTTGCTTTCTTTTCTTTTCTTTTTTTTTTTTTTTTTTTTTTTTTTTTTTTTTTTTTTTTTGAGACAGAGTCTCTCTCTGTCATGCAGTGGCACCATCTTCCGCCTCCTGGGTTCAAGTGATTCTTCTGCCTCAGCCTCCCAAGTAGCTGGGATTACAGGAATGTGCCACCATGCCCAGCTAATATTTGTATTTTTAGTAGAGATGAGGTTTCACCTTGTTGGCCAGGCTGGTCTTGAACTCCTAACCTCAGGTGATCCATCCACCTTGGTCTCCCAAAGTGCTGAGATTACAGGTGTGAGCCATCATGCCCAGCCTGCCTTCCCTTCTAATTTTTCTGTGGTTCTGGCTCCTCCAGGACCCAGCATAGAGTTCACCAATCACACTGACTAGGGTTAGAGGTCACTGGGTAAAGCATAGTATGGAGGTTGCATTACAAACTAATAGTGGGAATGAAATTGAGCTAGGCCAGGGTCTTTTGCACGGTAAGCCTATACACCCAGAACAATCAACACATGGAGTCTTGGTTGACTGCACTATCAGATAAATAAAGAAGGGTTGGCCAGAAGTCAACAGGTCACAGCCATAAAAGTTCTTGGGTCTTTTCTCCTACCGCTTAAGCCATCACAGATCGATGGGATGCTGTACTCAAATCTCTTCCTGACACATGTGTTGATGGGGCCATGAAGTGTGGCTGCCCTGCCTTCACCACAGTGGTCATCAGTGACTACACATTTATAGACCAAAGACTCAATAAATAGATGTTGAATAAAGAAAGCAGAATTTCAACTGAACAGTGGATAACGGGCTAAAAGGGAAACAGTCCTCAAAGTTAGTAACATTTTCAATAAAAAGGCAAAATAACACCTGTACTGACTATAAAATATGACACAGATTCATAAAGCCACACTAAGAAGTATGTTATGTTTTTTTTTTCTTCTTATCAGAACTTTTGAGCCCAGGGAAGAAGGGAGATATACCTTCTTCTCATTACTCCTTAGCCATACCATCCCTGCTATATCTTACCTCATTCTCAACACTGTTTCGGGTTCTGAGAGGCAGAGGGAGGAAAAGATGAACTTCAAGAAGCAGAAAGTAAAAAAGAAAGTGGAAAGAAATGTGGAAAGGACAATTCTACCAGCCAGTGTTCAAGGAAGCAAAACTTAAAGTGTTTAAAAGGCTTAAAGAATGTGCTTAAAGCATTTAAAGAAAAAGAATCACTCCCTTTTTTTCTCCTTATTTTATTTCATTTTTTGAGACAGAGTCTAGATCTGTCACCCAGGCTGGAGTGGAGTGGCATGATCTCGGCTCACTGCAACCTCCACTTGCCAGGTTCAAGTGATTCTCATGCCTCAGCCTCCTGAGTAGGTGGGATTACAGGCACACGCCACCACGCCTGGCTATTTTTCTTGTATTTTTGGTAAAGACAGGGTTTTGCCATGTTGGCGAGGCTGATCTGGAACTCCTGTTGCATATATAAACAACAGCAAGTGTGCACGCTCACACCCTCCCCTCATCTAACCCGGTTTCCCTTTCTGGCTACCACTCTTATTATTCTCCTCATTCCTCTCCCATTATTCCAATGTGCAAGTGATCCCCACCAGCTCCATTTCTCCAAACCTCTTACCTCTGTGGCTTTGGCAGTCAGACTTCCCTCCATTTCTCCCCCAGAAGTTGTATTTGCCTATGTCACTGGTGATCCAGCTTTTGCTGAATCTAACCGAAATACTTTAGATCCTCAATCCTGTTTGACACCATGGCAGCACTTAGCACTGTTGATATTAACTCCTTCTGAAAGTTGTGCTCATCTTTGTCCCCCTGTGATACTAGCTTTCCTGGTTCACCTCCTGCTGTCCTCTTCTCCATGTCTTTTGCAGGCTTTCTTTATTCTAACCACAACTCTCTTGGTTTCTCTTAGACCCTAATTCTCAGCTCTCTTCTTCATTTACTCTCCACCTGCTTCTGTGCAGATTACAGGCACACCTGTGGCTTCCACTTCAACCTAGCTGACCACTTTCTTGCCTTGGTCCTAAAGCTACATTTCCAACCAGTCCATGAGAGGAAAGAGCTTGAAGTGCGTACAAATATTATATCAAACTTAGAAGTTATATACCATAAACAATGGCATGAACAGAACCCAAGATCAAGGACAATTATTGAAGTAGGGCTAGAGTGGAGACTTCACTGGGTTCCATACTCTCAACTAGCCTGAAGATCCAAATGGCCAAGTGTGGAGCAACAGATTCAGGGACACATCCAAAAAGAGACTAGAGATCAGTGCTGTGGGATCTGGGATAGAAGGGAGGATTGAGTTATTGTGGATAAAAGTATAAATGGGTATTGTGGATAAAAGTATAAATGGGTTTTTCACTTATAGTGAAAAACACAGTAATAACTTCAGGGCTAGTCCAACAGCATGGCTTAAAATGTGGATAAAAGATTACCAGAATTCCTACTAAGTCCAGGGAAATTTAAGGGGCATGCCAGTGGAGCATACCAACAAAGATACACGAATTCTGTAGCCACGGTCAAGAGGCTAAGGGGTCAGAAATTTGAGCCGATCATTAACTGTTCTATTCTTTTTCCATGAAGTTCTAAGTATAGAATTATACATTTGTTTTTGTTAAATTTTGTCTTATCGGTTTCTGCCTAGTGTTCTAGATGTCAAAATAAGTTTGAATCTCAGTTCTTTCATCTGTCTATATTAGCTCTTCTTGTCACTTGGCTCTGTATCATCTGCAAATTTTATGTGGCCTTCTATGTCTTAGCCAAGCAATTGATAAAAGGTTGAACTCAGCCAAGAATCAAACAACATGATGTTTTCTCTTCAGCATTTCCTCTAGTTGACAACAACCCATTAGTCAATACTTTTTTGGAAGTTATCGTTCAACTGGCCACAATTTTAATGGATTGACCCAATACCAATCTAATATTTCATTATTTTGTCTACCAGGCTATCATTTGTCTTTGGCAAATGCTATTTTGAAATCAAGGCAGGCATTTTAAACGTTTCCGTCAATTTTTCCTGCTCCACCAATGTAGAAGTGTAATGAGGAAAGAGGATGATTATGAGTTTGGCATGACTTTTCCTAGTGAGTCACTGCTTCCTCTTCTCTGCTCACACGCCATCTGTTTAATATTCTATTTTAGAAACTTTCCCCAAAATGAAATCTGATTTGCTAGTGTGTTGTTTGCAGAATTCCTCTTTTTCAAAAGTGAGAGAGGCTTTGTTCATCACCAATATCCTGGTCCTGCCTTCCCCTTCCAGGGTCAGATGGTTTAAAGATTCCTGAAAGGGACTCTGAATTCACATACAGGTCTGCTCCCTTTAACCCTTATAAAACGGAGTCATCGGAAATTCGGAGATGGCCTTAGTATTTCCATATCTATCCTCTGCTGTTTTTCTTCTCTGATGATGAAAATATAGAACCCACCAGTTTGATTACCATTCTTCTTGTTGGAGATGGTAGAAACAAAAGTGCCTCTCCTTTGTCGTCAGTTACAATCTCATCATCTGCCTCAAGCAACTGGACTTCGTCCAACCTATTGGCTCTGGACATCACGTCTACACCCTCTATCCTTCTTCATTTACTCAGATCTCAACAAATTCTGACCTTTGGTCTGTGACAGTATTTTCACGTGCTCCCGCTGCTCTGTCTACTTCTCCTACAAGTCTTTTGTAAGCATGATGTCATTCCAAGGCTTCCTGTGTGGCTATACAAATCCATGCTCCTTGACTTTTCTGAATGTCACAAATACCTTTTTAAAGATCTCTCCCTCCCCAAAATAACATTATAGCATTGACCTTATCCCCAGGATCTTGTTTAATCCTCTTGGATCTCCTTCCACCCAAAGGGAGTGTCAGTCAGGCAAGCAGGAGTTGGCTGGGCTGGTTTGTGCAGGTGTATGACCTGCACAACGAAATAGCAGCCGCCCACCACGCCCAAGATGCTCTTCAGTAGAAAGGAACCCAAATCCTTTCCCATAGTCTCTTCTCCAACGCCCTCCAAATTTCATCCCAAATCCCATCTCCAAAGTGGAAACTTACAGGATTGTTGCTTAGTTTCTGATTACCGCATTTTCAGGTGGCTCTGCTCATTATACATCATTAGCCTGAGAAGAGGATACTATTCCTGGGGCAAGAAGAAATAACTCTGACACAGTCCAGTTTTTACATGAGGTCTGCCCACCTGTTCTGACTCAAACTAAATTCTTGGCTCACTTACATGTTGCAAACTCAAGAACAGAATCTCTTGACAGTTTCTATTTATCTAACCTAAGTCTTCATATTCCTCACTGACCCAGACATGTTCTTCTGAATCTATGTGTTTAATACATTCTGTTTCTCCTAACATCACCTACAGACTATTCTTAAGTTTATATAAACATACTGCTTTAGCTTTATACACCCTCCAACCAAATACATTTTATATAATTAACAGTTTAATATATTTCGCTCTTTTAGTTTGATAGATTTTTTTTTCCTGTCAATACTATACCTCATATCTAGTTTGAGTTAGATTGGGAGAGCTGAGAGAAAATATTTTCCAGAATTTTCTTTCTTAACAAAGAACAATTTTTTCCCAAAATATCTTTTGATATCTGATTGTAAGTAGTTGCCTTTGTACATATTTTCCACAAGCCACCCTACTGAATGTGGAAAAATGAATATATTTTATCGGACTTGTCAACAGCCATTGCTCTCCTGACCTACTCTACATATTTTGAACTTGCCAGCTCCCAGATTCACAGAATTATAAGAGCCAATTCCTTAAAATAAGTATCTTTATTATATATTAGCCTCCTACTGGTTTTGCTTCTCTGGAGAACCCTGACTGATACACAATTTAATACAGCCATAACTCTAGATCCTTGATGAAAAGCTTTTCCCTGTCAGTGTTTTAGAAAAATTATCGATTCCTGAAGAATTAAAATAAGTCTGGTTTTCTATTAGAAGGTGATCCAAAACTGCACATAAGCACTAATACAGGCCTTGCTGGGAACTCCAGAAGTGAGGGAAGGAGCCAGGAGATGCCACCAGGACAGAAAGGCCAGTGGTCCATGAAAAATTCACTCCAAGCTGGGCTGACATCCTTCTGTAGGGGTGGGAATGGCAGGACTTCCATAAAGTGTCCCAGTCAGAGACTGTGTGTTGCCTACATGTTAGGGTAAGAGGCCCTAGAAGTTGGGACTACTCAGCAGAAATGCCTCACAGGATGATTAAGGGGAGAAGTTCAGGGCTGTATTCAGAGCTGAAGAAGAATGGGACCAAAAGCCAGAGGTGTGGAGGAAGCGACCACAGGACTGACTGGCCTCTGCAGTGAGGGGCAGAGGAAGCCAGAAGGCTAGCACTAGCATGGGCATCATGACATGGGATCGGAGACAATTTTTGAATTTGCAGACACTGTCCCCAGTCCCTACCCTACTATCCCACTGTTTTTTGGGGGGATGGGTTTTTTGTTGCAGGATCTCACTCTGTTCCCCAAGCTGGAGGGCAGTACGGTGATCATAGCCCACAAAAGCCTCAACCTCCAGAAGTCAAGTAATCCTCCTACCTCAGCCTCCCAAGTAGCTGGGACTAGGGGCACATGCCACCACACCCAGTTAATTTTTTTATTTTTATTTTTTATAGACACAAGGTCTTGCTATGTTGCCCAGGCTGGTCTTGAACTCCTGGCCTCAAGTGATTGTTCCACCTCGGCCTCCCAAAATGCTGGAACTACAGGCATGAGCCACCACACCTGGCCTTCCTCACTCTTAATACAAGAGAAATTAACCCAGTACAAGCCAGCTTCTCAATGGTTCAGCCTGCACAAGACTGAGCCTGCTGGTATCAGGTTATGATAGCTAGAGCAGGGGCAGAAGTTGATGGATGCTTCTAATGTTGCACACTTAGTCCAGATTTCCAATTTGTGTGGGAACAGGAACTATTTGAGATTGCTTGTTTTTAGAAATATGTTCAAATTCAAAATAATGAAATTTAAAATTATTTGATTTAGCGTTTTGGCTTTAAATAAAATCATTTCAGTGTTTTTCTTTACTGAATTATTATGCTGATAATTCAATTTGCCTAATCTTTTCCATTTTAATTTTAATAACTATACAAACATACTCTAAATTTTTTAATTCTACTTTCTTCCACAGATTTTTCAAGAAAATTAACATGTGTTCAGATTTCTATATGTTTCTATGCATTAATAGTTGAGATATCTTTCATTCAAATATTTATTTCTACACACATTTGTGAACTACCTACAAGTCCATGACACTGCATTAGGTGTGGGGATGACACAAACAAAATTGCAAACATTATCCCTCCCTAAAAGATTAAATTTTTCATATTTATTTTTCCCTAATCTTCTCATTAGAATGCAATTTAAAGGCATTACCTCAAAGAAAAAAAAAATTACTCCTCAGGAAATGTGGACGTTAACTGGTTCTAAAACAGATTATTCCTACTGTTATGAAAATAAATGTTTAAGAATCCCCCAGAAAACTTGCTACATGCCTGCCTAGCCTCATGCCTGTATAGTTTTATTAAATGGCTTGACCACATACCCTCTATCTAGAGTTACTCATTGCAGATTTTCAGACACTCCCTTCTTACCTTTATCTCTTTTATCGTTTGAGTTTTGTATTAGCCTTCTGATGGGTTTTTGGGGTTTTTTGTTTGTTTGTTTGTTTTGTTTTATTTTGAGGCAGGGTCTCGCTCTGTTGCCCAGGCTGGAGTGCAGTGGCATAATCTCGGCTCACTGCAACCTCTGCCTCCCGGGTTCAAGCGATTCTCCTGCCTCAGCCTCCTGAGTAGCTGGGACTACAGGCATACGCCCAGCAAAGTTTTGTATTTTTAATAGAAACAGGGTTTTACCATGTTGCCCAGGCTGGTCTCGAACTCCTGACCTCAAGTGATCTGCCCACCTCAGCCTCCCAAAGTGCTGGGATTATAGGCGTGAGGCACCGCGCCCGGCCTAATGGGTTTTTCTTCTACCTTGATGTCTTCCAACTTTTTAAAAATATTTTTATTTGTACATATATTGTTTTTTATTTTATTTATTTTATTTGTACATATTTTTTACCACTTTCCTCTGTGAGATTACTCTGGATTGAATTGTATTGAATGTGACTCTCCATTGATCTTAAAGGTGAAGCTACATTTTGCTTTCATTAGGCATTATGTATAACCCCCTACACTGTTGTTTCATCTACCTGTTGCCTTCTACTCCTGATTGTGGCTGTCCTGGAAACCTGGCCTTCCACTGATCTGACCCCAATTTCCCCTCTTAAACCCCCACATTGAAAGCCAGGTTCACAAACACAGACATGTGCTCACCCACCTTTCCTGTAGCCCTCAAGTCATGCCTGTCTCTGGGAATGGCCTTTTCTTCATCCAGGTGGATGAGGCCCTGTGGCAACCCCAACCTTCTTGTAGCAACTTCTCTAGTTCTCTGAAGCAGGTCTCTAAGCAGCCTGCCTTCCCCCATTCATTCATTGCCTCGCTAGGCCTTGTACTTCACTGCCAGCTAGTTCCTGGTTTGAGGGCAAGAAATGCTTGCAAATATTTTATCTTTAATCTTTTTTTTTTTTTTTCTGAGATGGAGTCTTGCTCTGTCCATGTTGGAGTACAGTGGCACGATCTTGGCTCATTTCAGCCTCCACCTCCCAGGTTCAAGCCACTCTTGTGTCTCAGCCTCCCAAGTAGCTGGGACCACAGGCACCTGCCACCATGCCCAGCTAATTTTTTTATTTTTTATTTTTGAGTAGAGATGGGGTTTCACCATGTTGGCCAGGCTGGTCTTGAGCTCCTGACCTCAGGTAATTGGCCTGCCTCAGCCTCCCAAAGTGCTGGGATTACAGGAGTGAGCCACCGTGCTGGGCCTATTTAATAGGCTAGATCCAACATAGGTGAAGGGCCATAGCTCTTTCCTAAATAAGGTGGGCAATACGACAGACTTTGCCATTTCCCCCCTTTTCATAAATTTTATTAAAATCCTTTAACACAGATGGGTTTAGCCCTTCAGGGAGCCTTCCCAGCACCTGGCAGTAAACCCACCTGTTCTACGAGCAAGCAGTTCTCAGTAGGTTTCAACCACTCAGATGCTTCCAGATAGTTTCTCAGTAAATCCTTAGTTTCTTCTGCTGTGAGAAACAGCTTAAGGGACTCCTGAGCCTTTCCCAGGCCTTTCTACTTCCTATCCTCTGATCTTGATGCCTCATTTTTATTTTTGAGGTGATCTCGACATCCACATCCTCTTTTTTGTTTTCAATTATTTTAACCACATTTTATGCCCTCCGCTTCTTAAGGTGTTCTTGTCTGTCTACAGATAAAGCGTCAGTGAGTGATCATAGGGGATCATGTACAGCAGAGCTCTCACAGAACATAAAGTTTGTTGCACAATTTGGCTATTGGTATCATCAGATTTATCTTTTAACCTCTGCTCGTTGTGGAATTTTCTGTCGGACAAAAAATATTTTATTTGAAGCATCTTCAGTTCTTTAGCTTTCTTTTTTTCCTCAGGCATCCTACCTGGTTTCCACTCCTGATTGTCTTTCTCATCATTACAGTGTTCAGGTTTCTATGGCTGCGTTCACGGGTTTCAATCCAGCTCTGACTCTTACCAGCCTGCAGACCTGGGTCACCCCTGCACTGCGGCTTTCTCATCCACACAGTGGGGATCATGGTGGTACCTACCTTAGGTAGAGCTTTTGGGAAGAGTAAGTGAATTTGTCCATGTAAAACACTTAACATAGGACATTGGCATGTTCAATAATGTTAGTATTACTTCATTTTCAATATTTTTTATAATTTCCATAGGCACTGAAAGCTAACCATAGTTCATCCTCTTTTAACTTCCGTTGAATTATTTCATATGTGAAATGTGGTCTCTGTCTTTCTAAAACCGCCAAAAATATTCCAAGGAAAAATTGATAATTGAAATTAAGCAATCTAAAAACTACAGTTTCTTTCTTTCTCCTTCATAAATAAAGTCAACACAGTCATGTAATCACAAGTTATTACTTCCATTTAGCATATTTCTCGGCCTATCTCTACATACATAGTTACATAAAGTTACATTACGTCATGTAAACACAAATACATAAAATAACTTTATGTAACTACTTATGTAAATCTGTCTATAAGTATGTAGTCACAGTAAATATTGGGGATAACCAGAATTTAAGGAGGTGAAACTCTAACCTTATAGGTTGACCTCCAGAAGGACAACTTGAATCCCAGTAACCCAACTTCTGTACCACTATGAGAGACGGGAGTGCTGAAACCACAATGGGCTTAATCCGTTGGGCAATCCTCACATTCTTATGCCCACCTATGATTATGTCTTACAGGGAAAGATAATTTTATTGCTTTTTTCTTTCATAAATTATCCTAATATTTAAAATTATCAGCAGTTTGTCACTCCTTCTATCATGCCTTCTATAATTACCACCTTCTTCAAAGTGTCTTCTTCTTGAAGCTCAAGAATAAAAACCTATTTTCAATACAAATATTTTTTTTCCATTTGATTGTACAGATCTGTTAACTAACTTTCTATTCAGTGCCTTCCATTCGATGGCTAATACTTTGCATCTTCCAGCATAAATGCTTGTGATTTCACACACTTTCATATGTGAGAAAAAAGCATAAGAGGGAAGCCTTATCTATCCAAATTCTTCTTACTCTGTTTTATAATTTAATGAGCATAAGAATAAGCTGTAGAGCCTATCAGTGCAGGTTCTTGTGCCTACAGGCAGCCTAAGATTCTGAAAATTTTGTCAGCACTGCATACACATCTGATATAAGTGGTCCATGACCACACATTTTAGCAAACTCTGTTTTAGGTGAACAGTCTCATCTGTCATATAGTCACTGGTATTATTTTGTATTGTAAAGACACAGCTCTGGCCAAGCATGGTATTTCACCCATAATCCCAGCACTTCGGGAGGCAGAGGTGGGTGAATCACCTGAGGTAAGGATCCTGTTCAAGATCAGCCTGGCCATCATGGTGAAACCCTGTCTCTACTAAAAATACAAAAATTAGCTGGGCGTGGTGGTACTTGCCTGTAGTCTTAGCTACTCAGGAGGCTGAGTCAAGAGAACCGTTTGAACCTGGGAGGCGGAAGTTGCAGCAAACTGAGATTGTGCCACTGCACTCCAGCCTGGGTGACAAAGCAAGACTCCATCTCAATAATAATAATAATAATTTTCAAAAATAAAGACCCAGCTCTGACCTCTATGCAGAACTCCATATCCATCTATCTCCATGTAGGTGTCCCAGAAAAAGCTCAAACACAATGTTTTTAGTTTTGATCTCAGCATCTCTCTCCTCAGACTACCTGTTCCACGCTCTGTATCTCAGCTGGCATCATGACAGTTGATCCCATCACTGGAGCTAAAAACCTGAAAATTGTCCCGAATGTCTCTGTTGCTCTGTCCTCCAACAGCCAGCCAACCACCTAGCGCCATTGATTTTAGCTTCTAAATGTCTCCTGAAGCAGTCCCTTCCTCTGCCTCTTCACAGAGATTACATCACTCCAGGCCTACATCTCTAATTCACTGCAATCTCGCCTGAATTCTTGCAATAGGCAGCTGACTGCTCTCCAGCTCCTCAAATAATTTATTTTTTTATTTTTTGAGACAGAGTCTTGCTCTGTCGCCCAGGCTGGAGCGCAGTGGTGCGATCTCGGCTCACTGCAAGCTCCGCCCCCCCAGGGTTCAGGTCATTCTCCTGCCTCAGCCTCCCGGAGTAGCTGAGTCTACAGGCGCCCGCCACCATGCCCGGCTAATGTTTTTGTATTTTTAGTAGAGACAGGGTTTCATCGTGTTCGCCAGGATGGTCTCGATCTCCTGACCTCATGATCCACCCGCCTCGGCCTCCCAAAGTGCTGGGATTACAGGCGTGAGCCACTGTGCCTGGCCAAATAAATTTTTTCACTAATGCCATGGTGATTGCCCTTATAATGCAGATTTGATCAGGTAACCTGCCCTGCTTTGGAGGTAAAGTCTAAAGTCTGTAAGGTGACACTAAAGCCCTTCCAGAGTCTGGTCGCTCCAAATCTCTTTCATCTAATTTGGGAACCAATCCTCTAAAACCCACCGTTAAAACCATCCTCTTTGAATGTAATGCTGCAGCTACACTGAATAATCTATGAGTTATTGCACATTTGACTTGTTATATACCCCCCTTTTTACTTGCTTTTCCTTATGCCTGAAAAGCCTTCTCAATTTACCAGGCCAGAGAACTCCTCACATTTCAAAACTTTGCTCAATTATTTCCTCTGTAAAAATTTTGATAAGAGAATAAAAGATAGATTTAAATTAAATTTAACTTCCTTAAAATATGAATCATTCTACCATAAAGACACATACATGCAAATGTTCATTGCAACACTATCCACAATAGCAAAGACCAGGAATCAACAAATGCCCATCAATGACAGATTGGATAAAGAAAATGTGTTACGTATACACCATGGAATACTATACAGCCATAAAAAAAGCACAAGATCATGTCTTTTGCAGGAACATATATGGCACTCGAGGCCATTATCCTTAGCAAACTAACACGAGAACAGAAAACCAAAAACAGCAAGTTCTCACTTATAAGTGAGAGCTAAACAATAAAAATTCACGGACACAAAGAGGAGAACAACAGACACCTTACTGGAGGGTCGAAGGTGGAAGGAGGGAGAGGAACAGAAAAAAAATAACTATTGGGTGCTATGCTTAGTACCTGGGTGATGAAAGAATCTGTACAACAAACCCCCATGACACAAGTTTACCTATATGACAAACCTGCCTTTGTACCCCTGAGCCTAAAATAAAAGTTTATTTTAAAAATTACAAATAAAAATGAAATAAAATAAAATTGGCTTCCTTCAACGGGAAAGGGCTGAGAAATAGAGTTAGGGTAGGAACTTGTGAAGAAGAGAAAAAAGAAAAAAAAAGGAAATTGATTGCTGTTTCTGGGATGCTAAAGGAAAAGGTTGAGTAGATGACCTTTTATTTTAGTCAAACATGAGAGATTTGGGTATGCAAAAATGTTTCCTAAGTGGTGTTGGAATTAAATTACTCCATAAAAAATGTAAACCCCCACTTGTAGCCAATGAATAGTTGGTATCAAACTTATCCTTCCCTGGTAAGCAACTAGTAAGCTTGATAAAAATATGTGAAACAACTATTTTCAGATATTGGACAACAGGCAGCAAAGGACTGTGATCCCTAAGAGAAAGGATTGCCCTGGTTTTCCACCTAGAGAAACTCTCTGGATGATTCCTGGGTATATATCCCAAAGAAAATAAATCATTCTACCAATAAGACCGCTGCACTTGCATGTTTATTAAAGTGCTATCCACAATAGCAAAGACATAGAATCAACCTAGGTGCCTATCAGTGGTGGATTGTATAAAGAAAATACTTATATATGCCATGGAATACTATGCAGCCATAAAAAAGAACAAAATTATGTCCTTTGCAGCAACATGGATGCAGCTAGGGACCATTATCCTAAGTGAATTAACACAGAAACAGAAAACCAAATACCACATGTTCTCAGTTATAAGTGGTAGTTAAACACTGGGTACACACGGACATAATATTGGGAACAGTAGACACCAGGGACTTTAGAAAGGGGGAGGATGGGTGGGAGTAAAGGTGGAAAAACTACATATTAGGTACTATGTTCACTATCTGGGTGACGGGTTCAATCAAAGCCCAAACCTCAACATCACACAACATATCTATGTAACAAATCTGTACATGTATCTCCTGAATCTAAAATTTAAAATAAAATTAGCTTCCTAAAATACAAATCATTCTACCATAAAGACACATGCCCACAAATGCTCATTGCAGCACTATTCACAATAACAAAGACAAGGAATCAACCTAAATGCCTACCAATAACAGATTGGATAAAGAAAATGTGTTACATATACACGTTTTTAAATTTAAAATTAAGAAAATAATGGACAGTCTTTGGATGCTGGGAATTGAAAGAAAATCCTAAGCAGAGGACAGTCATCTTACTGAGCAGAGGAGACAGAAATCAAAGTTCGGAGAAGCAGCTGGAAGTTGTGGAAGGAAGTACCAAAAAGAAAGAAGCCAGCAGAGAGGGAGTTCCAGAAGTCATCACAACTCCTCTTGAGTCTACTGATGGAAAGTAGGTCGCATATTGTAAGGAGAAACTCTACAAGGCCGGTTAACAATTATGAAAGATGGAAGCTGAACAATTTCTAGAGCACACAAAGGGCATGGAAACCTGTGAGTTCTGACCAGCCATACATTCAGTAGAAGGGATACATGTTAGCAAAAGGACAAACTAAACCTAGAGGAAACATAATTCTAAAGCTATCTTTAAGAAGTTTAAAAATAAGACTTTAAAGGACCAAACTGGCCAGGCCTGGTGGCTCACGCCTGTAATCCCAGCACTTTGGGAGGCCGAGGTGGGTGGATTATGAAGTCGGGAGTTCGAGACCAGCTTGGTCAAGATGGTGAAACCCCATCTCTACTAAAAATACAAAAATTAGCCAGGTGCAGTGGAGGGCGCCTGTAATCCCAGCTACTCAGGAGGCTGAGGCAGGAGAATTGCTGAGCAGGAGAATTGATTGAACCTGGGAGGCAGAGGTTGCAGTGAGGCGAGACTGCACCACTGCACTCCAGCCTGGGTGACAGAGCAAGACTCCGTCTTGGAAAAAAAAAAAAGAAGAAGAACCAAACTTATCCACAAGTAACTTAATCACTTGCCATTACAAAGAGCAACACTCTATAAAGGAAGGCAACACCCAATAACATAAGGAAGATACCCAATAACATAAAAATGCTAGACACACAAAGGATAACTTGAGTTTTAATCAGGAGAAAAATCAATCCATAGAAGTAGATTCAGAATGGCAGAAATGATGAATTAGCAGACAAGATGTTACCATAGTTGTGATAAGTGTGTTCAACTATTTTTAAAAACAACATGAATATACTTTCAAAGATAATAGAAGGAACTTTTGCAGATGAAAAATGCAATATCTGCAATGAGAAATTCACTGGATAGTATAAGTAGATTAGGCACATCAGATAAAAGTATCAGTGAATTTGAAGACATAATAGAAGCTATCCAAGGTGAAACACAACAAAGTTGATAAATGAATGAAGCCTTAATGACCTATGAGTAACGTAAGCATAATTGAAACTACAGAAAAAGTTGACAGAAAACAGTATTTGAACAAATGGCCCAAATTTTTAAATTATGCGAAAATTATAAACTTACACATTTAAGAAATTTAAAGAACCCCAAGTAGGACAAACACAAAGAAAATTACACTAAGACACATAATCAGTTTATTGAAACCTAGTGATAAAGATAAAATATTAACATTTTTCAGAGAAAAAAAGGCAAATTACATTTAGAGAAACAAAGATAATAATGACCACAAATTTATCATTTAAACACTATATAAATCCCCAAAAAACCCAATAGAATGACATTTTTAAAGTGTTGAAATAAGTGCATACTCTTAAGCTAGAATTTTATATACAGTAAAAATACCCTTTGAAAATAAAGGTGTTTTTCAGGAAAATAAAAATGGAGATAATTTATCACCAGCAGACCTGTAGAAAGAGAAATGTTACAGGAAGTTCTTTAGGCAGAGATAAAATAAACCAGATAGAAAGTTGGAACTATACAAAAGAATGAGGACAGCCAGAAATGGGAAATACGTGGGTAAATATAAATTAATTTCATCATTTTCCAGTTACTTAAAAGATAATTCACTATTTAAAACAAAAAAAAGAATAATATTTTGTGGACTAAAACATATGCAGAAGGAAAATTTATGACAAATACGATAGCACAGTGCATGGAAGGAGGGAACCAGAAACACCACTGCTGTAAGTCTCTTTCATGATGTAAAGTGATACAATATATTTGAAGATAGAGTATGATTTTTGAAAAGACATATGGCAAGCCTTAAAATAAAACAACGAATTATAAACCAATGAGGAGACGAAGTGAAATACAAAAAAATACTTGATTAATTAAAAAGAGGGTAGGAAAAAGAAAAATTAGAAAGGTATAGAATTTCAACATAAGTTTATTGATAATCACATGAAATATGAATGCTTTAAACACTCTAAGTGGTAGATTTTCATATTGGATAAAAAAGGAAGACCCAAATATATACTGCCTGGAAATTCACTTGAAATACAAGTCGAGTGTGGTGGCTCACACCTGTAATCCCAGTACTTTGGGAGATCAAGGTGGTGGCATCACCTGAGGTCTGGAGTTCCAGACCAGGCTGGCCAACATGATGAAACCCCATCTCTACTAAAAATAAAAAAATTAGCTGGGCATGGTGGCAGTCGCCTGTAATCCCAGCTACTCAGGAGGCTGAAGCAGGAGAATCGCTTGAACCTGGGAGGCGGAGGTTGTGGTGAGCCGAGATCACACCATTGCACTCCAGCTGGGCAACAAGAGCAAAATTCCATCTCAACAAAAAAAAAAGAAATGTAATTACATAGATAAGTAAAAATGAAAGGATAGAAGTAAATATACAATACAAACTCTAAATGCTAGAATATGTCTCTTCCCAAAATTCACATGTTGAAATCCTAACCCCCAAAGTGATGATATTAGGAGGTAGGCCTTTGGGAGGTGATTAGGTCATGAAGTTGAAGCCCTCATGAATGGGATCAGTGCCCTTATAAAAATGATCCAACAAAACTCCCTTGTTCCCTACTGCCATGTGAGGTTACAGTAAAAAGAGGGCTTTCAATGAAGAAGTGCATCCTCACCAGACACTGAATCAGTCAATGCCATGATCTTGGGCTTCCCAGCCTCCAGAACCATAAGAAAAAAATTTCTGTTGTTTTTAAGCCACTCAGTCTATGGTATTTGGTTATAGCAGTCTGAATGGACTAAGACACTAATGAGAAGAAAGCTGGCATAGCTGTATCAGTAATGGGCAACATAGGCTATAAGAAAAAATTATCAGGGGTAAAAAATTGTTTTCATAATGATAAGCAGAATCAATCCATCAGGCAGACATATCACTCCTAACAGTGAATACACCTAATTAAAGAGACGTCACTCCTAACAGTATATACACCTAATTAAAGAGATGTAATATAAGTGATGCAAAATCTGACCTAAAAGTAGAAATAAATACACAATTATAGTTAAAGATTTCAATACTGCTCTCTCAGTAATTGAAAGAACAAGAAACCAGAAAATCAATGAGAATAATCTTATCAAGCAACTTGACCTAACTAACATTTATGGAACATTTTATTCAACTATAGTAGAATACACATTCTTTCCAATACACATTATTTTCAATGCCTAAAGAAAATTTTCCAATATAGATTATATGCTGAATCATTTTAAAATTCTGAATAAATGTAATAGGCTGAAATAATAAAGATTAATTACAGAGAACTGAAATCAGAACCCAATAACCAAAAGATTTCTAGATAGCTAATCTCAAGATATATAAAAATTAAATAGGACCAGGGCCAAAGAAGAAATAGAAAACCTGAATAGCCTATAGCTATCAAACAAGTTGAATTTATCATTTTAAAACTCTACAAAGAAAACTTAAGGCCAAATGATTTTACCAGTAAATTTCATCATAAAAGTAAACAGTAAATTATACCAATTCTACAGAAATCTTTCAAAATCAGAGAAAAACAAGAAAAATACTATAAGAAAATAGCAAACCAGTAGCTCTCATGAATGTAGACTCAAAAATATTTAACCAAATATTAGCAAAAAAACCCATCAATACATAAAAAGAAAAGTATTTCATGTTCAAATATGGTTTATCCCTGGAATAAAAGGGTAGTTTAACATTAGAAAACCAGTCAATATAAATTCAACCATATTAACAGAATAAAGGTTAAAAAAAATCATATGACCACCTTATTGTATGCAGAAAAGACTTTTAACAGAATTAAACACTTATTTATGGCAAAATTCTCATAAACTAAAAATGGAAGGGAATTTCTTAAACCTGATAAAAGGAATATATGAAAAGTGTTCAATAATATGCTTAACAGTGACACACTGAATGCTTTTTCCTCTATGATGAAGAATAAGGCAAGGATATATACCAACACTACTTCCATGCAGCATTGTCCTGGAAGTCCTAGAGAGTTCAGTAGGAACTAAAAAGCAGAAAGAATGGAGACAAAGAAGGCTGCATTTACTGAAAGATGACATAATGATGAGTACAGAAAATTCTTTTAAAATTTCAAGAAAACGTGTAGCCTGAAATACATAAAAATCAATTATCTTTCTATATAATCACAACAAATAGTTTGCAAATGAAATGTCAAACATGAAGTTTTATAGAAGCATCAAAACATGAAATCATTACTGACAAATTCAATAACACATGTGGAAGTCTCATACTCTGAAAACTATATAAAATTGCTGAAAGAAATTAAAGGAGACCTTTGAAAAATGGACACATACATCATATTTGTGGATTTGAGGATTCAATATTGGTCATATGTTATTTCAACCCAAACTGACCCATAGATTTAAGGCAACCCCAGAAGGTTTTGTTTTTAGAAATTGGCAGGCTGATTCTAAAATGTATATAAAAAACAAAAGTACCTAGAATTGCCAAAATAATATTGAAAGGAATGGGCAGAGTTATATAACTAACACCAGCTGATTTCAAAACAGTATAGTTACGGTAATAAAGACAGTGGCACTGGTGTGAGGATGGTCATTTAGATCAACGTGGCCAAAACAGAGTCAAGAAAGAGAACCAATCAGATCATCAGCTGGTTTTTGGCAAAGATATCAAAGCTATTCAAAAGGATTTTCTTTCCAACAAATGGTACTATATATTCATTTGGAAGAAAATGAACATTGTCTCTTACTTTACACCATTTGCAAATATTAACTCAATCACAGTATTGTAGACTTAAATGTAAAGGCTAATCTATTAAAGTCATCTATAAGAAACAAATGCAAGAAAAAATCTTCATGATTTGGAGGAAGGCAGATTTCTTGGAGAGAAGACAGAGCATATAAATCATAAAAGAAAAAAATATAATTTGGACTGTATAAAAAATAAAGACATATGCCTTCCAAAGACTGCAACAAGAAAATGAAAAGGTGAGCCACAGACTGGAAAAAAATAGATACAAAACAGATAAATGACAAAGGCCAGGTGTTCAGAGTATATAAAGAAATGCTATAAATTAATAATAAAAAGACAACCCAATTTTTTAAATGGGCAAAGATTTGATCAGACATTTCATGAAGAATATATATAAATGGCCAAGAAACACTGGAAAAGATGCTCAACATCATTAGTCAAATTAAAATAATAATGAGACACTATAGTTGTGCACCCAAGTGGGTGATAAGTATGGTATCTGACATACCCAATTAAAAACACTGACAATACCCAATTTTGATGAGGACGTAGAGTATTTGGAAATGCTGTGCATCGCTTGAGGAAATGTAAAATTGAACAACTTATTTGGAAATCAGTTTGACAATTTCTTATAAAGTTAAATACACACTTAGCTATACAACTCAATAGTTTTACTGCTAGGTATTCACTCAAGAGAAATAAGGACGTATTTCCATGCAAAGACTTGTACAAATATGTTCATAGCATCGTTTGTAATCATCAAAAAGGGGAAAGGCTCAAATGTCCATCAGCAGGTGAATGGATAAACAAATTGTAGTATATTTGTTCAATGGAATGCTACTAAATAATAAAAAGGAGCAATCATGGGCAACTGCTTTGTTAAAACTCATAAAGTGATTCATAGACACAAAAGAGTACATACTGTATGATCCCATTTGTATGTCATAAAATACATAGACTTAAGTAGACAGCCAAACACAGATCAATGCATGCCTGGAAGCAGAGGTGGGAAAGATACCACAAATGGACGTAAAGAAGCTTTTTGGATGGCGGCTATGTTCTAGATACTGATTGTGTTGGTTAAATAGGTTTATACTTTTGTCAAACCTCATCAAACTGCACTCTTAAAATGGGTGCATCTTATCTTATTGTATAGAAATTGTACCTAATTAAAATGAATTTTGGAAAAATGCTGGTCATGGATTGGTAAAGAGGCTCTGGAGGAAAGATGATCAAGCAGCGATGGAGGAAGGTAGCAGTTTTCTGGGCAAGTTGGCCAGTGAAGAATTCCCATGGTGAGAAGGCTGAAATACTTTTAAAGATAGGACTAAGTCATATTAGATTTTCAGTCATTTAAGTGGAAAAGCCATGTTCACATATTTTCATTAAATTCAGTTGACCTACATGTGCCTTGTGTGAAGAGCTGATTTTCAGCTGGTAAAGTAGTCACATGAAACTTTTAACAGCCAATGCCAATTCTGACTGGGGGTGATTTATTCCTATTCTTTAGTGTTCATCTCCATACTTTTTTGGGTGTTTTTTTTCTTTTCTTTTTTTTTTTTTTTTGAGACAAAGTCTCATTCTGTTGCCCAGGCTGGAGTGCAGTGGTGCGATCTCAGCTCACTGCAACCACTGTCTCCCAGATTCAAGTGATTCTCCTGC
Organism: Homo sapiens; assembly: GCF_000001405.40. Taxonomy (NCBI): domain Eukaryota; kingdom Metazoa; phylum Chordata; class Mammalia; order Primates; family Hominidae; genus Homo; species Homo sapiens. Next base: position 229,330,236 of record NC_000002.12, read on the forward strand.
CTCAGCCTCCCAAGTAGCTGGGATTACAGGCACGCACCACTGTGCCTGGCAATTTTTGTATTTTTAGTAGAGATGGGGTTTCACCATGTTGGCCAGGCTTCTCTCAAGCTCCTGATATCAAGTGATTGCCTGCCTTAGCCTCCCAAAGTGCTGAGATTACAGGCGTGAGCCACCGTGCCTCGCCATACTATTATTTTTTAATCCAACTCCAGCTTGTGTGAAAGCTTTTTGTAGAAAAAGGATGAGATCCATATCTGGGTCAGAATGGAGCACAGGAAAGAAAAGCTGTAGAAAGTGAGACACATGGTCTTGTGAGTCTGACCTCTGTTGGGTTCTCAGAGTCAGAAGGAACTGTGAGCCTGTGAGACCCTGGAAGTTGCCAGAAATTTTGGAGAGTCCATTGGCTGTTCCCTAATCATGAGCTAGGGGCCTGGAGTTAATTATTTTTGATGAAGTACATTAAATAAAAATAAGTAAATAAAATATTTCCAGCTGTCCTTTGAAATAAATAAAATGTTTTATTTATTTCAAAGGACAGCAGACAGCTGGCATATGAGCTATGCCTTCATTCACCCCATGAGCTATGAAATCACTCTTTCTTCCTAATGGGTTCTGTGCCTTGTACAGATATCTGTGATTGAATCTGTGAAATACTATAGTCTCTGGACTCAGCAATGAGCTGGAGGTCTAATTAATCTTTATATCCTCAGCACCTCGCATAGGATTTGGCACAGGAAAGTCACTCCGTAAATGCTTGTTGAAGTAACCTTTGGTTCTTAATACAACCAAGACTTCCCATCGTTCATCAAGTCTTGCCCTTATTTAACTGTCATCAGTACCCTGGTCAGGGTTCATTTCCATGCTTCCCCCTCCTGGCTTCCTCATTTCTTTATTTTTTTCTCTTGCAGATGGTCCTGTGGTTTCACTTCCTATTTGGTTTCTGAACTCTCTGAGCACGAGACTTGGAGACGTGGAGTCCTTTCACTGCAGCTTTCAAAACCTTTCTTAGGGCTGATATGACAATTGCTGGCACTGCGTAATTGCTGTGTGGCTACTTGAAAACTTCTCCACTAGAGACTCACTGAGAGCACCTATTCTGTTGAATGGATTTGGCACAAGGAGGAGGAGAGAAGACAAATGGCCTGGGCTGGTAAGAGACAAAAGTGCCGTGTGTGAGTCTTGGCCCACCTACCTGCTGTGAGACTCTGGGCAAATCACCTGGTCCCTCTCTTCCCACATCTTCTGATGAGCCTTGCTGCCTATTTCCTGAGTAGCTCAGTGGCCACCAGAGACCCCAGGCTCTTTATCAACATTTCAAGATTGTGTAAGTTCTGGCATTTTGTACATTATCAAAAAGAGAAGGCTAAGACCTAAGTCAGGCTAAATTTGATTCAGGAAAACACCTGACGTTTTTGTACTTAAGTATCGAGGGGTAAATCACATCTTTTGCACCTGAATCCGTAAGAACTGTGGCCTAACCCTCTTCTTCTGGAGAACTCACTTTCCTGTCTTTCTGAGACTCCAGCTAGATAGTCCTTTGGCAGATGTTGACCCCATACTACCTTCTCCGTGGGCAACATCTGAGTGCATGGTCTACCTTAGTGAAGGACCTCTCCTTGCCCCTGAAGCACTTCTATCATCCTGGACCTCAACGTGGAATGGTGACCCCTACCTGCCCCACCAGTCACGACCACCTTCTTCCAGCACCTCCAATGTGTCTGCCCTCCAGCACCACCTGCTCCCAACGTAAGACTGCTGGGGTGAGGTTGCAAAACTTGTGTCTCCCTTAAGTATGGCTTCTGTACAGGTTTGTACCCAGTTGTATTTTAATTAAAAGCTTGGCTCTCTAACAATGCAGGTTCTAAAGAGGCCTTAGTTTGCTCCCATTGCCAGTCTTCTTAGAGACTAAATTCAGTCAGCGGGGGAAGGCTTTGCCTCTGCTTAGGATTGGAAGCCTCCATATGCATAATTGCAGAGGGGCAGTAGAGGAGACTAAATGCTTATCTAACCTATGGTTTTTATCAACGGTGGTCGGTTTGTTATTATTTTTAAATGAGTTAGATTCACTTTAAGATGTAAATGGAAAATGGCTCCCAAGTTGTCACAGGCACAGTGCCAAGTATTTCAGACACTTATGAATATCATTAGATAATTATCATATTTGCTGTCAATAGCACTCATTAATCTCGTGTTCAGGGAGAGGAGCCCTTCAGAGCATAATTGCTGCAGTTAGAAACATCTCTATCCCAAGTGCCAAGCAATTCCATGTGACCTTCCCCTATAGACAACCCCATAGTTCTATGTGATGCCATCCTCTGTAGCCACACACCCCACCAAATTCACAGCACCTCTGCCTTTCCCCTAAGTAACTAAGGGTCTCATTCAATTCCATTCAACCAAATGTATGGACCTCCTTCTGTGTGCCAAATGCTGCCCTTGTGCTAAAAAACATAGATGTTCCACCTCAAGGTGTTCACAGTTTAGCGTTGCTGATAAAAAGGCAAGCAAATAATCTCAACTCCACGTAACATGCGCAGTAGGAGAAAGATGTGCAGATATGGTTCATTAAAAAGGAGTTACGCCTATAATCCCAGCAACTCAGGAGGCCAAGGAGAGAGGATTGCTTGAGGCCAGGAATTTCAGACAAGCCTGGGCAACATGGCAAGACCCCATCTCTAAAAATAATTAGGCAGGTGTGGTGGCACACACGTGTAGTCCCAGCTACTCGGGAGGCTGAGGTGAGAGGATCGCTTGAGACCAGGAATTGGAGGCTGCAATGAGCTATGATGGCACCACTCCACTCCACCTCCAGCCTTGGTGACAGAGTGAGACTCTGATTCTAAAAAAAAATAGAAAAAGAAAAGGAAGGAAGGGGCTCTCTCTGGAAGACCAAAAGAGGTCACCCAAAGAAGGTGATGTCTGTCTGCCTTTTAAAGAATGAATAGGAGTTTAGAATGCAGATTGACTGGAGGAAAAGTATTGCTATGTGAGGCTCCATTGCTTCTTCTTCTCTGCATTCTCACCCCCACGTTAGTAGACATATCTAGGGTACTGGGAGGTGGAAAATAAGAAGATAGAGTGCCCAAGGGATTTTACTTTTGAAAGGAAAGATAAGACTAGCTGGTGAGAAGAATAGATTGGCGGGAGGCCAAATGAATAATAATTACAGCAAACACATTACCACACTTACCAGATGCTAGGCGTGGTTCTAAGTGCTTTACAGGTATCAGCTCATGTAATCTTTGTCCCCATCTTATAGATGTGGAAAAAAGATTAGGTAATGTACCCAGAAACACACCGCTGGGAATGGGAGGGTAGAGAGTGAAACTCAGGCCTGCTGGTTCTTTATTCTGACAACTGTGAAACTACAGTAAAGGAACTATCCGGCCACATTTGGCGAATGCTTTCATTGAGAGCTGCATTTGAGGGGGAAGGGGTGAAATGCAAATGAAAGATACTGAGAGTAACCAAAGTGCCAACAGAGGACTTTTTTTTTTCTTGAAACTGAGTCTCACTCTGTCACCCAGGCTGGAGTGCAGTGGCACCATGCTGGCTCACTGCAACGCAATCTCTGTCTCCCGGGTTCAAGCGGTTCTTGTGCCTCAGCCTCCCAAGTAGCTGGGATTACAGGCATCCACCACCAGACCTGGCTAATTTTTATATTTTTAGTAGAGATGGGGTTTCACCATGTTGGCCAGGCTGGTCTTGAACTCCTGACCTCAAGTGATCCACCAGCCTTGACTTCCCAAAGTGCTGGGATTACAGGCATGAGCCACCAAGCCCAGCCCCAACAGATAGTGGGGCAGTGGCGCGATCTCGGCTCACTGCAAGCTCTGCCTCCCAGGTTCAGCCTCCCAAGTAGCCGGGACTACAGGCGCCCGCCACCATGCCCGGCTAATTTTTTTGTATTTTTAGTAGAGACGAGGTTTCACCGGATTAGCCAGGATGGTCTCCATCTCCTGACCTCGTGGTCCGCCCGCCTCGGCCTCCCAAAGTGCTGGGATTACAGGCTTGAGCCACCACGCCCGGCCTCCAACAGATAATTTTTAAGAAACTTTGCTATTTCTTTGCCCCCATGCCTGCCCCTAACACACATCACAGCTTTAGGTGTTTCCTCAACAGGCTATAATAAAGATATAAGTTGTCTCCCATGGTTTCGTATTCTGCTGAGCTAGTTTTTCTTTAAATGTGATGCCCTGCTGAGACTAGCACTGTCTGGGAGTGAGGGGAGCAATCAGTATGAGAAGAGTGTAAACTGTTCAGACAGAGGTGGCCAGATTAGGGAGAAAGTGACACAGAGGAGGGCACTGGGTGTTCCAGGGATGCAGGGGCAGCCTATGCATGGACATGGGACAACCTGCTGTTTGGGGAATTTCTCTGTAACACATGATGACAGAATTGAGTTCATTTTCCATCTCTTCCAGATTAGCCCAGAGACCATGTCCCAACAAAATGCCACCAGGAACTCATGTGGGACGGAGCTGGAAGATGCCAGCGGTTGCCCCTTCCCCATGTTAGTGCCTCTTTTCTCCGCACCAACCCTCAGTTCACACCAGAATGAGACTGCCTGCATTCACTTTCTGCTCTTACTTCAGAGAATGTGGCTTATTCTCAGGCAATGAACCAGAGGACAACAGACATTTTCTTTGAGGGAAATGCAACTTTTTGAAATTAAAAGGGCATTTTGTTTTAATTGAAGAACATTCAGATCAGAAACTGGGTTAAAAATAAACACTGCAGAGCCAGACACAGTGGCTCAGGCCTGTAATCTTAGCATTTTGGGAGGCCAAGGCAGGTGGATCACTTGAGGCCAGGAGTTCAAGACCAGCCTGGCCAACATGGCAAAAGCCATCTCTACTAAAAATATAAAAATTAGCAGGGCATGGTGGCATCGGCCTGTAATCCCAGCTACCTGGGAGGCCGAGGCATGAGAATCGCTTGAACCTGGGAAGCGGAGGTTGCAGTGAGCCGAGATCATGCCACCACACTCCAGCCTGGGCAACAGAGCGAGACTCTGTCTCAAAATAAAATAAAATAAAATAATAAGTAAACCCTGCAGAATCTGAGAGAACAGAGCTCTCGATGTGGGGGTCTGATCAGTTTTCCAAGCGTCAACAGACTGGTCCTTCCTAGGATGCGTGTTTCTTCTGCGGTCGTGTTTACACATTGGTTTCTGGCAAGAGCAAAGTGTTTGCTTGTGACCTTAAATAAAATGCAGACATCACCTCACTGAGTCTCATCAAAAGCAGAACTTGTCCTCTCATTCATCTTTGTCAGACCAGCAGGAGCAGCCAGGCTAGGTCATCCAGGGTGACAGTCTCCTTCTCCATGGAGGTGAAGATTTCATCCTGCATTCTGCTAATCGGGCTTGGGCCCGCCTTAACCCTGTGAGTGGTTAACACTCCATTAAGCCCCAGCATTTCACTATGGATTGTTTCTCACCAGGATCCGGGAATTAAGGACCATACAGGTAAGTGTGGGGTTGGTTTTCAAGGGTGCTCAACAGATACAGCCCTGGACTTTTAAAATAATATTCCATTATTCATTTTAAGGACCCCTCTTCTCTCTTTAAAAGTAAGATTCCTGCATGAGATCCAGACTTACAAACTCTCCGATCCCACTCTATGCCCCTACCTCTGGAACCCTCTACCTCTCCTGGAGGATGGTTCACAGGATGTGGGAGGGCCCAGGGGGAGCTGCAGTGGGGTTGCTGCCAGTCTGCAAGTCGGAGGAGAACTGTTTATCCTATTAGCAAAACCAACAGAGCCTGGCTTCGCCCTGCACTGAAAATTCCCCAGGGCACTGAGCAGCCTATGACAGACTATTTTGGAAACTGCTAGAAGAAGGGATCTGTTCAATGTTATTTACAATCCAGTAAACCATAGCATTTCCCTGGTCTAGCCAGATTTCTAACTGACCAGACCAAACTCTGCAAAGCTTTTCTAGTGCTCAGCAAACGTGGTCAGCTCACGGAAGAGCTGCTCATATTCCAGGTCATCATCTGAGCCTGAGCACGCAGCTACCATGGCCCCAAGCGACATGCACACATCTGGCAGGCACACTCAGTCCTGATTCTGTGGGGACGGATTGGGAGGGACAGGCAGACACAGGATGGTGGAAGAGTTGGGACTGATGTGGATCAGGGAAATGGCTAGACCTAGAATGTGTTCAGCAGACGCAATTCAGGCCCAACTTGCTCTCTGGTTCTCTGCAGAGATATTTCACAGGCAGTAGAAACTTGCTTGGATTAAAGTAACAGTTACAGCAAAAATTATATAGATAATTACTATTTATAAACACTTACATTTTCAGATAATTTTTAAAAATTTCATTCACATGTTATGAAAGTAATACATGGTGATTTTAATGTTTCAGTCAACCCAGGCTTGTCTAAAACAATGCCTCTCTCAACATGTAATGTGTATTCAACACACCTGAGAATCTTGTTATACTGTGGATTCCAAGCAGAAGGTCTGGGGGTGAGGCCTGAAATTCTGCATTATTTATTTATTTATTTATTTATTTATTTATTTATTTATTTATATTTTTTATTTTTTGAGACTGAGTCTTGCTCTGTCACTCAGGCTGGAGTGCAGTGGTGCGATCTCGGCTCACTGCAACCTCCGCCTCCCAGATTCAAGCAATTCTCCCTTTTCAGTCTCCCAAGTAGCTGGGACTACAGGTGCACGACACCATGCCCAGGTAATTTTTGTATTTTTAGTAGAGACAGGGTTTCAACTATATTGGTCAGGCTGGTCTCAAACTCCTGACCTTAGGTGATCCACCCACCTCAGCCTCCCAAAGTGCTGGGATTACAGGCGTGAGCCACCACACCTGGTCAAATTCTGCATTTTTTAAACCAACTCCAAGATAATGCAGATGATGCTATTAGGTTGGCACAACAGTAATGGCAAAAAACACAATTACTTTTGTGCCAACCTAATACAATGAGGCTAATAAATTTGGGTCTAGAAAATGTAACAGTCTCCCTCTATCACCAACCCACTCACAACCCATCTCTCTGATTATATTTAAGGCTATATTATGTCAGGTTCTATTATTCTATAATCTGTGTTCTTTACTAACCATAGAGAATGAGCATCCTTCCAGGTCAATGCCAAAAATGTAACTCATTCTTTTAACTGTATGCACAGAATTCCATAGGCAAAATGCCATGATTTATTCACTTTGCCCCTTACTGAGAGGGGGGATGTTTCTAAGTTTGGAGCCATTTTTAAGCTCACCCATATTCATCTTCTTTCTCTGTAGCTGAGAGAGGGACATAATTAGCAAGCTTACCTGGGCCTCACACCAAGCTCTGTACTCTTCCAAGTGAGGAAAGGTAGTTCAGAATGTCTCAGAATGAAATAATTGAACCAAACTCCACAGCAGACAGGAGCATAACTTTTCTGATTCTCCAGCCAAAGTATGATTCCTGCAAGAGATCTTGCTGGTCAACTAGGAGGCCCATGACATCACGGGATAAACAGAGTTCATCTTCCTTTGTGGCCAGTTTTACTTGAATTCCGTGGAGGCAAATCAATTCCTTATTTTCATATTAAAACACACATGTGTAATCAAAAATAAAACATAAAATTCACAGAAATTTTTTGATTAAATCATGAAAGCTCCAAAATATTTTCTTGCCTGTGGCCAGTTGCTTTAGACTCTCTGGAATACAGCTTATGCCTCTCTGCACTTAAGAGCAGTGTAAACGTAGCATTGAGAATCAGACATTAACTTGGTGCCACACCCTTATCTACAGGTGAGAAAACTGAGGCTCAGGGTGGTTGACTAACCTTAGACAGCTGATAAATTACAGCAGGTGAATAAGGTAGTCTGGACTGTTAAGATGAAAAAGCTTGTGAAGCTTTGCAGAGCTGAGAATGGTTTATAAATCACGATTTTAGTTCTGCAGTGGTCAAACCTTTCTGCATATTAAAATCAGTAGAGAAGCTGTTAAAGTCCCCAGTGTTCAGGTCCAATCAACACCAATTAAATTAGAGGTTTTGGGGGTAGGACCTAGATATCAGTCTTTTTTATAAATTCCCCCATGTGATTGCAGTGTTGAGCCAGGGTTGCCAGATTTCGCAAATAAAAGTATAGAAGACTCAATTAAATTTGAATTTCAGATAACTAATACATTTTTTACTCTAAGAACATCCCAAATATTGCCTGAGACATACTTAAGAGTTACTCATTGTTTATCTCAATTAAAATGTGACTAGGCCTCCTGAATTTTGTCTGAGCCCTCCCTGATGCAGGCAAGTTTGAGAGCAAGGCTTTAGGGGAAGTCTTTGACTGCAAGGGGGCCCAGGCAGCACTTCAAGGTCAAGGTGCCCAGCTCTGCACACTGATGGGTAACCCTCCATCCAAATTTGCCCAGTCTGAGATAGGATTCAGGAACCAGGTGGATGGCATCTTTCGAATCAACAGGGTCCTGGGCCTGACACTTGTGACTGTTCTCCAAAGACAGAAACACGGTGTAATTTATGGAAAAGTGAGTGAAGCAGGTGGTAGATATTAGTGGTTCACGATGCTCTGCTGCATGTAGTTTACGGCTTGCCAAAGCCTCTTTTCATCTGGTTCTGCAGATGTATACACAGGGCAAACAGTTGAGCCTCTGACCAGACCCTGAAAAAAGCTTAAATGCTCCCAGCAGGAGAAAGTCCTTTCTCATAAACACCAATTTCCTGCCATGAGCATCTCTGCGTTTTCTGAAAGTGACTACAGGTTGGTACTGGAACCCCCCTTCTTCCCCCCAACTTCTTGTCTCCTAGACCTGGTGACCGGGACACTGAGAAGCCCTCTGCCTACTTTTGCTGAAGTCTCTCAGGATTCAAAATGCAACCAAGCTGGGTACAGTGTTGCATACCTGTGGTCCCAGCCACTTGGGAGGCTGAAGCAGGAGGATTGCTTGAGCCCAGGAATTTGAGGCTATAGTGCAGTATGTTTGTGCCTGTGAATACTCACAGCACCTCAGCCTGGGCAACATAGCAAGACCCTATATCTTTCAAAAAATGCACCAAACCAGCAAGAAACAAAATATTTGTAAACCAGTTAGAATGGCAAACACTGAAATGATGAAAAGAGAAAGACAGCCAGGCATGGTGACTCACACCTGTAATCCCAGCACTTTGGGAGGCCCAGGTGGGTGGATCTCCTGAGCTCAGGAGTTTGAAACCAGCCTAAGCAACATGGCAAAATCCCGTCTCTACCACAAATACAAAAAAATAGCCAGGCGTGGTGGCGTGTGCCTGTGGTCCCAGCTACTTGGGAGGCTGAGGCAGGAGGATCATTTGAGCCTGGGAGGTCGAGGATGCAGTGAGCTGAGATCATGCCACTACACTCCAGCCTGGGTTACAGAGGGAGACCCTGTCTCTCCACCACCCCTCCCCTACCCCGAAAAAAAAAAGAGAGAGAGAGAGAGAGAGACTAGCCCTGGGAGCCAGTTGTTTTCTTCCTGGAACTGGGAGGTGAGGGTGCCAGGTGAAATGCTGACAGGTGGCCTCCACTGGAAGCCAGCAGCTGCTGGCCATGCAAAATTGTCTAAGGGAGTCATTCCATGGGCCAGACCTCCCAGAGCTCAAGAATTTCCAAATCCATCGTGACTCACAAACAACGAACTTATTACCAGGAAACATTGCTGTGAGCCACCGTGTTTGTCAAAGTGCTAATGTCCTTATATTTTAACCAGACAGTTCCGTAAACAGAGGGTCCTTTCCAGCACACACTTTCCTATTTGATCACTGTTTCTCTCTGGTTTCACACCTGTAAGTGGTATCCACGGGAAGCCGAAGTGGGCCCGACTTTGCACCATTTAACCAAGACCAGCTCCCATTCAAACAGACCCCAAATCCAGGACAAGCAACATGTGGGCTAGGGGAGTGTAAGGTGATGACGGGGCTTTTCGCAAAAGCACATGTGGAGGAAGCAGAGAGGAGGCTGGCTTCCTCCTGCCTGGTGTCCCAGACTCCCAGCCCAGGGAGCCAGCCAGCGGCCTTGCCACCCCCATTCTCCATGAGTGTCAGAGATTCCAGCCTCCCACCAGACACACACACAACCAATTAGCCCTTGCTTTCCCACTCCCTGAGTTCCAGATGGCCTTTGCCAAGACGGCCCTGTGGTCTTGCTCCAAACATGATCGATTACAGCCCAGAAAAACTCTTGAAGGCATTGGTTGCTTCTGAAGTTAAGACTATGAAATTACTTTTCTTCACTGAAGTCCCCTCTGAACTTTGGAAGCCACAAAATCCTTCCTGGAGCAAAAAGCCCATTTCATGGGGCTGCCTGAGCTCCCAGTGCAGCTCTCAGAGGCCACCATGACTCATGTGGCAGCAGTACACCCACAAGACCTCTGTGGCGAGGACACCATATGGTCACCAGGAGCAGCAGGAACAGCACCAGGCCAGCCTGGAGGGCCAGTGGGACAGGGGCCCAGCTCCCATGGATACAAATTCACCCCTGCTCCACTCGCTACATAACTGATTCACTCACCAAACATTTCTTGAGCTCCTGTTACGTTCTGATGCATTCTGGACCCTATGCTAGGCAATTGAAGATGAAACTCTACCTTCAAAAATCTCAGTTCACAAACCTCAAAGAAGGTATTTAGGAAGGCAGGAAGGCCTGCTGGAGAGGATGGTGCCTGCAGCAAGACAAAAAGACATGTCTGACATCTGGGGAGACAGAAAGCGTGGAAAGACCACAATGTCAGGAGTACCAAAAATAACTGCATCCCAAGAGTCTTCGTACACTCACCTGGCGAGGCACATCCAGTGAGCTGGCCAGAGGAAAGCCTCAGTGAAACTGGCCCAGGTTATGTAGAGAGAGGATCATTAGAGTTTTCCTGATAAAAGTGAAAAGTTAGAAATCTCTTGAATGTCCAGGCCAGGCACGGTGGCTCACACCTGTAATCCCAGCACTTTGGGAAGCTGAGGCAGGCAGATCACTTGAGGTCAGGAGTTCAAGACCAGCCTGGCCAACATGGTGAAACCTCATCTCTACTAAAAATACACACACACACAAAATTAGCCGGGTGTGGTGGTGGGTGCCTGTAGTCCCAGCTACTCAGGAGGCTGAGGCAGGAAAATGGCATGAACCCGGGAGGTGGAGCTTGCAGTGAGCCGAGATGGTGCCACTGCACTCCAGCTTGGGTGACACGGTGAGACTCCGTCTCAAAAAAAAAAAAAAAAAAAAATTAGCCAGGTGTGGTGGCGGGTACCTGTAATCCCAGCTATTCAGAAGGCTGAGACAGGAGAATTGCTTGAATCTGGAAGGCGGAGGTTGCAGTGAGCCGGGATCATGCCATTGCCCACCAGCCTGGGTGACAGAGTGAGACTCTGTCTCAAAAAAAAAAAAAAAAAAAAAGAAAGGAAAGGAAAGCAAGCAAGCAAGCAAGAAAGAAAGAAAGAAGAAATCCCTTGAATGTCCAATCGTGAATGTTAAACACATGATGAAAAGGTTAGAGAGAAACTATCTGATAGCTTGCTATGTGGCATTCATTCACTTATTTATTCATTCAACAAATGTTCATTGAGAACCTACTTTGTGCCTATCTGAAATCCAAGCCCTAGGAACACAGATATGAATAAAAGAAGAACTCTCCCTTATCACAGCTTATAGTTTAGTGGGAGATGTGTGTGTGCATGTGTGTGTGTGTCGCAACTTTAGATAAGCCAGTCAGAGTAGACTTTTATTGATCAATAGCCCCTAAAGACCTCTATTGGAAACAGTTGCACAAACAACCAGAATGCCACTGGAAGGACACAAGGGATAAGTATGGGATTGGAGCCCTTACCAAGGTCTTCAAAGGAATTTCAAGATCTGTGCATGGTGATAAATGGTCTGTATGTCTTGACTTTGGAGAAGGAGGCCTTTTGTAAAAATAGGAGCATAGTTTAATAATATAAACCTGAAGGCAGAAGGGCAAATCCCTGAAGAATATGATGATTTATACAAGTTAGAGCTTGCTGCCCAAGAAGAGCAAAATGATGCCCCAGGGGTCACCTCTGTGCTGGGCAGTTCTCTGAGGATGCAGTTGGGAGCTGGGAAATCCATCTGAGTGAGCACAGCACATGTCCATCCTCATCACTGCATCCCTGCTATTTAGGAAGGAGAAGACTTTCTTGTGGAAGCAAGAGCCAAAAAGTTGCTTCTCTCTGTGCAGCAAAGGCAAGATGAGAGAGCAATGGCTCCCAGCCCTTTTTAGTTAATGAATAGCTTAGAAACGAACCCATGTCCAGTGCAAAGCTCAAGAGAAGCCAAGGGAAGCAGAATCTGGAGGCAAACCTGACTGGCAGATCCCACACCAAATCCTCAGGTCCTCCTCGGTCAGCCAGCTCCCAGCCACTGGAGGGCGCCCCGAAAGTCTGAAAGAGGCAAACCCAGGTAAGCAGCCTTGTTTCCCCTGATTTCCCAGAGGAATCTGAAATTAGTTATTTCAGTCTGAGAGCATTTTGCACAGAAAGATCTATTCTTAATACAAATAAATGTACAATTAATAGATAAGTTCTGGCATCCTCTAGGAGCTAGATTTGGGTTATTTTCAGTCACAACTAGATTTAAATGTGCAACTGTGCTGTAAAACTTCTCTATTTTGTTTTGCAAAACTGCTCTATTTTGAGCCTAGACTTGCGCACTTGTGAGCTCACTGCAAGAGGGAGAGAACTCTTGGAAATGCAGCAAGGGCCCAAGTCCCTGCGAGTACACAGCCCCAATTGTTGGATTCTTGGATTCAGATTCTTAAATTGTTGTGCCAATGGTTTGACAGCAGGCAAATTGATGGATAGGCTTTATGGACAATAGTCAGGGTGGGAACAGAATTAATCAGCAATTATTTGTTTTATTACCTTCTCCCTCAAGATCAGAGCCTTCCTACTCTGAGCTGGCCTGAATGTCCTGTTCATGGATCCAGCTCAGCCCTGGGCACATGGCAAGTGGTGTCTGGCTCTTTTGCCTTCTACACCGTCTTCCCACTTCCTACCATCAGATACCCAAAGCCTCCAATGAACTCCCTCCTCAACTTCAGTTCCTTAAAGACAATCCACCTGAATCAATCTATTCACCCTGAACTGTTAGGACATGGCTCAAAACTTAGCCCAAAGCAAGCACAGAACAGTTGTTGGTTGAATCAGAGTCTCCAGTAAGCAAAGTCTTGGAACCTGTCACTTTCACAGCATGGCAGTGATTCCCACAATCGGGCAAGCTTGGGAAATTCTGATATGATACAGACACATTCATTCGGAATAATGGAAATAAAGGAATTGGGTAAGGGAGTGTGTTGGGACTGGAAAGAGTTCACTGATGCTTCTTAATCACTCAGATGTGATTGGGTGGGGAGAAGGATAGGAAACAGTGTGGAAGTCAATCACTCAACAAATCATGGATGCCTCTGGTGAGTGGGGCAAGAATGAAGGTGGAGTTTCCACCCAGAAAGGCCATACAATCTAGTAGAGCAAGCATCTAAACAAAACAGAAGGGGCTGGAAGAAAAGCTAGTTATGCCTTGGGAGCAATGCTTCTGGGGATGAGTCTGCCTTGGAAGAAAACAGCTGGAAATTGGTCCTGTCATTGTGAAATGGTGATTGCCTTCAAGGGAAATACCTGAGGAATGGCATGGCCATACCCATCCTGATGGAGGCGATCCAACCAGTCGCAGCCTTTCAAGAAAGTTTCACTCTGCTGAACCCTGAAAATAAGGCCTTGAAAAGCAAACGACCCACTTGTACATCAACCATCAGCTTAACCCCCTAGTGCCTCAGGTTTACCCACTAAATGTAGAGTTAATTCTACATTTAAAGCTGTTTGGATCACAGTTCACATTCAACTACGTAATTATTTATCATCACTAGCCTCTGAGACTATTTGAGAATTAAAGTAAATCCATTTATAGCACACCGTAAGACTCCTATAAAAGACAAAATGCATGAGTCATGTCCCTTGCTACCTGACAGAGGAACAGAAGCCTTTCCGAGTGAATATTATCCTGCGCCGAAAGCTTTCTTCCCTTAATCCCCTGAATTCAGAGCTGAAGCACTCACGAGTCTCTGTAACTTGAGTTGTGCTAACATGTTGAAGTGGTAAACAAGCAGAGTTACTCATCTCTTCCGAGGCCCATTTTTTTCTGTCTACATTCCAGCTCTGTCTTCTGAGCACATGGCTGACCACTGCATGGCCAATGGAGACCAGGGCTCTTTAGGAATAAGAATGAGTTCTTATGTGTTGAGTGTGAACAATGGGCCAGGAAACGTGCTGCAAGTGCTTCCAGCTATGTGATCCCATCTTCTGTTTCTTCATAGCACTGATGTCCCACTAACCCGGGGAGAGTCATCTCTCATTCTTCCTGGGCTCCAATCATCCCATCTGTAAAGTGAAAAGAGTAATTTTCAAACTGCCTCCACCCTTCAACCACAGGAAGCCTGAGTTGGTATGAAAAGCTTGGCTATCTTTCTGAAAGTGCCTTCTTCCCACACACCCTGCACACAAAGCTCAGAGCTAATTCTCATTCTTCATCTTCTGACCTAAGACTCAGAAGGAGCTTCTCTGTGCACCCACTGTTAACGGAGGGTGCCACGCAGTTCTAGGCTCTTGGTGTCCCGAATAAAGAATTGGACGAGACAAACAGATAGCAAAGCAAAGCAACAGAAGTTCATTAAGCACAGTATTACACTTTCAGGGCAGGAGAATGGACTGGCCTCTGTGAGATGAGATCAGCGTCAGTTTGGTGAAGTTTGAGTCTTTTTACGTGTTTTTTTCTTCTCTTCCCAAGGCTGCCTAATCTCTAGCCAGTGTCTGCCTTTTGATTGAGAGGTGTGTTGTTTAGTTACTTCGGCCTCCATGCACTTGCAAGCTGCCTCTATCCCATAATTTTAAGTACATGCATGATACGCAGCCCATATGCATGAATCTTAAGTAGCCAATTATCATACAGGGTTATGTGAAGGATACTTTTTCTCTCTAATGTGCATGCCTGTCTCTGAAGCGCTGCCCCTTCCTGGTTTGGTCCAGATCCTGCTGGCCATGAGGTCCTTGCTCACTTCTCTATCTTACTCTTTGTTTTGGCTGCTTAACATCCACCTCTTATCTTGCTTCTTGCTCACCCACCCCTTCATCTTGCTTCTGCTCTCTGTTTTTACTTATTCTGCCCTTTATCCAACTTTTAATTCCCTTTGCTATTCTCCTGCCTCATTTTCCCTATTCTCCTGCCTCACCACTGTTGTTAAGCAGAAAAAGGACCCTTGGTGTAGCTCCTGCTATCCAGGGCCATGGGCAATTCCTGGTCCTGCTGCCGTGGCACTCCTTTCCTTCCCTCACATAGCAATCTTGAAAAGCTGTGAGGGAACAACTTACTGTTACATAGTAGGCATTTAATAAACATTTGCTGAATGGATAAATTAATGAAGGTCTAAATGGATGGGTGGGGGTGGATGGACAGATGATGACTGGGAGATTGGGAACATGAGCTCTGGCCTGTGTCTTTCAAACAATGGAAATCTGGAAAGCTATTTAAACACTCTAGGACTGAATTTGCCCACCTTAAAAATGGCAGTGATAAAAGTTCCTACCTCAGAAGTTTGTTGTGAGGATTAAAGGAGACAATTTAGACAAATTGGTCAACACTGTGGCCAGTATTTTGTTACCTTTAATAAATGTCAACTACTTTTATTGGAATAGTGAGCACAGGTTATCTTATTACGAAGGAATTCTTGGCCGGGCACAGTGGCACATGCCTATAATCTCAGCACTTTGGGAGGTCGAGGTGGATGGATCACATGAGGCCAGGAATTCAGGACCAACCTGGCCAACAAGGAGAAACCCTATCTCTACTAAAAATACAAAAATTTGTTGGGCGTGGTGGCACACGCCTGTAATCCCAGCTACTTTGGAGGCTGAAGCAGGAGAATTGCTTGAACCTGGGAGGCGGAGGTTGCAGTGAGCCAAGATTGTGCCACTGCACTCCAGCCTGGGTGACAGAATGAGTGAGACTCCATCTCAAAAAAAAAAAAAAAATTAGAGTTCTTGAATCACTCTAAATCATGAAAAGGCAAGACATCTACAGAATTCAGTATTTTAGATCTAGAAGCACACTGCTGACTCCACACCCCTAGACCAGTCATTAGACACTGGTGGGTCATGAGGAAGCATTTGAGAACACTACCTGCGCCTTACACAGTGAGTGCTCAGGGAAGATTTGTCATATGAATGGATGGAATGAATTGCATGAGTGAGACAATGAATGAATGAACAAATGAATGAATGAATGGACAGATGGAAGAAATAAAAAGCATAGAAGGAAAAACAGATTGTCTAGCTCAATAGTTTCATTCAGGGGTAATTTTGACCCCCCAGAGGATATTTGGAAATATCTGGAGACATTTTTGGTTGTCACAACTGGGAGGTGCTCCTGGCATCTAGTGGGTAGTGGCCAGAGATGCTACTAAACATCCTATAATGCACAGAACAGCCCTCAACAGGAAACCATTTTCCAGTTCAAGATATTAATGGTGCAGAGCTTGAGAAACCCTGGTCTAGTTCATTGGTTTTAAAACTCTGCTCTACCATAGAATGTCTGTCTGTCTCTCTCTTTCACATGCACACACACACTCTGTGTAACGTACGTGTGTGTTTTGAAATAGATCCTCCTAAAAGCTTGATCTCAGGACCACATTGTATGTTTATTATACTCTTTATGACAAGGGATTTACAGACACGTCACTGTAAGAAAAATCATGCTATAATGAGTTAAATTGAAATTCCCCATGGGAGTCACTTTTCTGAAAGGATGCAAGAGTTGCTTGGCTCTGACATAAGGCAACCACAATATCTGAATTTCAAATTGTTAAGGGGCCTTTTGGGTTGGGAAAGCAGGAAATTGCCTTATTAAAAGATAATTTAACCATAAAGTATTTTCTGCATAGACTCATTTAATAATAAAAGGATTTCAATGTTGTGAACATTCTCATTAGTAATTTGGAGATTTTCAAATAAACCAGCAGAAAAATGACAACAATTGGTTGTCTATGGGTCTCTTCTGCCACACAGTAGCCTGGGAATGTGTCTGTGGGTTAAATTTTAATCTGCAGATTAGAAAATTATAAATGACTAGCGTGGAAATTCATCCAAGAAAAACCTACATTACAAAATCATGGAGCTGCTGATTCAGTCCAGAAGCTGAGGTTTATAAGACACTATAATTTATTTCTGCCTGAATCCCTGCAGCAGGGTCTTCCTCCCTGACCAACACATGACCTTTGCTTTCTCCCTGGCATGGAAACAACCCCAACCCTACCCAAAAGTTTTTCAGCTCCTGCCCGACTCCCAATTCTCCATTTACCCACCCTCTCTCTTGTACTTTTCTTTGGTGGTCTTGTTTTTTAAGCTCCATTATTTAAAAGTTTATATACAGTAAAAGGCATGGATCTTAAGTCTATAATTGGATGTCATTGGACAGATGCTTTTCTCTTGCTACAATCACTCAAATCCAGACACAGACCATTTTCATGCCCAAGAAATGTCCTTTGTGCCCCTTTCCCAGTTAATACCCCCACCCTCCAGAGGCAAAGACTGTTTGGATTTCTATCACCATAAATTGGTTTTCCTAGATTTGGAATTGCACATAAATAGAATCATGCCTTAGGCCCTCTGCTGTGTCTGGTTTTTTTTTTGTTGTTGTGTTGTTTTGTTTTTTTTCCTCAACATTAACGCCTGTGAGATTTAGACGTGTCACTGCATATTTCAGTACTTCTTTCCTTTTTATTTTTTAATGGTATTCTATTGTATTGGGGACAATTATAAATAAGGTTGCCATAAATATTCTTGTACAAAACTCTTTTAAACAAACACATGCTTTTGTCACTCTTGGGCATTTACCGAGGAGTAAAATTGCTGGGTCCTAGCGTTGTGCATGCTCACCCTAACCTTGCACAATGAAGCTCCAGCCTGACTCCATTGTTTTTAGTCCCTCAGAAGTGTCCGCTCTCACCCTCTGCAGCTTCACACACCCTCCCCTCCCTTCACATGGGTAATTCCTACCCATCCTTCAGGTCCTGACTAAGATGACACGTCATGAAACCTTCCTTGATTTCTATGGAATCTATTAGATTTTTCTCTGCTTGAATTTCCCACAACACCCTGTAACATTGCAACATCCTGATGCAATGACATGTTCCTAACATCTGTCTTCATTCTAGCATCTAGCATCCACAGGGCAAATGCTGTACTGAACATTTTGAGCAAAAAAATAAAGAAGTATTAAATTATACTCCAAACTATAACAAAGATGTCCAGGAGTCCATACTAGTATAAACAAGTTATTGATTAAATAAGTAACTAAGGAAGAATAAACAAGTTTCTCGTGCCAAATTCCAAACAGTTTAAGTAGATATTTTGTCCTTAAGGAAGTGGAGCAGCATCACTCCCCTCTCCTTAAGCATGGGCTACACATAGTGACTTCCTTCCAAAGAGTACAGTATGGAGAGAAGGAGGGAAAAGGTAATTTTACAGTGGAGAAGCCTAACAAATAACGACAGCTAATTCAGTTAACACCTAGCACTCGACTTACACACGCCGAGTGCTTCATTATCAATCTGCTGGACAGATGGACAGATTGAAGGATGGGAAGATGAAGAGTCTTGGGGTGGATCAGCTAGACCAGTGGTCTTCAAACTGTTCTTTGTGGGACTCATGGCTCCTCACATCCCCTCAGAGACCATTGGGGTTAGGGGTGGTGGGAAGAGGAGGCCAAAGGGCCTGGCCACCAGGACCTCTTATCCAGGTTTGATCAGAACATCTTGTTCATTTTAATCTGTTTTATATACCACACATCCATGTAGTATTTCACTGGAAGACAACATACTTTTATTAAAAAACAGCTTTAAAAGTTACTGATCTAGTGCTGAGATCCTAGGGACAGGAAAGTAATGTGACTTAGTCAACTGGTCAGGGGTTTGGGGGGTATTAAACACATACAAATAGTCTTCACTTCCACAATAACTATGCTTTTGCTCATTTTCCTTGAAACACACAGCCCACTCAACTAATGCTCATATACCTGTTTTGATGGCATGGATATAGAGAAATGTTTATCCACAAAATGAAAATAAAGCAAAACTAAAACAAAAATAACTGGGCAAAAAATATTATAAGTAGTAACTGACATTCACCTTTAGTGTCAGTGAGACAATAGGGAGTGGTGGGGTTTGTGCCCAACTATCTAAAAGGGGCAGTTTCATTTCCATTTCAGCCACTTGCTGCCATGTGGTAATAATGAAGCCATCTAGGGTCAATGAAGCAATCTTATTGTCTGAGGTGTTGAGTTCTTTGTCTCACAACCAAGAAAATTAAGGAGCACGGACACCAAGGGTGAGGTTGGAGTGAAAGTTTAATAAGCAAAAGAGGAAAGCTCTCTGCAGTGGAGAGGGTTGCCATTTTACAGTTGAATATAAATGTTTTTATAAGAAATTGTCCTTGTCTATGTAGTGGCCTGTGTAACTGCCCTTATCTGTACAGCTGTGGACATGTCTCAGGCAAGCCTCCCCCGCCAAGAAAGTTCCCACGGAGCCACCAGGTACATGTCCACAAAAGGGGAGGAAACTTTCCTGGGAGTCCGCTGATTATACAATGAACAAAGGTGTTTCTATGTTGGGGCTTGTCCCCTTATCTGTGTAGCTGTAGGTTGATTTTTCAGCCTATTTCTCTGTTTAAAACAATTCTACCAGTGACCTGTCTTAACTGTCTGCCTGTTTTTTTCCTTTCTCCTGTCTCCATATGGATGGTGCAATCACATTTCTGAGTTTTCAAGGTAAGCCAGAAAACTGATTTGTGTGAGTGGAGTGTGTATGTGTGTGTGTGTGTGTGTGTGAGAGAGACAGAGAGATCCTAATTATTAATTTTGGTTTACACATTTAAACATATGGTGTAGGACAAACAAAAGCACATCTGTGGCTCATCTAGGGCTGAAAGCCAAGTTATAACCATAGTTTAATTGCTCAGTATTAAAAATGACAGGCCGGGCATGGTGGTTTACACCTGTAATCCCAGCACTTTGGGAGGCCACAGCAGGCAGATCGCTTCAGGCGAGGAATTGGAGACCAGCCTGGCCGGACATGGTGAAACTCCATTTCTGCTAAAAATACAAAAATTAGCTGGGCATGATGGTGCAAGCCTGTAAGGCACGAGAATCACTGGAACCCAGGAGGTGGAGGTTGCAGTGAGCCAAGATCACACCACTAAACTCGAGCCTGGGCAACAAAGTGAGACTCTGTCCTCAAAAAATAAAAATATGTATAAAATATAAATGACAAAGCATAGGCTGGGAGAGGTGAATGACTCACCAAGTTTCTGTCAGCTTATTCAAGAAAGAGCTAAGATAAAAATCTAAATTTGTTAACTCCCAGCTCAGTGCCTCTCCACCTTCTCCACCCACACTGCTCACTCCTATATCTATGTGTAGTTGGAGAAGACATGCGTGGTTGCCTCCTAGGACCACTCCCCTTCCCCATCTCAACTGCCCTTTAGTTTTGCATCCGTACTGCTCTTGCCCCACCTCTCACTCTACGTTCCATATATTTCTAGGGCCAATGACCCCTTTCCCAGCCTCAGGATAATCCTATGCCCCCTCAGCAGTGATTGATTCAGGAATCCAGGCCTTTGTTAGTGAGGGTGTAGCATTTAGCTGGCCATGAGGGATAATTCCAACATGTGTACATGACCCAGTTTGGGCCAATAAGAGTTACTAAATATTTGAGGAAGAAATCCCCTAGCTGCTAAGAGGGAGCCTCTGAGGCAATCTCTAGTTCATCCTCTGAATGTCCTGACATTCATTCATTCAGCAAATGTTTCTTAAGCAGCTACTATGTGCCAAGCACTGTTCCTAGCACTGGTGATACAGTAGTGATCACAAAGTGGAGCTAAAGTACTACTGGGAAAACAGAAAAAAAATGACTGAAAAAGTAACTCAATGACATGGCAGATAGATACTAGCAAGTATGATTGAAAATAATAATGCAGAATAAGAGAAAATGGAGTAGAGTGGAATGAGTGGGTACACAAAAATATAGGGTAGCCTGAGTATGTGAAGGTAGAAATTGTCATAGCCATTCTGCCATCACAAGGGAAGCAGCCTGATGATGAAGCCATCACCTAGAGGAGAGCATGACCAAGGAAACTGCAAATAAATGGAATAAGAGCTTCTGGATCAAGCTGTTCCTGAAGCTTACCTCGCTTCTGGACTACCAGTTACAAGATTTTCTTATATTTTAAGTCAGTGTATGTATTGGGTTTGCTGTCAGTGACCTGCAGCCAGAGGCATTCTAATAATTATATTAAATGAAATGACATATAGAGAGTTTGATTTTCTTGGGAGCTTTTACTTGAGTCATTTCAAGAATAGACCAATATTTTGTTGGAAATATACTTAAGGTGCATTTGAGATAGAAGATTCTTTCCTAAGGATTGTGAGGGTGAGAACGACTGCTCTGCACAAAACAAAACAAGAGATTAATTTTCTTATGGTTCTGGAGAGGGAGATGAGAACAACAGAAGAACAAGAGAGGAAGCAGAATCTGCATATGGTGGAAGGTCACCTTCTCCATGCAATATGAACCTCTCTGTGACTCTCCCCCAAGGCCCTCAATAAAGCCTATAAAAGCCTTCTAAGTATTGCATTTTGTAAGGGATTGAGATAAATTGAATGATTGAAAAAATAATATATCTTATTGACCAGTCCAGGTTCTCAAATAGCCAGGCCAGGTCAACAGATACATAAGATGGAAATCTTGCAGATATTTTGCAAACAAATGTGTAAAACTCTAGAAGGCATTCCCACTGGTTCCATATTAATGTGTGCCTTTGCCTTCCATTTCAACCATGTCATCTTTCATTGTTCTCTCACATACAACCTTCTATCTCCTTCTGCATTAAATCATCATGCATTTTGCTATTCAATCAATGGAAACATTTAATAAAGGTTTGCTAAAGGTCAACCAACATGCCAAGCACTAGAGTTATACAGCTGAATAAGACAGAGTCGTCCTGAAAGAGTTCGCCTTCTCAAGGGAGAATGGAGACATGTGTTCCCCCATACCACATGCCTACCATGTGCCATCACTATGCTGGTCCTTAAGTATGTTACCTCACTTACACTACAGAATGTTGCTCTCAAGCAGAGGTCAGCCAACCTTGTCTGTAAAAGACCAGATATTAAACATTTTAGTCTTGTGCTGGCCAAGATATAAAACTGAGCATATGATATAGATACTTGTATAACATGAGAGGAGATAACATTCCACACATTTTTTATTAATGGAAGTCAAAATATAACAATAATTGAATACGATTTATTTTTGTAATACAAGTCTACTAAGGAGAAGAATAAAACTCTGTGGGGTAGAAAATATTTCACTTAATTGGGCTTCCAAGTGAGTGTGTATGGTATGGTTTGAATGTCTTTCTTTGTTGCTTCCAAAATTCAGGTTAAAATTTAACCCCCAATGCAACACTATTAAGAGGTGTGGCCTTTAGAACTGAGTCATGAGGGCTGTGCCCTCATGAATGGGATTAGGTGCCCACCTGAAAGGGCTTGAAGGAGGACTTTCACTCCTCACTTTTCACCCCCTGTCCCTTCCACCATGTGAGGACACAGTGTTTCTCCCCTCCAGAGGATGCGGCGACAATGCATCATCTTAGAAGTGGACACCAGGTCCTCACCAGACACCAAACCTGCTGGTATCTTGGTTTTGGACTTCTAGCCTCCGGCACTGTGAGAAATACATTTCTGTTCTTTATAAATTATCTGGCCTCAGGCATTTTGTTATAGCCACACAAATGGAGTAAGACAGTTGGCTATTGTCAAATCAATTTCAAATGCTCATTTGTTATAAACCACTCTCACTGCAATGAAAGGAACCAATCTCCCTGGAAAAAAATGGCTGATTCTAAGTCTGAAGCAGGAAACACACAAGATGAGCCTGGAGCATCCTGTATTGCCAGAAAGCAAGAAAGTGCTAAAATGCACGCACACACAGGCACAGGTACATACACACACACAGGCACATGTACACACACACAGAGATACACAATGATGAAGGTATGTCAAAGGTGCCGACTAGAAAAGCTCTCAATGGCCAAAGATGGAAAATTTTGAGCAAAAAAAAAAAAGTGTTAAATTATACTCCAAACAATAACAAAAATGTCCGTTAGTCCATACTAGTATAAATAAGTTATTGAATAAATAAACGTGGGAGAATAAACAAATTTCTCATGCAGAATCCCAAATAATTGAAGTAGATACTTTATCCTTAAGGAAGTGGAGAAGCATAACTCCCCGCTCCCTAAGTGTGGGCTACACATAGTGACTTCCTTCCAGAGAGTACAGTCTGGAGAGAAGAGGGAAAAGGTAATTTTACAGTGGAGAAGCCTGACCAATGCTTCAGCCAGGTGATTAAGGTCAGCATCCACAGTAATAAATCATGTTGTTAGTATGTAACCTTGATAAGACATGATGAACATGGCACTTTATCTCTGTGGTTGTCCTCCCCAAAACGTGTAACTACAGTCTGATCATGGGTCAAACGTCATAAAAATCTATATAGAGGAACATCTTAGAAAATACATAGTCCTCCTCAAGGTCATGAAAACAAGGAAAGTCTGAGAAATCATTGCAGCCAAGAGTGGCCTCGGAGACGTGATGATCAAATGTAATGTGGTGTCCTAGACAGGATCCTGGAACAACCAGAAAAAGACAGTAGGTAAAAAGTAAAGAAATCTGAATGAAGTATGGATTTTAGTCAATAGTAAGGCATCAATTCATTAATTGTGACAAATGTGCCCAACTAATGTAAAATGTTTATGAGGAAAACCAGACATGGAGTATATGGGAACTTTTAGTAATATCTTCACAACTTTCCTGTAAATCAAAATCTGTTCTAAAATAGAAAATGTGGCACATATACGCCATGGAATACTATGCAGCCATAAAAAACGATGAGTTCATGTCCTTTGTAGGGACATGGATGAAGCTGGAAACCATCATTCTCAGCAAACTATCGCAAGGACAAAAAACCAAACACCGCATGTTCTCACTCATAGGTGAGAACTGAACAATGAGAACACATGGACACAGGAAGGGGAACGTCACACACCGGGGCCTGTTGTGGGGTAGGGGGAGAGGGGAGGGATAGCATTAGGAGATATACCTAATGCTAAATGACGAGTTAATGGGTGCAGCACACCAACATGGCACACGTATACATATGTAACAAATCTGCACGTTGTGCACATGTACCCTAAAACTTAAAGCATAAAAAAAAATACAGAAAACACAAATAAAATAAAAACTTCTATATCCATCAAAAAAAAGTGTATGAAAAATTCACACACACATGCACAATCACTCTTAGTTTAAGCGCTGTGCAAAAACAAGCTTTGGGCTATATGTTGGCCTATGGGCCATAGTTTATCGATACCTGCTCAAATAGGCTACTTCCATTTCCATTTTGTAGCTGAAAAAACTGAGGTCAAGGACTAATTCTAATCACATCAGCGTTCATCAAACCCTTGTGATCAATTGTGTAATAATTGTGATAATTGTGATATAGTGTGAATAATATCAAAGTCTATGCTCTTTATTGTAGCATAGGAGAACTCTTCTTCCCCCTACCTGAAAGCATCTGATGATTCTTCATTGACTCCATCACTCTCTAATCAGGAAGAAATGTATTTTTAGGAGGTCCCGGGAGATTTTCTTGAAGGGCCCACTGAGCCACACTGACCCACAATCACCCCTAAAAGCAAGGGAAGCTGGAGAAGGTGACAGCTGACATTTTCAATTCTATGTTGCATCACAAGAAGGGCAGAGAAACGGCTGTGGTGGAGGCACCCAGTGGTATTTGCCAGGGTTGTTGTGAGTGGTTACTTATAATTTTAAGGTGATTTCATACATATGTTTCTTTTCTATGGTTAATGTTTTCCCTATAAGTAAACTACAAAACACTTTAACAGAAAGAACTATGACTTAAACTATCATATACCTGAAAAGTTAGTTTTGTTTGGTTTTGTTTACCTGGACTTACAACATTGTTTGAAGAAAAGATCAGTTCAGACTCCCAGACACTTCTCAGTTCTTGGAGAAAATCACAGCCAGACAAAATTGTTCAAAAAATTTATAGCCTCATGAAATGAAGAAACAGAAGCCAGTAGGGCAGAGTTACTAAGTGACAGGGTGGGAGGCCCAGGCCCCACTGTGCTAAGTGGAGACTTTGGTCAAAGAGGCCAACTCAACGGTTAAGACCACTTGGAAATAACTTATCTGCATGTGTCATTTTGTGGCAAGAGTAAAAAGCTTTGAAAAAAACTCCCGAATGAGCTGGAGACACTGCTGTACCATTTCTAGATGGCAGGGATCCCTGTCATTACATGTAGTTGCTTTGGCTTGTGAAGACTCACATATTAGAGAACTAATTATGGCTACACTGAGTTATAAGACCACCATCAGTTCAAGAATTCTGGAGTAGTAGTTAACTCTGGCTTATCAAGTACTATTTTCACAGCTAGTGCAAAGTAACAACTTGAGACGGTGGAGTTTTGACACCCTTAGAGAATGTGCTCCCTGCTCTAGAAGGACTATTCCTCACACATATCACAATGTACTAACTGCAGATCCCAATCATTAATCATAAAAGCGAGGGTACTATCCTACTTTGTGATCATGTCTGAATGTAAAACAAGAACAGCAGCAACAACAACAATAGCTAACGTGCTGAATCTTGGTGGGCGCTGGAGGGAGGCTAAGTGATACACACACAGTCTGGCATCCAATGCTCACAACGATTCTTCAAGGGAGGCCCTATCATGATCCCCATTTTTCAAATTTTGAAGCTTAGACCCAGAGAGCTACTTGTCCAAAGTCATTACCAAGTAAACAATTGAAGTAAGGTTTTAATCTACTCTGCTACAAATAAGCTGCCCTATAGTGGAGTTTACCTTTCCTTCATGGTGCTCTATGAAGTGTAATTCTATATTTATTTGTTTGTTAGATGAAGGTCTGGTTCAAAACAAGCTATAAGCTCGGGAGGCAGGATCCTCTGGTAGGGCTCTTGTCGGTCAGCATCTGCCTGACAAAGAATAAGTGCTCGATGAGATGAATTCTTATCATTGAATGTCCAAATGAATGAGCAAATGTCTTTAGATATATTTGGTGGCCACTCTCAGATGGTCAGAAGGCTCTGCCCAAGATCTGAATTTGCAAGCTCCATTAATTGGCTTTCAAGGGACAAACTGTGATTGATAAAAGACTTTAGTTTTTTAAACAAGTCCTTTAAGAGACATCGCATATAATGAATTTAAGACTTTGGGAGATTGAAAATGATTTCAGAGGGTGTGATTGAAGCAGCTTGCAAATGAAGACCAATAAGCAAAAAAGACACGGAGGCTCAGACAATGTCCAGGTGCTCGTGGGGGTCAAGAGGCAAATGGAGTACAACTCACACCTTTTCATGGCCCTCTCCTATCATCGATCAAGAAGTGTCTGAGCAACACACAACCAAAGGGTCTTTTATAGGAAGATGGGAGTAAGTATGTCTGCACAACACTCTGCTGCATGTTCCCATGACTGTTTAACCAACCAAGTTAATATTTTGTACTTACCTTACTTCCACTTAACTGAAAATATTAATGTATTGCACTGTATCATTTAATAATCAGAATGTGGGTGTACTGCTGTGTCATTTGTAGGATTAGGAACAGATGTTTTGAGGGTAGAGCGGGAAGGAAAAGAACCTTAAATAATTCTTTTTGCTTAAAACTCTCCCTCACACCTGGTTCCAGGACTCCTCTTGGCCTTACCTGACGTTCCTGTGTACAGTTAAAAATGCATTTTTAAAAATAACTCTGGGACTTCAGAGCAGCATTTGGATACAAAATGGAACTGAATATAGGGTGGCTCTAAACGGCCTTCAAGTTTCTAAGAACCATGGAGCTATTTGCTAAGGCAATTTCATTTAGCCTCCACAGGATAGCAGCGCCTCCACAGGATAGCAGCACGCAAGGTATTTCTTGAGGCCACAGGTGCCTGCCCTCAATGCCTGGAAGCATCTCCGGATTCCAGTGTGCCCACCGTTCACTTGTGCTGCATTTCACTGGCAAATTCGGATATAAAACTTCAGATAAGAATTCTTATTTTTTTTCCACACTTCACACTGACAAGCAGCTAGGGTGAGCTTACTGACAATTAGGAGGTCAGAAAGCCTTGCAGAGGCAAAGGAGGGGGCTCCGGCAGCCACAGAGGTGCACTCCTCAGGTTATTTAATATGGTATCAACCATGGGATTGTTTGGCAAACAATATCACATCCAAAACTTTTTATATATAGTTTTCAAAGAACAAAAGAGACAACTGCATCCTTGACTTGATCACATTTATTCAATATGGTTGGAAATTAGCAAGAATCAGAAGAAGCACATATCAATCAAATACAGCCACAAAAACATCCTGGAGATAAATAAAGCTGCACTATGAGAAATACTCACTACTGAAGGAACCAGTACTCTCTTACATTTACTACCTCTTAGCAACAAACAACTCAAATGTAAATTTAATTTACTCACAATATAGAACCCTTGACTTTTTAAAGAAAAATATAGATTCAAATCAATCAGAATTTGCCTCGCTAGGCCTTTTCGTTACGTATGTTTTTGAGGCCTAGTTCGACGACTGTTACGAAAATGACAAAAACAAACTCGAAAGAATGTTTCCACAAAGTTCAACAAAACAGTGCAGAAATAAGTTACTTACCCATGCACAGAATAAGGCAAAGGCTAATTTCATTCGGGTTAGGAATAGTAAATTTAACTAGTTTCTTTTCCACAAAACGAACATTTCAGACTTCTTTTTAAGTAACGGGTATACTCTATTATACATCATATGCTACGTTACGTGGTTTTCCTAACTCTACTCAGAAAGCCGGCACTCAAACGTCAAACAGAAACTTCTCCTTGATTAGACTTATTCTGTAACAACCACAGAAATTAATCTGGGTCTCGTGATAGTGTCTACAGTGAAAAGAGCACACACTAGTAGAAGCACACAGTTTAGAGAGCTGAAGGTACATTAAAACATCGTCTATAGGTTTCACAAATTTTGTTTTTAAAATATTTTTTCCAAACTAAAAGCTGCAGAAAATTAGTTCTTAAATATTCTACTGAAAACTCTTGAGCAGCTAGCATTTTAAATTTCTTAAGCTTTTTATTTTCTTAAAAATATTTAAATGAGTGTAGTATCTCATCTTTTTGAAAAATAATCCAAAAAAAGATTACAAATCTTTAGTTTTAATCAGTGTGACCAAGGGTTTGTCATCAGGACTGTAATCTTCATAGGCGATGGGGCTCACATCATACATTGCAGGCCGGGATTTCTTTCCAAACCTGAAATCAGAGAGAAAGGACTCTGGTTAGATAAATACTAGATCTCAAGTTTAATTAAAGCAAGTGATGAGAATAATTTATATGCATGAATTAAATGAAACTGTAAAAACATATTCTATAGCAAGCATAGAAACTTTAGACATCCTAATATTAACACTGAATGTGTATAAACATTAGTCTTTGGTGTTCGAGGCAAAAAAACATATTTCACAAAATGTAGAGCTCAAAGTTGGAGCTTGCAGGTTAAATCTTGGCAAAGCAGTCAAGCATGACAGCTCCACAATAGATTTTAAGAAAATGTGTATTGATTTGTCTTTTTCTTCTGAGGCCCATAAATATTTGGAGAGGTGAGTTTATTTTATATCTACTCCAGTGCCTGGAATATAGAACACCAGGGCAGTCTTCCCCGGGCCATGGACAGACAGCCTTTCCTGTGGGATTTTCAGGGGATAAGCTGTGAAGGTTTAAGGTCATCTGAGATCCCAACACAAAAGGGCAGAGGTGGGAAATGACTTCAGATACAGAGGTGTCTGTCCACAAACTATGCCAGAACTCACCATTGAATCCCACCCACCTATCACCTCCCAACCTTATGGACACAGAAGCCAATGTTTTCCTCAGAGCACAAAGCCATTGTCCCAACAGATTTGTATGTATCAAAATTGCCTCGACAGCAGGACTGCCTCTCAGAAGCCAAGGGAGTCAAAATCCAATTTCAGGACTTCCTGTCAAACCTGTCGTAAGGTGGCAATTATTAAAATAAAGCCAATTCAACTTCTGGGTGGTCTCTTCCCATTCAAGACCTCACCTTCCCTACAAGCCCTGGAGTGCAACAGGATTCAAACGATCTTCCACACTAACCCATCCTCCCTCCTCCTTTGTCTGGACAACATTTTTTAATTGTTTCAATTCCACCAGGGCTCTTTAAAAAGACATTTTAAAAGAACCTTAAATTTTACAAGGTTCCTAGGATGGGGTCCCTAGGAATTAAAGGGGCTTATTTGCCATGGCTCCTGTCCCAACTCTCCTCTTTTCCTATTTTTTCCTTTGATATGTTGAAAGTCTGTCTTCTCATGTATGGAGATGGGAAGTAGAATCAAGCGGGAAATGAGAAAACAGTGCGTTCTTCATGTGATCTTTCATTTTAAACAGTCATCAATCTTGTATTCCAATCCTCTCAAATTTTACTGGCCTTGAAGAGCACAAAGGCATATGCTATGCCAGACAGGCACCAGGCAAAACACGGGGTTAAAGAGTTAAAGCATTCTACCCTCAGAAAAACCCACAGCTATTACTGCAATATGACAAAAGACTTCAATAAATACTTTCTAAAATGTGAAGCCTCACTGAAGGTCCACCATTGTGCTCACATAGATGTGGGTCAGGCTCTAGCCTGCAGTTTGTTCACCTAAATTGAGTGAGGCCTGCATAATCTAAGGATAGGAAAAGTGTCAACAGAGTAAAAGTGTCAACAGGCCTGTTGGGTCTTACACTTTCTCCCAAGTCTGACAATTTCCTAGGCTGCTTTAAGATGCAAACATTTTGACAATTTATTTCTCATAAAATACCTAGATACACCACCACTAATAATAATTTAACCAAAAATATCCAGCAACCCAGTGAAGAGCTCTCCATATCTAACATAGTAGGATATAGAGAGCTTTGACTTGAGGGCCAACAAATTATATTAACTAACTAATTATTCGATTGGTTGGCTGAAAGGAAAAACCCAATTGTATATATCTTTAAAACATCCTTTTTTTTATTTTTTATTTTTGAGACAGAGTCTCGCACTGTTGCCCAGGCTGGAGTGCAGTGGCGTGGTCTCGGCTCACGCGGCAAGCTCCACCTCCTATGTTCGTGCCATTCTCCTGCCTCAGCTTCCCGAGTAGCTGGGACTACAGGCGCCCGCCACCACGCCCAGCTAATTTTTTGTATTTTTAGTAGAGACGGGGTTTCACTGTGTTAGCCAGGATGGTCTCAATCTCCTGACCTCGTGATCCACCCGCCTCGGCCTCCCAAAGTGCTGAGATTACAGGCGTGAGCCACAGATCCACTGAGTATGACAAGGCAAGGGCTGATGCCTCTCAAGAGTGAGCCACATGGCCACCTATGCATGTTCAAGGTCAACTGAAGAGCAAGGAGCACCACTCTGTGTCCACACTGGTTAACTGAGCTGTGTGGCCCGGTCCTAATGGGATTAACTCCAAACAAGTATGGGTCATAAAGTATAATGCTAGTTACGAAGGTGGTTAAAATAAGACTAATAGCCCCAGCACCAGAAGAGAGAGCAGGCAGGCTTGGAGCTGGAATCCCTGCATTTCAACTTACTAGCTGCTGAGAACTTTGTCCAAATTCCTTAGGAGAATTTTGGAGGTTTCCACCTGAAATGCTGTATCTACCATATGGAAGCTAAAATGACGTCGTTTATAGAAACACCACAGTTTTAAAACACACAGTACAATGAAAAGACTTTGTTTGAATCTCCTACACCTCTCACAGTAGCAGGCTTACACTTGTTGGTAAACGAATGTGCATTCATGTCTACATTTAAAAGACTAACAGTGTTTTTTTTTTTAATATCTCAGGCACTAAATCAATGTCAGAGGCTGTTTATTTTATTGCAGGCATTTTCATGCAAGTGTTCATTTTAAAAATAACTACTACTTTTTATCATAAAGGTACATTTTAAATGTAAAAAAAAACCAAAATAAAATTGGAAGCTAGAGAAAATTATAAAATAGACTAGGGGTTAGCAAACTATAGTCCACAGGCCAATTCCAGCCTGATGCCTGTTTTTCAAATAAAGTCTTAGTTGAACATAGTCAAGCCTATTCACACTTCCTCTGGCTGCTTTTGCACAACAAAGGCTGAGTTGAGTAGTCAGGACAATATGGCCTGCAAAGTCTAAAACATTTTACAGGTCCCTGATGAAGACCACAAGAATCGCCCTTAGTGCTGCTCTCCAAAGGACGTGTCAATGTTTTGTGCATTATTCTTCAGTCTGCCCATCCCTCAATCCCACATCCCTTCCATTCATTTTACAAATATGTATGAAGCCCCTCTGAAAGTATTATATATAATAATTATATTACATATTTTAACAAAATTGAGAAAATACTCTGAATACTGTATTGAGACTGACTTTTTTCAATCGATAGTCTGTGTAATGTTTTACTCAGCATTCTTGTTAAGTAAAAAAAAAAAATTCCTACAAGTTAAAACATTAATAAGAAAATGTTTCTTCTGTGCTGGGTGGGGCGGGCTGGGTGGAACACTTAGTGTTCATAGTAACATGTTCCCACCTGAAGTAGCTCATGGCCCACGACATGACCACAGACCATGACACTTGGGAAATGTCTGCTGATGGTCCATGAGGAAGCCAGATCTTTAAAAGATGGGAAGGAGTTGACACACTCCCCCTCCTCCTGAAAAAATAGCTCAAATACCCTAATGTGGTGGCTCCATCTGCGGCTCCTTCCTAGCCCCTCGAGGGGTGATGCATCCATTGTCCTTGGTGCTCACTCAACATCACATTCCATTGTCTTGTTTTCACTGATTGATCATCTCATCTCATCATCATAACAACCTCGTGAAGTGAGTACATCTCATTTATCCTGTATTACAGATGAGGAAACAGACACTTAGGAATAATTTTCCTAAGGTCACACCTGGTGGGAGGTGGAGCTTTCTGGCTTCCAAGCCTAGATGCTGAACACTTCGTTGCAACCTTCATGCATGTGACGACCCCATAAACTGAAGCTCTCACTTAACCTGTGCCTGACAAGAGGCTATGTACTTCTGCATTGAAAGGCATCACCTTCAAATCAGCACATCCTCCTTCTCATTAACAAACTCTGGCTTACAAATCTCACTTACAAGTCCTGGTTTTCTCACAAACTCTGTGACCCTTGTGTAAATTGTATTATCTCACTAAGCCCAAATTTCTTTTGCCTATAATGGGGGACTAATGATACATGGTCCCCTACATTCTTGTGAGATGCTTGCCAATGAGTTATTTGTGAATGATTTAGCACAGTGTCTGGCCCACGGGAAGCTTTCAGTAAGTGTTGGCCATCACAGAGGCACTAACAGAAATGACAGCACCAGTAATATCAGTTAGCACGGACATCTCAAACATCCTATTTGGTGACAAGTCTTGTGTGTCTATTTCTTCAAAGAAACAAAAGATACTGTAACCAGTTATAAGGCAGGTCAAAGAGCCGCTAGTTCATGGTCCTCTGAAAGTCAACCACTAAAACAATGCCGCAGAAAGAATGTCAGATCTTGAGAAAGGCCAAAATTGGAAGGTTTTGAGCTATTGGGGAAAAAAACTGAACATGTCCTCCATTGTCTTTTTCCCGTGATCAGGCACTTCTAGCTCGTAGAGCAGTCAACTGAGTGGGACCTCAGTGTCAGAACTTGGAGAACCCTGGCTTTGCTCCTGCTGGTCAGTTACAAGCTCTTCCCTGCCTGAGTACAAGCAAAGCAAGCATGTTGCAGATGACTCCTGGGATGAGGAAGAGAGGGAGGGGTCTCCTTCTCAACCCTACTAGGAGTTACAACCAACAGACTCTGACATCAGAATCACCCGACACAGCCTCAGTCACTCGTGTGACCCACTCCATGTGCCCTGTGTGGCTGCTGGGCTGCAGTCATTCTGATCCAATGTCACCTCCAGGATAGTAGCAGTGAGACAGCCCATAAAATGGACACTGGCTGCTGAAAACTATGGAGAGGATAACATCAAAAGGTCTAAGTTTTTGCCAATGCCTTTCTAGGGTTTCCAGGAAAAGAGGGCCAATCAGCCTGAGACCCAGCCATGGCCTCTACACAGCCATGCTGTAGAAACCCCAGGTTGGAGCTGAATAAACGTTCAGAAGAGAAGTTTTCCTAAAGGGAAAGTATTGTTTTAATGTCAATAGTTTTATCTGCAGTCACTGGTGCATGCAGGAGCTTGCCCGTTAGGAATTCCGCAGTAAATATTTTTGATATAAATCAGCACCAAATAAGAGCCAGGTTTGTAAATGCTTTCAAGTTTATTCTTTCCTTCCAAGAGTATTCAGTTAAATATCTTCCCCATGGGCCATATGAGCAGAAGGCTCAGCAGAATCTATCTTAAACTATTTTGGGGCTGAGTTAAACACTCCACCACTTGAGCCCTGAAGGATCGTAGCCATGGATGCCTGTAGGGGCAGAGGGAATCCTAATTGTCTCCCAACACATGAGAATACAATGCCATGGATTCTGCTCCCTCCTGGTAAAAAAGCCCCTCCAGGAATGATGAGGACAGAAAAGGTTCTTGGGCACCAAAGAAACTTGTCAATTCTCTGCTTTTTTTTTTTTTTTTTTTTTTTTTTTTCTGAGACAGAGTCTCCCTCTGTCGCCCAGGCTGGGGTGATGGAGTTTCACCTTGTTAGCCAGGATGATCTCTATCTCTTGACCTCATTATCCGCCCTCCTCAGCCTCCCAAAGTGCTGGGATTACAGGTGTGAGCCACATGCCTGGCCTCCTCTGCTCCTTTTTAAGTTCTTCATCTCCAATCCAGTAATTTCAGGATACTGCAAATGTTCCTCTAGGCTGGGGCCACTTACTGAGTTGGTGCCCTGGGATGAGTCTACCTCTCAAGCCGGTCAAGGCACCCTATTCCAACCCCTAACTGAGATCATCCATTCATTTCAAACCTCAAATGTTAATGAGGTCTACTACCTGCCAGGACCCACTGGAGACATAGAAATAAAAGCTACTACCCTTTATTTACAGGGTAGTGGCATAAAGAGTCAAATAAACAATTAAGGTGGGGCTTGCAAGGGTTGGTATCAGGGCTTCCTGGTTGTTGTATTGCCTCAGTTCGCTCTGAAAGGAAGGCGCTAAGATGAGCAGCCATGCAGGGTCCAAGCTGGAGGAGGGTTGAGTTCTCTGTCCTCCCTCGCAGTTACATAAGCAAGACTGGGTGCAGCTCCCACCTCAGCACTGGTGCAGATGCTCAGGGTCTCCCAAGTTCTCCCTCCCACTGGCTCCTCCCCATGGAAGCTGAGTTCTGGCTTTTGCTTCTATTAGAATGACAAGATCACTGTAAGATCTGAGAATTGGGTTTGGGGAATTTCTTTTGGAGAAAGCAAACTCTTCGAACCTCTTAGCTTCTATGCCATTCAGATAGAATAATTTGGGTTTTCTCATGTCTCTCTCTCTCTTTTTTTTTTTTTTTTTTTTTTTTTAGGTAGAGTCTTGCTCTGTCACCCAGGCTGGAGTGCAGTGGTGTCATCTCAGCTCACTGCAACCTCCACCTCGTGGGTTCAAGTGATTCTCCTGCCTCAGCCTCCAGAGTAGCTGGGATTACAGTGCTTATCTTTGTCGTTGCTGTTATGATACATTTAGGTAGATATAAGAAAACATTCATGATATTTCACTTTTACTTCTTATCATTCCCACTGTAACCAGAATCTGAAGCTACACTTTCCCAATATGTACCTAGTAAAAGCTAAGTAGAAATTCAAAAGAAACACAGAACCCATTGATGAAGGATAAAAATCTCAGTGAAGAAGGGCAGACGTGTCCCAAAGGAGCACAGCTGTGAAGGTGACTGCAGCTGACTCTTAGGCTGCCTGATTTGGAACTTTGGAAATGAGGAGGAGTCACAGAGACAGTACCCAGGAAGGATGCTCAACCTCTACGGGCCTGCCCAGGTCAGATAATAAAAAGTCCTTGATGGAAACAAGACGGAGATGAAAAGGACAGAAAAGAGAAAGGATGTGGATATGTGCTGTTGAGATAGAAAACCCAGGGATTTTTGTTTTTGTTTTGAGACAGAGTCTCTATCTGTCGACCAGGTTGGAGTGCAGTGGTGCCATCTCAGCTTACTGCAACCTCCGATTCCCAGGTTCAAGCGATTCTCCTTCCTCACCCTCCAGAGTAGCTAGGATTACAGGCACCCGCCACCATGCCTGGCTAATTTTTGTATTTTAGTAGAGACAGGGTTTCACCAAGTTGGCCAGGCTGGTGTAGAACTCCTGACCTCAAGTGATCCACCTGCCTTGGCCTCCCAATGTGCTGGGATTGCAGGCGTGAGGCAGCACACCCAGCCAGGTCTTCTCATGTCTTGACCGATACCAACATAGGACATCCCAAGATAGATCATATAGCACCCATTTCCCTTGAGCCCCAATCTTAAGGCACCAAGCTCAGCCCACTTTTCACTACAGCACACTTACTTTCTGAATTGTGTGCTTGAGATTATTCAATTAACAAAAGAAGAGATGGCTTACTTCAACAAACAATATTGCTATTTTTGGAACACATACTCTGCAAAAGTCAGTAAAATGTTATCTTAGTTGATTGTTTAATGTTATATAATAGATTTGGAGAAGTAAATATGGGGTTTTCTGTTCATACCATCTTTAATATTTGTAATGGATGCTGGGCTTAATACCTAGGTGATGGGTTGATCTGTGCAGCAAGTCACCATGGCACAAGTTTACTTATGTAACCAACCTGCTCATCCTGCACATGTATCCCAGAACTTAAAACAAAAGTTGAAGGAAAAAGTATATATATTTGTAATTTAATATGACTGTCATGACTCTCCAAGGAGGGAGAGTTATCCCTTTATACAGTTGAGGGAGCTATATTTGTGGAAAGTTAAAAGATCCGTCTAAACTACCGAGTCAGGTAACGGAGTCATTAAGACTCAAAGCTATACCTCACCAGAACTTACACTCTTTCTATGACACCACACTAACTCCTTGTCCCTCTGGAGTCCTTCTTCCAGAAAAGGATACTGATTTATAAATATTCACTCTAAAAGTAGAAAGATAGCTCTTTATCCTTCTTTTGCTAGGCCCTTACGTCAAATGAAATCATTTATATGTTGACTGTTTGAAGAGCAACAGGGCAAAAGACATTCCCCAAAAAAATTCAACAAAAAAAGTTTTCAATATACAGCGATTACGAATCAGATATTTATAGTCACAGAGCAACCCAAATTAGATGAACAAATATATTCAATGTAAACAAAACAAAGCAAAAGGAAAAGCTAGCAGCAAATTAAAAGGAGTTTGCTTATCAAGTGGTCGAATGATCTATCCCCAAATACAATGTGGAACCTATTTTCCATTCTTTAAAATCTCCTCTTTGCAAATGGAAAGTCCTGTGTATAATATGACCCTGTTCCCAAGAATGCACATGTGAAGGCAGCATTCCCCACGCCGCCCCCACAGCCAACCTGGCATGCCGGATGGATGCAATGGCATTGCTGAACTCGCTGTCGATGCTGCGGCAGTTGTAGAACTCCTCATAGGCTGGCCTGGAAGAACCCTGGTATTCAATGCGGCTGATGCGGCAAATCCCCACGATCAGGATGATCAGCATAAGGATGAAGGCCACGCAGAGGGCTCCAATGATGATGTAGAGGGAGTGCCGTGGCATGTTGGTGAGGCTCTCCGCCATGTGCCCGGACTTCCATTGGAGGTCTGCAGGCAAAAATAAGCAAATGGCTGGGTATGAGTTGTCACCTTTGAGAATGAGAAGGCCTTTTTCATCTTTGCATAGATAACTTAAAACCTAAGGGCCATTCAAACTTGGAAGGCTTATTTTCTACGGATTATCCAGACCCAGGGTTAATATCCTTACTACATAAGGACTTCTTAAGAATAACTAAGAAAAACTACAGGCCGGGCACAGTGGCTGACGGCTGTAATCCCAGCACTTTGGGAGGCTGAGGCAGGTGGATCACTTGAGGTCAGGAGTTTGAGACCAGCCTGGCCAACATGGTAAAACCTCATCTCTACTAAAAATACAAACATTAGCTGGGCGTGGTGGTGGATGTCTGTAATCCCAGCTACTCGGGAGGCTGAGGCAGTAGAATCACTTGAACTCGGGAGGCGGAGGTTGCAGTGAGCCAAGATTGCACCACTGCACTCCAGCCTGGGCAACAGAGTGAGACTCCATCAAACAAAAAAAGAAAAACCAGAAATATGCCACAGAAAAACAAAGGATATAAGGAGGAATTCATCAAAAAAATACAAATAGAAAATTACTTGGCTTCAGAATTACAAAAAAGTACAATTCCTCTATCAGCTCCCAAATATTACTTTAAAATTATAACCACAGTTGGAAGGGTACCCAGAAATAAGGACTACAAGTTGATACATAACCGTTTCATTTACTAATTAGCATATGCTCTGACCCAGATATTCCCATTTTAGGATTTATGCTGGGGAAGTAGCTCAGGAAATGCATAAAGCCTTATGTGTGAAGATGCTTATCTTCATATCACAATTTTTCAATGTTATCACCTATTCCATATTTAGAAAAAGGCTCAGAAAATCACACAGACAACCATGTACTCACTGCTCAGTTAATAATGTTAATATTTTACCATTTTTCTTTAGATTTTTTTTCAGATAGTTTTTTAAAAAGAAATAAAATATGGCTGGGCATGGTGGCTCATGCTTGTAATCCCAGCACTTTGGGAGGCCAAGGCAGGCAGATTGTTTTGAGCTTAGGAGTTTGAGACCAGCCTGAGCAGTATGGCAAAACCGTTTCTCTACAAAAAATACAAAAATTAGCCAGGCATAGTGGCACATGCCTGTGGTCCTGGCTACTCAGGAAGCTGAGGCTAGAGAATCACTTGAACCTGGGAGATGGAGGTTGCAGTGAGCCAAGATCACACCAACACACTCCAGTCTGGGCAACAGAGTGAGACCCTGTCTCAAAAGAAGAAAAAACACACACACACAAATATAGCTAGACTTCCCTCACCCCATACTCTCTCTCCATTCCACCAGCAACAGCATAATTTATTAAAGTCAAAAAATAAAAATCTAAATATTTAACACTCAGTGAGATGAAAAGATATCCACTAAACAACAAAAGAATAAAAGCATGTTACCAAACAGGATCTACTTGGACAGTACAATAATTTCACAATATCTTATGAGTTTAAAATGTCTATATACACATTGAAAAGGTCAAAAGGATAGTATGATAATGATGGCAAACATATATTGATTTCTTATTATAAACTAAGCTCTTTAAAAACAGCTCATTTAATCATTATAACCACCAGAAGATACATTATTCTCTCTCCCCACTTTACAAAGGAGGCCTAGAGAACTGACATCACTTGGAGTGAATGCCTCTGATACAAGTCAGAATCTGAGGTCTTGGCCTTTGCACAGCAACATACTAACAACAGTGATCTCTAAAAGACAGGATTAAAAATGATTATTTTCCTCTGTATATGTCTGAGTCTTTTCCAGATTTTTAAAAATAAGAATGTATTCCTTTTCCAATAAAGAAATATGCAATACATTATTTAAAGAAGACATTTGTAGGATCATCTTCCAGCATAAGAGTGGAAATAGTATCAGCCTTGGGATCACACCAACCTTGCTTTCAATCCAGCTCCTACATTTACTTGATCTCCTTGAGCTTCGGTTTCTTTGTTTGTAAAATGGAAATAACAACATATACCCCATTGGCTTGCTGCAGCATGAGTTAGGAAACATGTTTTTAAAACATTTAAAACTTTTTAACTTTCTAAAAAGTTAAACTTTCTAAAAAGTTAAAAAAAGGTTTTA
This sequence comes from Homo sapiens, assembly GCF_000001405.40. Lineage (NCBI taxonomy): Eukaryota > Metazoa > Chordata > Mammalia > Primates > Hominidae > Homo > Homo sapiens. The sequence continues at coordinate 229,369,232 of NC_000002.12, forward strand.
ACTTCCTAAAAAGTTTAAAAAAAAAGTTTTAACTTTCTAAAAAGTTAAAAAAAAGTTTTAACTTTCTAAAAAGTTAAAAAAAAGTTTTAACTTTCTAAAAAGTTAAAAAAAAGTTTTAACTTTCTAAAAAGTTAAAAAAAAGTTTTAACTTTCTAAAAAGTTAAAAAAAAGTTTTAACTTTCTAAAAAGTTAAACAAAAAGTTTCAACTTTCTAAAAAGTCAAAAAAAAAGTTTCAACTTTCTAAAAAGTTAAAAAAAAAAAGTTTCAACTTTCTAAAAAAGTTAAAGAGTCCACTCCTGGACATGTGGTGGTGGTCCCTAAAGAGGACCAGCTGTGGTGGTGGAGGAGGGAAGGATAAAGGGTCACATGCTGTTCCCTAAGGCACATGCTCTGAGCTGAGGATTACTGAGCATGGCCCTGTGTCCTTCCTAAAAGCACCAACCTGTATTAGCAGGAAAAACTGGAAGGACACAATGTAATCTCTGTGATTGGCGTAGGTCAAGAACATCAAGTTACTTCCTGTTTATAGATCTGCACCCAAATGAAACTATCTAGATAGCGTATACAAGATTTGAAAAGAAATTGTGGAAATTTTAAAGAGCTAGGTAAGACCAAACAGAAGCTGAACTCATATGGAAAAAAGGATGCTTTCTCTACTTTACTCACACCACCACCACCACCATTCCACACTTCCCCACCCACACCAGGACATCATTTTCATGGTAGAATTCCAAGTGCCTGCAAATGAGATTCAGAGGTTAGTGGAAATGGAAATGAGCCTGTCTTTCCATGAAATCCACAGGACTCTTCTCACTGTCCATTATCGTTGAGAGTATTTGTGGCCTCTGGATACTCACACCTTCATCTTAGCTGTATCTTCAGTCATCATAGATCTAAGAATCACAATTAGCTATTCCTTACCTTGAAAAGCTGCAGTCAGTCTGAAGAAGAGCACAGATAGACACCCAAACAGGGGGCCAGGCCTGCAGACCCACTTTCTAGAAGCTAACAGAAAAATGACCCACGTGCCCATCCTGGATGCTTCCTGAGAATCTGAGAACAGATGAATAATGTGATTTCTGAGTTTGCATCCAGACCCTCCTGAATATTTCACCAAAACCTTTGAAGCCTGGTTTGTCATTTGAGTCTGCCTGCCTGAGCTCATAAGGCCCACGGAGCTTAGTAAAACTAAATGACCATTACTGCATTGACTGCTTCATTTAAGCCAACTCACATACAGGCAGACTGAGTAACATAAATCACCAGAAACAGTCACGATGGAAGGGAGAAGGTGTTTGGGGAAAGCAGAACCAAGGCTCAATCCCCAAATCTGCAGCCATCTCATTTGGCAATACCTGGTGTGCACTGAGAGAGACAACTCATTTTTCTGGCTGAAAAAGCAAGCGTGATTCACTTCATTTCCAAGTATTATAACATTCTCTAAAAAATTCAGTTGCAGGCAGGAGTCCAACACTCAGCAGAGTATGTTATAACATCCATTTAGCATCAACACAAGGGCAGCCAGTACTATGTTTCTCCTCCAACTCGGTAGAGTGCTCAGATCTGATCACTATGGAAGATCACATGAGTTCTTGATGAGTTCTTGCAGTCTACGCATAAGCTTCATAGCATTAACCTACACATCACATCAATTGTGTATACACAGTGAGTGCACAACCACATGGCCACTAAAGTGAAAAAAACAACCATACTGGGCTATGTGCTCAGTGCAGTGTCCCAGGTCTGACTGCTTGCATTTATGACCATCTGCTCCGTTTCCCAAAACTCTGTATTCCAAGCTGTTCGGACTTTTGGAAAAACTTTCTCAAGATTTCTCCTAAAAGCTCTGCTTTCCTCTCTCCCCCTGCCCTTTTCTTTAAAGCTAGATTCCACCTCACTGTCATCTAAAACTTTTTTGATACAAATGACTGTGGCTGCTTTACAGGCTAATTGGTTTAGTAGCTGGGATGGATCTGGCTAAGTCCAACGCTAGGTCTGAGAGACAGCAAATTTATCTATGCCAGGTGCCTGCAACCACCATCTCTCAGTCCAGATGCTATCCTCATAAGTCATTGCTTTGCTGCATCCCAGGAGTCTCATCACATGAATTGTTGACTATGTTTGCTACAGCATGGCACTGGGAAGAATTGTGAACCAGAATATGCCAGATGGGTTCATCTCATCAGCCCCAGCAGGTGCATGACCAGGAATGCATGTGCACGAGCTGCTCAAGAAAAATGTCACGCTTGTGAGTCTGACAGATCATTTTCATGTTTTTAAACTAGATTTGTTTGAGGTGTTGTATTTTCCAAAGTGCTTTTGCATTAAGCATTTCAGTTGGCCCTAAACAAACACCTTGAGCTAGGCAGAGGTGCTAAACTTGGAGCAGTTGCTCAAGGTGAGGCAGACAGTCAGTGGCCAAGCTGAGAATAAAATCAGACCCACCTCCACTCTGCCAAAAAGAGACTCCAGTCAATTTACATATTGCATCTAAAATACATAGCCCATATCTATTTTTTAATTTACCTAGATGAATGTAGCTACACTAGTTAATTTGCTTACCTATGTTATTTTTAAAAAGAGCAAGTTATTTTTAAAAAGAGCAAGTTAAAAATACCTATGTTATTTTTAAAAAGACTGTTTCTTAAGAAGATGTTACTTAGCTTAAGAATTTTTAAGACTACTTGTTGCCTAGAACAATTGTGAGGAGGGATGTCAAATTACTTTGTTTTCTATAGTTAAAGGTTAGCAGGACAATCAAAGCAGTCAGTGAGATTGAAAAAGATTAACAACTCTTGTTAATCTCTGGAAGAGGAATGAATGCGAAAAGGGAATGAAAGAGATCGTCTCCTTTATGGGGATCCATTCACTGAGCACATTAATTAAGGACCTACTATGTGCCAGGCACAGTGCTGAGTGACAGGGATGGAAAGCAAGGGAAAATAGAGAGAAAAGTAGGCTCATGTAGTCCCCAGTTTTCTGAGGGATGCAGGGATCAGGCAAATGATCCCCAAAACAAAGTAAAAGTACAACTGTGCTATGTCTACAAGGGACGAGCTCTTCAGTGCAGCAGGAGGACAGGAGATATTTTACCTCACTGACTGCCAAGAGAGCTTGCACAACAGGAGCCCTTACGGAGTTAGGTTATGAGTGGGCACTAACCAGGGACGGGCAAGAGCAGAGGGGAGACTGCACAGGCAAAGAACCAGAGTGAGCACAGGCCTGTGGGAGGGGGGTGAGGGAGAAGAACAAGGGCTGGAAGAACAGCATGACTGCTTGAGAGAGAGGCAGAGAGTGGCTGCAGCAAGGAGAAGGGATCTCCTTGAAGGATAGGGCAGTGTGGCCTTGGGTCTTTAGTAACTTATTTATTTTAATAGGAGCTTGGCACAGTCAGTGTTGGAAACAGTGGGAGGGAGGGTCTGAGTGTTCCAATTTGCACTTTGAAAAGATCCTTCTGGCTGTGCATGAAGAAAGGGTTTGAGGAGCAAGGACAGAGGCTGGTTCAGAGGCTCCTGTAGGACGGGGCAGGGTTAGTGGTAACTTGACCTATGGTGATGGGCATGGAGACAGAGAGAGGGGAATGGATGTGAGTGCTGTGTTAGGGGGGAATCAACCAGACTAAATGCAGCTTGTACAGATAGGCCAATGAGGGGAGAGAAACCAGGAGGCCAATTCCTGGTTTCCTGGCTTTTATCGTTGGATGGATGAGGTGCTGTAGCCGAGTGAGACGACCAGATTTGAGAGGAAGATTCTGAGTTTGGTTTTATACATGTTAAATTGGAGGTACCAATTCTGGACATGGGCTTTGGGAAAGAACATATAACTAAATCCTCAAAAGCAATCGCAACAAATGCAAAAATTGACAAGTGAGACCTAATTAAACTAAAGAGCACAGCAAAAGAAACTATTGACAGAGTAAACAGACAACCGACAGAAGAGGAGAAAATATTCGCAAATGATGCATCCAAGAAAGGTCTAATACCCAGAATCTGTAAGAAACTTAAACAATTGAACAAACAAAAACCAAATAACCTCATTCAAAAGTGGGCAGGAGATATGCACAGACACTTCTTAAAAGAAAGCATGTAAGTGGCCAACAAACATGAAAAAATGCTCAACATCACTAATTATCAGAGAAATGCAAATCAAAACCACAATAAGATAATCACGTCCCACCAGTCAGAATGGCGATGATTAAAAAGTCAAGAAACAACAGATATTGGCAAGGCTGAGGGAAAAAGGGAACACGGTGTTGGTGGAAATGTAAATTAGTTCAGCCACTGTGGAAAGCAGTTTGGAGATTTCTCAAAGAATTTAGAACCACTATTCAACTCAGCAATCTCATTACTGGGTATGTATCCAAAAGAAAACAAATTGTTCTACCAAAAAAGCACAGGCACTTGCACGTTCACTGCAGCACTATTCACAATAGCAAAGATACAGAATCAACCAAGGTGCCTGCCCATCAAAGATGGATTGAATAAAGAAAATGTGGTACATATACAGCATGGAATACCATGCAGCCATAAAAAAAGAGTGAAATCATGTCATTTGCAGCAATATGGATGCAGTTGAAGGCCATTATCCTAAGTGAATTAACATAGGAGCAGAAAAACAAACACCACATGTTCTCACTTATAAGTGGGAGCTGGCCAGGCACGGTGGCTCACACCTGTAATCCCAGCAGTTTGGGAGACCGAAGTGGGTGGATAGCTTTGATCTTAGGAGTTCCAGACCAGCCTGGCCAACATGGAAAAACTCCATCTCTACTAAAAATACAAAAAAAGTAGCCAGGTGTCATGGTACATTTCTGTAATCCCAGCTACTTGGAAGCCTGAGGCACAAGAATGGCTTGAGCCTGGGAAGCGAAGGGTGCAGTGAGCTGAGATCGCACCAGTGAACTCCAGCCTGGGTGAGACCCTGTCTTAAAAAAGAAAAAAAAATAGGAGCTGAACATCAGGTACTTGTGGATATAGAGGCCACAACAATAGACATTAGGGACTACTAGGGAGTAAGGAAAGGAAGGGGGGAAATGGTTAAAAAACTAATGGGGACTATAGTCAGTACCTGGGCGACAGGATCATTCATATCCCAAACCTCAGCATCACACAATGTACCCAGGTAAAAACCTGCACATGTGCTCCTTGAATCTAAAATAAAAGTTGAATAAACAAATAAATGAATTGGAAGTACCTTTAAGACACCCAAGTAGTTATGTCTAATAGTTAAATTTTGATGTTTAGCTCATCATTTTGGTTAGTAAGAGCTGATATTTATTGAGGGTTCCATTTGTGCTGGACACTAAGTGTTAAGGCGTTAACTCACCTATTCCTCCTACAATGCTTTGAGGTAGACACTATTATTGCCTTCATTTTATATAGGAAGCAACTGAGACTCTAAGAGGAAAGCTATGTGCCCAGGGTTACACACAGTAAGTGGCAGCCCCTGAGTTTAAGCCCAGGTGCCCTGGTTCTAAAGCCACACACTTCAATCAATAAGGAATGTTTTGCAAACTGTAGATTGTAGAAATCAATGTAATGGGGCCAGACTCACATTTAAAAAAAAAAATTTAGAGAACTATTTCAGAGTTTGTACACTTATAAAAAGTTAAGTATTATTTTATGTTGTGTGTGTTTGTGTGTATATTAGGCTGTGTGTTACATGCAGCGTCAAGATGTAAAACATACTACTTACTGTGGGTTGCACTCAAAAGGCATGAAAAGCATTTCCCTATGCTGTACACATCCATCAGAGCTCTTCAGAGAGGCAATGGAATGTTCCTCCTCATGAGATTTTTTGGAATAAAAAAGTCAAGATCGAATCACATCAATAACAACTACCTATCTGTATAATGCCTGTGGTCCTATAATATTCTGTACTTGCAGCAAATTGGTTATTAACCCAAAAGTATCTAGTTTACCCAGGTTCCATCAGAGATGGGAAATTTCATTTTCAGCAGATGCCCAGAGACTTTTAGTTGTTCAAAGAGAAAGACAGCTGATGATAATAATTAAGGTAATCATTTATTAAGTATCTACTATGTACCAGTCACTGAACAATATTGGTTACATTTACTATCCCATTTATCAAGGCCTAAGGCTCAGAGACCTTGTTTTCTGGCCCAGGGATAAATACCTGAGTTAGAATTCAAAACAGCTCAACTCACAGAATTGAGTTATCAACCACAAAACTCCACAACAGCATTCTTTCCACTCAATCAGTATGCTTTCCCCACATCTAGCCACAATCCCTCCCTGAGAAGGAGAGGATGCATTCCTGGTGTTCCAAGTATGTACTAAAGGTAATTATGGATTCAGTGGGATTTGCAAGTTACCCTTGGACCCCACCACCATTGCTTCCAAGGGGAAAAGTTCTAAAAGGCAAAAAGCCAACTTATAATGAAATGCTCATGAAAAGTTAAAAGATAATCACCAACCAAAATCAAAATATTAAATGCAAAAACCCTTTGACAATTTTATCTTTGAGAATTTCTACTATTGATATTCTTACATAAGCACAAAGATGCTGCTATGATCTGAATGTATGTGACTCCCAAGCTTAAATGTTGCAGCCTAATCCATACAGTTAGGCTTTGTGTCCCCACCCAAATCTCATCTTGAATTGTAATCCCCATAATCCTCATAATCCCCACATGTCAAGGGAGAGACAGGTGGAAGTAACTGAATCATGGGGGCGGGTCCCCCATGCTGTTCTCATGAAAGTGAGTTCTCACAAGATCTGATGGTTTTATAAGGGGTTCTTCCCTATTCACTCAACATTTCTCCTTCCTGCCACCTTGTGAAGAAGGTGACTTGCTTCCCCTTCGCCTTTTGCCGTGCTTGTAAGTTTCCTGAGACCTTCCCAGCCATGCTGAAATGTGAGTCAATTAAACCTCTTTCCTTTATAAATTACCCTGTATCAGGCAGTTCTTTATAACAGTATGAAAACAAACTAATAAACTAATCAACGAAGCGATGGTATTAAGAGATGTAGTCTTTGGGAAGTGATTAAGTCATGAGGGCTCTGCCTTCATGAACTAGGTTAATGTCCTTATAAAAGAGGCCCAAGAGAGCCACCTTGCCCTTCCACTATGTGAAGACACTGCCAGAAGGCCCTATCTATGAGGAATGAGCCCTCGTCAGACACTGGATCTGCCAGTGCCTTGCTCTCAGACTTCTCAGCCTCCAGAACTGTGAGCAATTACTTACTGTAAGGTATTTTGTTATAGTATCCCAAGCAAACTAAGACAGGTGCATATATAGAATATTCATTCTAGTATTGCTTTAAATAGCAAAACCCCTCAAATGTATTATCTATCAATGGGGGTCTGATTAAATAAATTTTGGAGATGCTAAAGAATGGAAATACCATGTGACATTTTAAAAAGTGTCGTAGATCTGCATAAGGTAGTGTGGGTGCACCTTCAGGATATACTGTTACAATAAAAGCAATATGTTGAAGAGTGTGTATAAAACTCTCATTTGTACAGGAGAAAATAGGAACTTATCTATTGACTGATGCATCTAGAAGAATATGCAATAAATGTCTAACAGTAGTTACCTTTAAGGAGTGAGGTGGGGATCTGGATAAGGAGAGATATTAATTAATTTTATTTTTTAAACATCTTGGTTTATACAAAAATGAGAACCAAAGAGCCAACCTATTTGTATAATAAGAACTGCCCATATAATATAATCATTTGATACATTTCTTTAACCATTATTAAATTCCATCTATTGTTAAAGGAAGAGGCCCAAGACATCCATCTATACCTCTGGCCCCAGGATGAGTTACTTTCCCTTTCCCTGGTTGTCTAGAGGTGGCTGTGCAAAGCCTTACGGTGACTCATCATATATTCAAACCTGCCCTCAGATTACAAGCTCCCAAAGGCAGGGTATGTTTCATTAACCTTTATATTCCAGAACTACACTCAATGCCTGACAATAAAGAGCCACTGATTCCTGATTGAATGCATAAATCTAAAATAGCCTATTTGCCTATTTCTCAACTGCAAAATATCATTAATTCAATAGTTTAACTGTATTTAACCATAGATTCAACTGTTTAATATACAAAACTGGCCAACTGTCAGTCAATGAGGTTAACTATAACTCTAACTTTATAAAGCTTACTCAAACAAAGCAAAACACACCAACACTGCTATGTCAAGATTCATAGAAATTTTGATTTTTAGACCTTGATTCTAGGAAGGCATATTTTCCTTTTATTATAATTCAGAAAAAATTATAATCAGTCCCAAGGTGGTAAAAATGAATGGCAGAAAATTAAAACTTCACTGATGTTCTGTTAATTTCCAGAACTGTGGGTTTTCATTTGCCTTAAAACATGTGTAAATCACTACAGCTATTTGATCGATTCTATTAGGATGGTCCTGGATCAATCTTCTTGATAGTTTTGATAAATCTGTGTGGTCTGTTAGATTTCTGCTTCTTATTACTGACTGGCGGCCAGATAATTACCCCAAAGGGGCAAATAACTAGGGTGATGCGTTAACAGATAAAATTAATTCTACCTCATCCCCAAATATTGTAATATTTAAGAACAAAGAGAGAGGAATGAGATACCATTGGTGGGTGGTACGAAAGGCAGAATAAGGGTCTCCTGAAGATGTCCTAATGCCCAGAACCTATCAATACATTATATGGCAAAAATGACTTTCCTAATGTGATTAAATTGAGATCTTGAGATGGAGAGATTATTCTGGATTATCTGGACAAGCTCAATGCAACCAGAAGAGTCCTAATAAGTGAAAGAAGGAGGTAGGAGAGTTGACAATTGAGTGATGAGAATGAAAGCAGAGGTCAAAATGACATTTCTGACTTTGAAGAAGGCAGAAGGCACCACGAGCCAAGAAATGTGAGCAGCCTTAAGGTTAGAAAAGGCAAGGGGAGACAAGTTCTCCCCTAGAGCCTCCAGAAAGAAGACAGCCCTGCTGGTCTCTTGATTTTAGCCCAGTGAGGCCCATTTTGCACTTTTGCCTTCCAGAACTGTAACGTGATAGATCTGTGTTGTTTTAAGCCACTCAATTTGTGGTAATTTGTTACAGTGACAAGAGGAAACTAATACAGATGGTCAGGGAAGGCACCTTTGAACTGAGACCTGAATGAGAAGAAGGCAGCTGTGCTAAAATCTGAAAGAAGAGAGCTCCAGGCATAGGGAACAGCATGGGTGAAGGTCCTGAAGGCAGGGATGACCTTGACCTGCTCAAGGAAGGGAAAGCAGGACACTGTGGCTACTGCAGAGGCAGCAAGGAAGACAGGCAAGCAATGTGGCCTCTGAAGGCAGTGATCGAGTTAATGGAAGCCTCCTTTACTTCCTCAGGTGACTCAGCAGCCCTCCAGCACCATGTAGCTATGTGGGCCATGGTTCTCTGTGTACATCTGAGCTTTTCTGTTTAGATCTACTGACTAGACTTTGAGATATCCAGGCATCCTCCTCTTGGTTTCTGGATACTTCAGAGGATCACAGATGCTCAGAGTTAGAAAGAGACCTCAGAGGCCGTGGTTCCCATGGCTCACGCAGGACTAGAGGCCTCTTACAGCTTCCCTGCCCACCAAATGTACGAATTCTGTGTGCACTCTGGATCCTCAGATCCATTCCATTGATTCAGACCCAATTATCTAGACACGAGCCACTGGTTTCAGCTATGTGTCATCCGCAAACCTCATACACACGGTCTCCTTTCCATATACTCAGGTCATGGTTAGAAATATCCAGTGCTGGGACCTGGCAGAGCCTAATCTGTAATTAAATTTAGTTTTGATACCTTTGGCCCTATAGAGAAATATAAATGAGATCATCAAATGGAAGATGATAGAGTTGAGTGAACACGGCGTCCAGGTATGCACTGAGATGTGTAATGTACCCTATCACACCCAGCCACTCAGAATAGCCACTGTCCTGGGCTGTAGGCAGCATCTAAAAAGACAATTGCTGAAGGTTAATCCTTCCTGGGAGTAGCTCATAGCATAAGAGGTATAGTAGTACAGAAAAAATAAAAGAAAGATCAACCAGTATTTATTTAGTGTCTACTGAACAGCAGAAATCTGGACATTTGCCTCATGTAATCCTCACAGCAACCAGCATGGGAAGCCTTCCTATAATCAAGTGAGAAAGACAAGGCTCCCAGAGGTAAATTTGTTTTTCCAGGTTACATAGTTAGAATATGATGGAGCTTGAATCTGAAGTCGACTTTGATCCTTTTGTTATTCCATATTTTGCCTACATTATCATCACCAGAAGAAGTAAACTTTAGATTTTTTACAATGATAGGATTTCACTTCAAAATTTCTTGATGATATCCTGTGTGTTCCTGACTTTTCATCTATACTCTCCTATATATTTATCTTCATGAATCCCATTTTAAAGTTATAAGTAGATATTACTCTGCCCTAAAGGCACAAAGTGTGTCAATTTGTCATACTAAACTTTAGAATGAAAACTGATCCCATTTTCTGGAAAAGTAAACTGAGGCTCAGCACAAGCAAATGCAGTCATAACGAGTGCCTTGGCCAGGATAAGAACCAAGGTCCTGCTGACCCAAGTCTGGAATCCTTTCCACCAGCAGATTCCACCAGACTGGACTTAACATCCTATAACTACAGTCCCTTAGAATTTTACCATTGAAATCCTTTTCAGTCCCTTGTCTCTCTCTTCAACAAGAAAGTAGTTCTCACCCATCTTTAGCAAGGAAAGTTAATTCGAAGCCCATTCTGTATGAGAGCAATTGAGAATGCTAAGGGGGAGGCCTATAACAATTACACACTTCACACTTTGGCTGCATGAACCAAGAAGAAAGACAGTGAGTGAGCAGGTAAGAAGCTAAATCATATCCTCAGCCTCTTATCAAGTTGATCAAATTGACGTTGGAGAATGTGGTCAAGTTGGTCAAGTTGATGTCAGAGAATGTGGTCCACATTTGGACAAGAGAGTTTCCTAATACCGGCCACCCTCTACATTAGAAAACACTGAGAATGAGATGACCCTATCCAGCCATAGGCAGCCAGAACCACCAGTGAGGGCCTGGTCTTGTGACATAGAGAGGAGTGGAGAGAGCAGACAGATCAGGCCAAGTGACACAGACAGACAGGCAGAAGCAGGCAGGCAGGACTGTGGGTACTGATTTGCATCCTTCCAAATTCACACAGAAGACAAGTTTTCTTTATCTGTCAAAAGGTGAGTGAGCAGGTGACAGAGCGCGGAAGGGAGTTCTTATGCAACTTTCCCAGGAAAAGAAGCAATCTGGAATAGGGAGGAAACTTTCACCCAACCAGCATGGTTAGCTCTCTTCGGCTATGAAAGATCAAATTGCCCCAGCTAATTTAAATAAGAAGACAATACCTTTCAAAGTTGAATCTTTAACAGTTCCAAAACAATTGAAAACTCGATTGCAGTCAGGCACGGTGACTCACACCTGTAATCCCAGCACTTTGGGAGGCCAAGGCAGGTGGATCATGAGGTCAAGAGATCGAGACCATCCTGGCCAACATAGTGAAACCCCTTCTCTACTAAAAATACAAAAATTAGCCAGGAGTGGTGCCACACACCTGTAATCCCAGCTACTCGGGAAGCTGAGGTAGGAGAATCACTTGAACCGAGGAGGCAGAGGTTGCAGTGAGCTGAGATCATACCACTGCACTCCAGCCTGGACACAGCAAGACTCCATCTCAAAAAATAAAAATAAAAAAATAAAATAAAATAAAAAAAGAAAACTGGAGGGGAGGCTGGCAAAATGGCCGAATAGGAACAGCTCTGGTGTGCAGCTCCCAGCAAGATCAATGCAGAAGGCAGCTGATTTCTGCATTTCCAACTGAGGTAGCTGGCTCATCTCATTGAGACTGGTTAGACAGTGGGTACAGCCCATGGAGGGCGAGCAGAAGCAGGATGGGGTGTCGCCTCACCCGGGAAACACAAGGGGTCAAGAAACTCCCTCCCCTAGCCAAGGGAAGCCATGAGGGACTGTGTCGTGAGGAACGGTGCACTCCAGCCTAGATACTATACTTTTCCCATGGTCTTCACAATCCACAGACCAGGAGATTCCCTCGGGTACCTATGTCACCAGGGCCCTGGGTTTCAAGCACAAAACTGGGCAGCCATCTGGGCAGACACTGAGCTAGCTGCAGGAGTACTTTTTTTTTCCTACCCCAGTGGCTCCTGGAACACCAGTGAGACAAAACCGTTCACTCCCCTGGAAAGGTGGCTGCAACCAGGGAGCCAAGTGGTCTAGCTCAGCAGATCCCACCCCCACGGAGCCCAGCAAACTAAGATCCACTGGCTTGAAATTCTCACTACCAGCACAGCAGTCTGAAGTCGACCTGGGACACTGAAGCTTGGTGGGGGGAGGGGCGTCCACCATTACTGAGGCTTGAGTAGGCGGTTTTCCCCTCACAGTGTAAACAAAGCCGCCAGGAAGTTTGGATTGGACGGAGCCCACCGCAGCACTGCAAAGCCACTATAACCAGACAGCCTCTCTAGATTCCTCCTCTCTGTGCAGGGCATTTCTGAAAGAAAAGCAGCAGCCTCAGTAAGGAGCTTATAGATAAAACTCCCATCTCCCTGGGACAGAGCACCTGGGGGAAGGGGCAGCTGTGGGTGCAGCTTCAGCAGACTTAAATGTTCCTGCCTGCCGGCTCTGAAGAGAGCAGTGGATCTCCCAGCACAGCACTTGAGCTCTGTTAAAGGACAGGCTGCCTCCTCAAGTGGGTGCCTCCTGACAGAGAGACACCTCCCAGCAGGGATCAACAGACACCTCATATAGGAGAACTCCGGCTGGCATCTGGCAGGTGACCCTCTGGGAAGAAGCTTCCAGATGAAGGAACAGGCAGACATCTTTGCTGTTCCACAGCCTCCATTGGTGATACCCAGGCAAATGGTCTGGAGTGGACCTCCAGCAAACTCCAGCAGACCCACAGCAGAGGGGTCTGACTGTTAGAAGGAAAACTAACAAACAGAAAGGAATAGCATCAACATCAACAAAAAGGATGTCCACACAGAAACCCCATCCAAAGGTCACCAACATCAAAGACCAAAGGTAGATAAATCCACGAAGATGAGGAAAAACCAGCACAAAAAGGCTAAAAATTCCAAAAACCAGAATGCCTCTTCTCCTCCAAAGGATCACAACTTCTCACTAGCGAGGGAACAGAACTGGACAGAGAATGAGTTTGACGAATTGACAGAAGTAGGTTCCAGAAGGTGGGTAATAACAAACTCCTCTGAGCTAAAGAAGCATGTTCTAACCCAATGCAAGGAAGCTAAGAAACTTGAAAAAAGGTTAGATGAATTGCTAACTAGAATAACCAGTTTACAGAAGAACATAAATGACCTGATGGAGCTGAAAAATACAGCAAGAGAATTTTGTGAAGCATACACAAGTATCAATAGCCAAATAGATCAAGCAGAAGAAAGGATATAAGAGACTGAAGACCAACTTAATGAAATAAAGCATGAAGACAAGATTAGAGAAAAAAGAATGAAAAGGAATGAACAACGCCTCCAAAAAATATGGGACTATGTGAAAAGACCAAACCTGTTTGATTGGTGTACTTGAAAGTGACGGGGAGAATGGAAACAAGTTGGAAAACACTTTTTAGGATATTATCCGGGAGAACTTCCCCAACCTAGCAAGACAGGCCAACATAATTCAGAAAATACAGAGAACACCACAAAGATACTCCTCGAGAAGAGCAACCCCAAGACACATAATCATCAGATTCACCACAATTGAAATGAAGGAAAAATGTTAAGGGCAGCCAGAGAGAAAGGTCGGGTTACCCACAAAAGGAAGCCCATCAGACTAACGGCAGATCTCTCTGCAGAAACCCTACAAGCCAGAAGAGAGTGGAGGCCAATATTCAACATTCTGAAACAAAAGAATTTTCAACCCAGAATTTCATATCCAGCCAACCTAAGTTTCGTAAGTGAAGGAGAAATAAAATCCTTTACAGACAAGCAAATGCTAAGAGATTTTGTTACCACCAGGCCTGCCTTACAAGAGCTCCTGAAGGAAGCACTAAATATGGAAAGGAAAAACCAGTACCAGCCACTGCAAAAACATACCAAATTGTAAAGACAATTGACACTATGAAAAAACTGTATCAACTAACGGGCAAAATAACCAGCTAGCATCATAATGACAGGAGCAAATTCAAACATAACAATACTAACCTTAAATGTAAATGGGCTAAATGCCTCAATTAAAAGACACACAGTGGCAAATTGCATAGAGTCAAGACCCATTGGTGTGCTGTATTCAGGAGACCCACCTCACATGCAAAGACACACATAGGCTCAAAATAAAGGGATGGAGGAATATTTACCAAGCAAATGGAAAGCAAAAAAAGGAGGGATTTCAATTCTAGTCTCTAATAAAACAGACTTTAAACCAACAAAGATCAAAAGAGACAAAAAAGGGCATTACATAATGGTAAAGGGATCAATGAAACAAGAAGAGCTAACTGTCTTAAATATATATGCACCCAATAAAGGAGCATCCAGATTCATAAAGCAAGTTCTTAGAGACCTAAAAAGAGAATTAGACTCCCACACAATAATAGTGGGAGACTTTAACACCCTACTGTCAATATTAGACAGATCCACGAGACAGAAGATTAACAAGAATATTCAGGACTTGAACTCAGCTCTGGACCAAGCAGACCTAATAGACATCTACAGAACTCTCCACTCCAAATCAGCAGAATACACATTCTTCTCAGCACCACTTCGCACTTATTCTAAGATTGACCACATAATTGGAAGTAAAACACTCCTCAGCACATACAAAAGAATGGAAATCATAAGAAACAGTCTCTCAGACCACAGTGCAATCAAATTAGAACTCAGGATTAAGAAACTCACTCAAAACTGCACAACTACATGGAAACTGAACAACCTGCTCCTGAATGACTACTGGGTAAATAACGAAATTAATGCAGAAATAAATAAGTTATTTGAAATCAATGAGAACAAAGACACAATGTACCAGAATCTCTGGGACACAGCTAAAGCAGTGTTTAGAGGGAAATTTATAGCACTAAATCCCCACAGGAGAAAGTGGGAAAGATCTAAAATCGATACCCTAACATCACAATTAAAAGAACTAGAGAAGCAAGAGCAAACAAATTCAAAAGCTAGCAGAAGACAAGAAATAACTAAGATCAGAGCAGAACTGAAGGAGAGAGAGACAAGAAAAACCCTTCAAAAAATCAAGGAATCCAGGAGCTGGTTTTTTGAAAAGATTTACAAAATAGATAGACCACTAGCCAGACTAACAAAGAAGAAAAGAGAGAAGAATCAGATAGACACAATAAAAATTGATAAAGGGGATATCACCGCTGATCTGATAGAAATACAAACTACTATCAGAGAATACTATAAACACCTCTATGCAAATAAACTAGAAAATCTAGAAGAAACAGATAAATTCCTGGACACATACACCCTCCCAAGACTAAACCAGAAACAAGTTGAATCCCTGAATAGACCAATAAGAAGTTCTGAAATTGAGGAAGTAATTAATAGCCTACAAACCAAAAAAAGCCCAGGACCAGATGGATTCACAGCCAAATTTTATCAGAGGTACAAAGAGGAGCTGGTACCATTCCTTCTGAAACTATTCCAAACAATAGAAAAGAGGGACTCCTTCCCAACTCATTTCATGAGGCCAGCATCATCCTGATACCAAAACCTGGAAGAGACGCAACAAAAAAAGAAAACTTCAGGCCAAGATCCCTGATAAACATTGATGCAAAAATCCTCAATAAAATACTGGCACACCGAATCCAGTAGCACATCAAAAAGCTTATCCACCACTGTACTCCAGTCTGGGCAACAGAGCGAGACTCCATCTAAAAAAAAAAAAAAAAAGCTTATCCACCACAATCAAGTTGGCTTCATCCCTAGGATGCAAGGGTTCAATATATACAAATCAATAAATGCAATCCATCACTTAAACACAACCAATGATAAAAACCACGTGATAATCTCAATAGACACAGAAAAGGCCTCTGATAAAGTTTAACACACCTTCATGCTAAAAACTCTCAATAAACTAGGTATTGACAGAACGTATCTCAAAATAAGAGCTATTTATGACAAACCCACAGCCAGTATCATACTGAATGGGCAAAAGCTAGAAGCATTCCTTTTGAAAACTGGCACAAGACAAGGATGCCTTCTCTCACCACTGCTATTCAACATAGCATTGGAAGTTCTGGCCAGGTCAATCAGGCAAGGGAAAGAAATAAAGGGTATTCAAATAAGAAGAGAGGAAGTAAAATTGTCTCTGTTTGCAGATGACATGATTGTATATTTAGAAAGCCCCATTGTCTCAGCTCAAAATCTCCTTAAGCTGATAAGCAACTTCAGCAAAGTCTCAGGATACAAAATCAATGTGCAAAAATCACAAGCTTTCCTATAAATCAATAATAGACAAACAGAGAGCCAAATCATGAGTGAACTCTCATTCACAATTGCGACAGAGAATAAAATACATAAGAATACAACTTACAAGGGATGTTAAGGACCTCTCAAGGAGAACTACAAACCACTGCTCAAGGAAATAAGAGAAGACACAAACAAATGAAAAAAACATTTCATGCTCATGGATAGGAAGAATCAATATCATGAAAATGGCCATACTGCCCAAAGTAATTTACACGTTCAATGCTATCCCCACCGAGCTACCACTGACTTTCTTCACAGAATTGGAAAAATCTACTTTAAAGTTCATATAGAACCAAAAAAGAGCCTGCATAGCCAAGACAATCCTAAGCAAACAGAACAAAGCTGGAGGCATCATGTTACCTGATTTCAAACTATACTACAAAGCTACAGTAACCAAAACAGCATGGTACTGGCACCAAAACAGATGTACAGAGTAATGGAAAAGAACAGAGGCCTCAGAAATGATGCCACATATCTACAACCATCTGATCTTTGATAAACCTGATAAAAACAAGCATTGGTGAAAGGATTCCCTATTTAATAAATGGTGTTGGGAAAACTGGCTAGCCATATGCAGAAAACGGAAACTGGACCCCTTCCTTACACCTTATACAAAAACTAACTCAAGATGGATAAAAGACTTACACGTAAGACCTAAAACTGTAAAAACCCTAGAAGAAAACCTAGGCAATACCATTCAGGACATAGGCATGGGCAAAGACTTCATGACTAAAACACCAAAAGCAATGGCAACAAAAGCCAAAATTGACAAATGAGATCTAATTAAACTAAGGAGCTTCTGGACAGCAAAAGAAAC
This sequence comes from Homo sapiens, assembly GCF_000001405.40. Lineage (NCBI taxonomy): Eukaryota > Metazoa > Chordata > Mammalia > Primates > Hominidae > Homo > Homo sapiens. Next base: position 229,386,514 of record NC_000002.12, read on the forward strand.
TATCATCATAGTGAACAGACAACCTACAGAATGGGAGAAAATTTTTGCAATCTATCCATCTGGAAAAGGGCTAATATCCAGAATCTACAAAGAACTTAAAAAAATTTACAAGAAAAAAAAAACAAACAACCACATCAAAAAGTGGGCAAAAGGTATGAACAGATACCTCTCAAAAGAAGACATTCATGCAGCCAACAAAAATATGAAAAAAAAGCTCATCATCACTGGTCATTAGTGAAATGCAAATCAAAACCACAATGAGATACCATCTCACGTCAGTTAGAATGGCGATTATTAAAAAGTCAGGAAATAACAGATGCTGCAGAGGATGTGGAGAAATAGGAATGCTTTTATACTCTTGGTGGGAATGTAAATTTGTTCAACCATTGTGGAAGACAGTGTGGTGATTCCTTAAGGATCTGGAACCAGAAATACCATTTGACCCAGCAATCTCATTACTGGGTATATACCCAAAGGATTATAAATCATTCTACTATAAAGACACATGCACACGTATGTTTATTGCAGCATTGTTCACAACAGCAAAGACTTGGAACCAACCCAAATGCCCATCAATGACAGACTGGATAAAGAAAATGTGGCACATATACACCATGGAATACTATGCAGCCATAAAAAAGGATGAGTTCCTGTCCTTTGCAGGGACATGGATGAAGCTGGAAACCATCATTCTCAGCAAACTAACACAGGAACAAAAAACCAAACACCACATGTTCTCACTCATAAGTGGGAGCTCAACAATGAGAACACATGGACATAGGGAGAGGAACATCACACACTGGGGCCTGTCAGGTGGTGGGGAGCTAGGGGAGGCATAGCATTAGGAGAAATACGTAATGTAGATAACAGGTTGATGGGTGCAGAAAACCACCATGGCATGTGTATACCTATGTAACAAACCTGCACGTTCTGCACATGTGTCCCAGAACTTAAAGTATAATAGAAAGAAAAAGAAAGAAAGAAAGAAAGAAAGAGAGAAAGAAAGAAAGAAAGAAAGAAAGAAAGAAAGAAAGAAAGAAAGAAAGAAAGAAAGAAAAGAAAGAAGGAAGGAAGGAAAGAAGGAAAGGCAAGCAAGCTCGATTCCATGTTAGTTCTCATTTTTCACTTCAATCCTAGTAGATATATTGTTTTAAGGTATAAAATCTTGATTAAGACATTTATCAAACTTCTATTAGTTCACCCTAAGAGATCACTCAGCTTTAAGCAGCCCAAAATGTTTTTCAGCCTTTCTTTTAAGCTTGTCTTCACTGAACTTTTCTCGAGGCAATAGAAGGAACTTAATACATTTGAAGACACTTGAACACATAAATAAAAAGGTAATTTGCATTCTGTGTGTGTGTGTGTGTGTGTGTGTGTGTTTTTTAATTTTCAACACAAAGACTCTATTTTTTTGATACGATTCTAATGCTTTTCTGTTCAGCACATTTTTGGCTGCATGAGTAGCAGTGAACTCTGGATGACATCTGAAAATTCTCATCCTGGGGAAAGGCTGGCTTCAGACTCAGGAGGGAGTGGGGGCAGCAGAATGCAGGGGGCAAACATGCTAAACTGGGTATTGAGCACCAAAATGGGGCAAGTGTAGCTCCGGTTGTCCCTCTGGGACTCACTGCCTCATCTGCCAGTGACTCGGGGGCTTTCTGGTCACAGTCGGCATCTTCTTCATGAAGGAAAATGCTTAAGTAACAGCTATAAATGTTAAATAACAGTGGCTGAGCTGCAGAAATACTTACGGATCTCACAGTTTGCTCCCACCCAACCATGCGGGCAGTGGCAGTTATAACCATTGGGCTGGTCCAGGCAGCTCCCACCATGGTGGCAGGGGTTACTGTCACATTCATTTATGTCAATGTCGCACTCTTCACCTAGGGAGATAAGAAAAAGCAGTGGTGAAACCGCTGCACCCATGGTTCCTGTCATTTTTCTGGCCAAAAAATAAAGATCCAAGGCTAGGGGTCATAACCTTTAGCAATAGAGCCCAACCTGCTGTTTGTATAAAGTGCAGAACTCTCAGAAAATTCCAGACGAGGGATCTTTTACTTCAGTAAAACTAAAAAGGAAATATATATATATATATATATATATATATATATATATATATATATATATATATATAGCACTGGTAAAAAGAATCTTTCCTTTAGTGTACTTAACTAGTTAACTAGCTTCATTTAGCTAGTTAAGTGAGGTTGATTCCCATGTCTGAATAAATCTTTCCGGGTTGATCAGAAAAAGTGAAGTCGGGATCTTGATATTATTAAAGAAGTCTATTTTATTTTGGATTTCATCAGCTGCATCTCGTTATTTTTCTGAAACTCCAGAAAGCTGAAAACTCACAGTTCGTGATTATTCTGTAGCCAAGTATTTGAGTATGTGAGAGTGGACATTTGACTCTTCTCTGGATAGTTCTAGGACATAGCTGTGCACCCAGCCTGAGGCAATTTGGAGAGGTTACTCCACTTCCCAAATCCCTGGATGTGATTCTGCTTGAAGCTGGGGGACCTGAAATGCTCAGGAAGAGCATCAGGCCCACCTAAGGAGAGAACTTGTGAAGTCTGGGGTTAGTCTAAACCTGACCTAATCTCTTCTGAGAAATGGTGGTCCAAGGGAAGCTGTCTGTCATTCTCCCATAAGGAAGAATGTGATCTTCAGCTCCTGACCCTGGCTAGACCCAACTTTTCAGGACACCTTTGCGTGCTTCAGAGAGAACCTGATAGAAATTACAAACCAGGGTCCAGAGCCAATGTCACGGTGATTCAAACACCACCTTAGAACAAAGCCATCTTCAAGTGATTTTAAAGCCATCATTAAGAGTCATTACAAAACGCATACACCTCTTAAATTTAAAGGCATCTCATTAAAGCTGAAGAGAAGAGGATATTTCAAATTGAGGCACTCCCTCTGTCAAAAGTTTGAAAACGAGAAAAAGAAATTTTCAAAATAAGCCCTCCTTTGCTTAGATAAATGCAGAAAGTGATGAGAACAAAACTCCTAGCATGGCTATGGTCATGGACTAAAGCATATGGACAAAATCAGATATTTTTGTCCATTTTCAAAAGCAATGTTTCAGTGTACACTCAAGTGATTACTTCTGGGCTCATTTAATTAGCATTAAATTGCTTTTCTATCTGCTATTGGTTTACCTTACGTTTATAAAACCACTTTATGTCACTCAGGCCATTTTAGAGGAGGAATCTCACACTAATATATTCCATGTCTGTTTCATCTCACACTGTTTCTATACCTGGCATCTTACTATTTTATTTTTAAATAAAATCTGTTGAACAAAACATTTACAACTTCTAGATCCTACTAGGTTGATTATAATTCAGTAATATATACGTGAATTTGTTTCCTGCAACAAATATTGTCACTTACATCAATAGAAAAAAACATGAAATTGATTGCCTATTTCAAAGGCTGTCTTTCCATTAATGGGGCAATCACTCTTAGTAGAAATAGTCATAGATTAAACTATTACAAATGGCATTACATGGCAGACTGGTTGAAGGGACATATGATCAGGAACATGCTGAGAAATGTTAAAAGGATGAAATCAAAGACCTTAACAAGTATATATGTCAGTACTAATTTCCAACCATCTAGGAAGATAAGTGTAATTGGAGATATTTACTAAACAATAGCTTTCTTTAGCTGGCAATCTGAACACTGCAAATTCTGAAATGAGATGCTCTGTAACCTTTACAAGAATAGCTACAGAAACAGCCCACATTTCCCTACTGCTATGGTCTGGCAAAACTCAAAAGCCTCACTCTGCTTCACGAAGTCCAATGTCAATGACATATGCTTTTCATTTCCTAAACTCTATGCAGTCCCAGGGCTATCAGTTCAGTCCATCCAGGCCTGCTCCAGTCCAGAGCTTCTCCAAAAAGGCAAATGCCACATTCAGGAGCCAGGGCAGCCCCCATGCACGTATTAAATCACTTGGATCACTAAGGGGCTCTAACATAGTCAGGGGAAGCCCAAGGTCCCTAGAATTGTCTGTTCTTGGGATCCACTAGATTGGACGGATTTGGTAAGAATGGAGATGGTGGGGAAAAAAATAGGATGACCTCTTTCTGTAGACATTTATCAAATACAGTATCTAAAATCCAACTAGGGCCAAACCTATCTCATTCTGGTTTTCATCACCATAACATTCTTACAGTTACACTGGGGATTAAATGACGCAAATTAATGAAATAAACCCTATGCCAGTCAGGGCCCCACTTAGCTGACAGCTATTTCTGCAACATATGTGCTCTGGCAGAACCCTGGAGTGATGCACAGTTCTCAGATACCTTTAGGTTTATTCTAATGGCCTCTTTTATAGATGGACACTCCTATGCATCTAGTTGAATCAGTTATTCCTTGGGTTTATTGTAATGGCCTCTTTTATAGACAAACCCTCCTACGCATCTAGTTGAATCAGTTATTCCTCAACTGGCTCTCAGTTTGAGGCCTTTGCTGTGTTCTATGCTGGCTGGCAATAGGAGCATGAGGTGACTCAAATGATGGAGCCCCTCAAGGGAGTTTTCAACCAGAAGACACCCAAGGATGACTGTTGTTCTCTGCCTTACAGTGATCATGCTTTTTGCTATCAGTCTTACGCAAAGTGTTTGAAGATGCACTATGAATTATAGAAAAGTTTGGCTTCATTTACGTTTCCCCATATTAACGGCATTATGTTTGTATATGCATTTCAACACCACAACATTCCATTCTCAATCAATATTCGTTTTAACTTATTTTATTATAAGAGTTCTTAGTATACAGTATTATCTTTCTTTGCTAATAGTTAACTAATAAATCTTTAAGCTTTTGCTGCCCTGAGCCAATTGACCTTTTAGTTGGCTCACTTACTCTTTTTAAATTTGAGTTCAAAAAAAACAATTATTCTTAAACCACTGTTCTTGAATAACATCTATTGAGAAAATACAAAATGAAATTTCTACTTGACTAAGGCTAGCAATCAAGGTCTGAACTTTAAATCTTTTATAATTCTTTTTTCTTTTTTCTTTTTTTTTGAGACAAAAATCTCACTCTATCACCCAGGCTTGAGTGCAGTGGCACAATCTCGGCTCACTGCAACCTCCGCCTCCCAGGTTCAAGCGATTCTCCTGCCTCAGCCTCCCCAGTAGCTGGGATTACAGGCGTGTGCCACCATGCCCAGTGAATTTTTTGTATTTTTAGTAGAGACGGGGTTTCACCATGTTGCCCAGGCTGATCTTGAACTCCTGACCTCAGGTGATCTGCCCACCTCACCCTCCCAAAGTGCTAGGATTACAGGCATGAGCCACCATGCCCAGCCAAATTTTTTTTCAATGTACTACCTTCTGTGAGGCAATATGTAAGTACAGTGGGTATCACATTTGGTAGTACTTATGTAGATTTACAAGCATACTGATTCTGCTTGCTTTCCTTGGGTAAATTAAGAAATGCAAAAAGACAAAACCATCCAAAGTCACCGCTGTTAGTAAATCCTTGGGTTAACAGAGTCCCCACTAAAAGATATTGATGACAATTACTATAATCATAATATCTAGTATTAAATATATGCCTCCTACATGCCAGGCACTGATTGGGTGCTTTGACTATAAATCTTTCATATACTTCACTAAGAGTTTATTCAAGATAAAGTGAGTTTTAAAAATTATTTCTAACTTTTTTTTATCATGATGGAATAACTGGCACCTGTCTTGCCTTCCCACTGTAAACAACTAGACAACTAGATGAAATATATGAAAAAAAAAAAAAACTATGAAGACATTGGACAACAGGAAGTCCATGACTGTGATTGCTGCAAGAAGGGAAATAAAACAGCTGAGCACCACAATCATTCTGGCTTTCTTCCTGGAATTAATTTAGAACACAGTGGTTTCACTGGCTTGAGGAGACAAAGATCAGAGTGTGTGGAGGCCAAGGTAGCTGTAATTTGTAGGAAAGACCACAACACAAGATAGAACCACTCAGAAATTGAGCACCAGAAATCTGCTGCATCCCGTAGGCTGTTGCTGAAGACGTGTGTGTGTGTAACTTGAAGCTTGGCAAACAAAATGACAGATGAGCAGTTCCCAAACTCACAGAGGACTGAGAAATATTCAGATTTGCACTGCCAGAGTGGAACTATTTAATGGATTACCCAGTACAGTCAGTGAAGCCACAAAAGATCACACCTTAGTAATGGGGCACAACTATCCCTAGAGTAAGGCTACTCTACATTCACCTCCCCAAAATGTACAACAAACCTTGAAAGGATTAATTAGGTCAGCAAGTTACTTACCTGACACAAAAAAAGTCCATTACTTTTTTTAAAAAAGACAATAAAATCCAATCACTCAACAACTTAATCCACAATGACCATCATTCAAACAAAAATTATTAGACATGCAACAAAGTAGGCTCACGTGACCCATAACTGCATGAAAATCAGTCAAAAGACACAAATTCAGAAACAATGGATGAGAGCTAGCAGACAAAAAATGTGTTCAAAATGTGAAATAAAATATAAAAAACAATGAACAGAAACATGGAAAATAAAAAACAAGCCCAATGGAACTTTTAGATATGAAAAATACAATATCTGAAATTGTTTTTAGAACCCAATGGTCTTAATAGTAGACTAGTGACTCACACCTGTAATCCCAGCACTCTGGGAGTCTGAGGCGGGCTGATCACCTGAGGTCAGGAGTTCGAGACTAGCCTGGGCAACATGGCGAAACCCCGTCTCTACTAAAAATACAAAAATTAGCCAGGTGTGATGGCACATGCCTATAATCCCAACTACTCAGGAGGCTGAGGCAAGAGAATCTTGAACTAGGGATGCAGAGGTTGCAGTGAGCTGAGATCACGCCACTGTACTCCAGCCTGGGTGACAGAGTGAGACTCCGTCTCAAAAAAAATAAAAATAAAAATAAAAAAATAGTAGATTAGACACTGCAGAAGAAAATATTAGTAAAGTTGAAAACAGAACAATAGAAGCTTGACAAACTGAAACTCAGAAAGAAAAAAGACTTTTTAAAAAACTAAGTAGAAGCTGAGCACAGTGGCTCACACCTGTAATCCCAGCACTTTGGGAGGCTGAGGTGGGTGGATCACGAGGTCAGGAGATCGAGACCATCCTGGCTAACACGGTGAAACCCCGTCTCTACTAAAAATACAAAAAATTAGCCAGGCGTGGTGGCGGGCGCCTGTAGTCCCAGCTACTTAGGAGGCTGAGGCAGGAGAATGGCGTGAACCTGGGAGTTGGAGCTTGCAGTGAGCCGGGTTCATGCCACTGCACTCCAGCCTGGGCAACAGAGCGAGACTCCGTCTCAAAACAAAAACAAAAACAAAAACAAAAACAAAAACTAAGCAGAGACTCTGACCCATTGGACAATTTTAAGCAGTCTAACATAGATGTACTCAGAATCCTAGAGAAAGGATATGAGGCCAAAAATAATATTTAATAAATTAATGGCTAAAAATTTCCAAGTTTGATGAAAACTGTAACCACAGATTCAAGATGTGCAACAAACCCCAAGCAGGATAAACACAAGAAAACCACACACACACACATCATAGTGCAGAAGCGAAAGCAACTGCATCTTGGATACTGATTAACCCCAGTTCCAGGAATGCCTCTAAGGATTCCAGTTTATGTACTGTTCCTTGTACAAGAACAGATACTTACCATAAATCCTGCCCTTCGGTCAAAACAACCTTGATGTTATTGTACTTCGATTGTCCTGCACATCCCTTCTGAACCACCTCTCCCTCTGTGGATCATAAGCCTTGGGTCCGAAGGGTAATGGTGTGGGTGTGGGGATCCGCCATCTTGTTTCCCCACTGCCCAAGACACAGACAGGCTTCTCTTCGTAAGTCCCTATTAAACATTTCTTTCTGATAAACTGGATATGTCAGCCTCTTTCTTCAGCCTCTCAGCTTCCTCAGACTTTGGGGGCAGGTTTGCAGAGGCCTGCAGGAGCTGAGAGACCAAGAAATGGGTAAAGGGAATGAAGCGTCTGTGTGGGTAATCCCAGGTGGCAGCCACTTCTATGTGGAGTGGTGTGGCTCACCTTTTAGACGCTTGTGTGTGGGTACAGGGACACCCCAAAAATGCCAGCGTCTTTAGAGTGACTTTTAAGTGGGAGCCATCTGTCGCACTGCAGTAAGGAAGGATGGCGAGCAGCCACTGCTCTAACATGGCCACTTCTGTGGCCATTGAGGACGGGAGCCCATCTAGCAGCAAAAGCAAAGTAAAATGGCTTGAGGGGGAATTAAAATTAGACAAGATTTTCTAAAGAGCTCTATTGTCAAACATACATCTGTATTGTTTTAAGGTCTCTGTTCTCTCTCCGTAAAACTTCTCAGTCAAATGAATTCTGTTTTCTCCATTTACATCTGTCTGTCCCTCCTTCCTCTTGCCACCCTCGATGCCACATGAGGGACCTACAAAAAGGAACTTCTGACAGTCTGGGATCCCTTGGAGACAGAAAATACTCCTCTTTGTGGGAGGTACCTCTATTTTTCTTTATGGAACCGTAAGAGTTATAAGCAGACAGATTCCTCTTGGGTCCAAAACATGACTCTCTTTTGTGTTGCGTTACCTGATCTGTTTGGTTTTTGGGGGTGCCAGAGATTACTTTGTACCATGAGAGGACTTGCCTTTGCTGTGTGTAATAACTGGCAGGTGAGAGATACAGTCTTAGAGGTGGTTGATGGCACTTGGCCGAAAATGATTATTACTACAAGGGGATACTCATTTCTTTGGGAATTTACATAAGAAAACTGTGGTTTGGATACCTAAAGGCTACAGAAACATGCCCTACTATGGGATAAAACACCCTTTGGGGGATGGGCTGATCACAGAGTGGGCTGATCAGCGTTGAGTTGCCCATCAGCCTCAGGGGAATGTCCTTGCAGTGACGTGCACCGTGGAAGCATTGCACTGTCCAATCCTGTAGTGTTTCCCTCTTTTGGGGGACCCAGGATTCAGTGTAAAATGGGATCCTTGGTTTTGAGGGATCTAAATATTCTGCCTTTTTGCTGTACCTGCTCAAGTGTTCAGCCCTACAAACTGCATGCTTTAAAGGGCTCCATCCTGGGCCTGGTGCAGTGGCTCATGCCTGTAATCCCAGCACTTTGGGAGGCTGAGGAGGGCGGATCACCTGAGGTAAGGAGTTCGAGACTACCCTGGCCAACATGGTAAAACCCCATCTCTACTAAAACTACAAAAAATTAGCTGGGCGTGGTGGCACACCTGTAATCCCAGTTACTTGGGAGGCTGAGGCAGGAGAATCACTTGAACCGGAGAGGCGGAGGTTGCAGTGAGCGGAGATGGCGCCATTGCACTCCAGCCTGGGTGACAGAGCAAGACTCTGTCTCAAAAAAAAAGCTTCCACCCTAAAGCCAATAATCTAGATAAGAAATAAACTAAGTGAAAAAGAAGACACTTTTCCTGGCAATCTTGTTTTCAGATAACAATGGCAGCCTAAGTTCTCTGCCTTTGAGATGTAAATTTCCTACCTTGTTTCACCTAAGAGTCATGTCTTTGGATTGACAGTCTAAAGGGGGAAAAGAAACTGAAAACTGGCAAATAAAAAATCTTATAAATCTATAAGATCTGCTTCTGTGTGTCTGTATGTCTATATTTTATATGTGTCATGGGTGATATATCCCTACCAAAATATATAAAAGAGCTCTAATTACTTAGCTTAAAGAAAAGTAAGTGCTTCAGACAAATATTTTACCAGGAAGATAGAAACCAACTCAAATGCCTTTTAGTTTACACGACTTTAGTAATCTTTGGTAACTAAAACTAGTTTCAAGATTTTTTCAGTAATTTAAGAGTTAAAGAGTTAAAATACTAGTTAATATGGAAAAGTAATATCACCTAGTTTAGAGGCTATTTAAAGTTTGTTTCAAAGTGAAGGAAAAAAATGATATAGGTAAAACTAAGTGGACAGAAACAGAAAGAATAAAAGGGTGGGGAATGAGGAATTTTTGATTCCACAGTGGTCACATGGTCACCACCTAAGGTATGGAGCCCATCTGTGCTGTACTCAGTTGCTAAAGGTAAAAGTTACCAATGGAACTTAGGAATTTAACTCTGGGGGAGATGGTTCACTGGATGTGTAAGAAAATGCAAACTAATAAGGAAAAAGTGAAATATTAAACCCCTTGGTAATTGTTATCTGTCATAGCTAAAATAAAAGTACAAGAGAGTGATGGTTGGGCCTTGAGGCTGAACCAACCTCAGATGTGGGTCTGTCTGAGCATAGGTCACTAGCCTCAAAGCAACCCACAAAGGGGAAAATTATGCCAGGGCAACAAAAAGTACCTCTGAGACTCTGGTTACCAAGAGGGTAGTCAATGTGAGGGAAGGGCAAAACCAAGTAACTACTGAAATCAGAAGGTCTAGTGTGAAGGAATTGTGCCATTTTGTAGGTAGGTATTATTACCTTCCTCAGACTTTGGGGGTGGGTTTGCATAGACCTGCCCACCGTGGAACAAACAGATACATCACAATCAATTTGCTAAAACCTAGTAATAAAGGAAAACTTCTAAAAACAGCCAGAGTGAGAGTTCTGCTTTTGGAAAGATGGAGCAGATATATTTTCCCTATCCCTCCCACCAAGTACAAGTAAAAACCCTAGACATTGTACATAAAATAAACATAAGAAAATTCCAAGAAGTTGAGAGAAAGAGACAGACTGGCTAGTAATCTCAGGACCCAAGGAACAACATGATTGTGAGCTCTCTGAGTTTTCTTTTGACCTCATATATTCCAGATTAGGTGCTGGAGAAGGCAGCAACCCGGAAATGTCAAAAGATGCAGAAAACAAAACTCCCACGAAAGCCTGTTCTCTGTAACCAAAGAACCAAGATAGGGGCAGCCTAACAAGACAAAAAATTATAGCTAATAACTGCTCCACTCCAGCCAAACACTACAAAAAAAAAAAAAAAACTGCAAGTCCCCTCACCCATGCCACCAAAGGCCGAGTGGAGAGCATGGACTTCCACCCTCCAAAGCACCTCAGCCACCAAACAATAACAGAATGCACAATCTTTTCAAGTACTCACAAAACATATACCAATATAAACCATATTCTGGGCTATGAAACAACCTCAACAAATTTAGGAGAGTTGAAATCGTAGAGTGTTCTCTCACCGTAATTAAATCAAACTAGATATCTATGATAAAAAGTAACAGGAAAACCTCAAAACACTTGAAAAATAAACAACATGCTCATAAGTAATCTATGGATCAAAGAGGAAATCTAAAGGGACATTAAAAATAAAAATTAAATTGACTGAAAATGAAAATACAACATAAACTTTGTGAGATACAGCCAAAGCAGTACTGAGGGGGAAATTTATAGCACTAAAATGCATGCATTAGCTGTGAGAAAAAGCCTATATCAATACTCTAAGATCTTACCCAAAAAACCTAGAAAGAAATAACAAAAGCAAATTAAGCCCAAAGCAAAAAGAAGAAAATCATAGACATAAGAGAAGAAATCAATGAAACTGAAAACAAAAACAATAGAGAAAATGAATGCAACAAAAAGCTATTTATTAAAAAGATTAACAAAATTGACAAAACTCTAGCAAGATTGACAAAGGAAAAAAGAGAAAGACACAAATTAGCCATATCATAAATAAAGCAGAAAATATCACCAAAGACTGCAGATGTCAAAAGGATAACAGAAATACTATATTACAACTCCACAGGTAAATTTAACAACTTAAAAAATGCACTACTTCCTCAAAAAAAAATCACAACTCATCAAATATAAAATAGATGATTTAAATACTTTTATAACTATTGAGACTTTAAACTTTAAAACTCCCCAAAAAGAAATCTCAGGTCCAAATGCTTTCACTGGTAAATTCTATCAACTATTTAAAGAAGAATTAATAGCAAATTGATACAATCGGTTGCAGAAAACGGAATACAAAAGAACACTTCGCAACTTATTCCAAGAAGCTAGTTTTACTTCAATACCAAAACTAGACAAATACATAATAACTTTTTTAAAAAGAGAAACAAAACTATTTTGTGTCTACGTTCATATTAAATACTTGTTTCTCACAAAACACAAAATTGTTTTCTTTCTTTTTTAAAACAACAACTTGAGAAACAACTTGTTTCTCATGACTATAGATACAAAAATTCTGAACAAAATATTAGGAAATAGAATTTAGCAAAGTATTATATAAAATGAGTTATACACTATGACCAGGTGGTATATTCCAGGCATGCAAGACTAATTCAATATTTGAAAATCAACCAAGCATATTAACAAGCCAAAGAAAAAAATCACATGATCATATCAATCCATTGACAAAATTCAATACCAATTTATGGTTAAAGTTATCAGCAAACTAGGAATAGAGAGGAACTTCCTCAATTTGATAAACAGCATCTAAAAAAAAACACTACAGCTGACATTATCATTAATGGTGAAAGACTGAATGCTTTTCCCCTAATGTTGAAAACAAAGCAAAGATGTCTGCTCTTACTGAACCTAGTGTTAGAAGTTCTGGCTAGTGAGACAAGACAAAAAATAAAATTTATACCTATCAGAAAGGAAGAAATAAAACTGCCGCTCTTTTCAGATGGCATCATTATTTATGTAGAAAATCCCAAGAAATCTACAAAAAAAAAAAATCCTAAAACTAGTAAGTTCAGCAAGGTCACAGGATACAATTTAAACATACAAAAATCAATTATATTTCTATATACTAGCAAGAACAATTCTATTTACAATCACTAAAAATACACCATACACACACACACACACACATGCATATATACATACCTACTTGGATACTTGGATATACATGTACAGGGAAAAAATGTTGATGAAAGAAATCAAAGATCTAAATAAGTGGAGAGTCACACTGTGTTCATGAATTGGAAAACTCCAAATAGTAAAGATATTGATTCTTCCCCAAATTGATATACTGGTTTATTGTAATTCCTCAGCAAAATCTTTTGTAGGTATAGACAAGATTATTGTAAAATTTATATGAAAAGGCTAAGGATCTAGAATAGTTATAACAGTTTTGGAAAAAAAATAAGGTGGTAGGAATTATTCTGCCCAATTTCAATAGTTATTATGAAACTACAGTTGTTATGACATAATAAAGGTAGAGGAATAGACACATAATCAATGAAAAAGAAGAGCCCAAAATAGACCCACATAATATGGCCAGCTGATTTTTGACGAAAGTTCAAAAGCAATTCAATGAAGAAAAGATAGCCCTTTCAGCTAATGATGCTTGAAAAATTATACTTACATAAGCAAATGTAAATAAAAGAGCCTCCTCTAGTTAGAAGATTCAGGAAAGAATGCAAACTGTGAGAAAAGATTCTAACTATATTACAACTGTATGGAACAACCTCACAAAGGGGTCTGGGGGGGAGCTGACCTAAGTGACTTTGGAAATGGGTAGGATTGATAAGACTAAATGCAAAATAAGTGGTACATAAACACAATACTCTAGTTCATAAAGTTGTTTTCCACAAGGGTATAAGTTAACAATTCTGATACTGCTATACCTGGATACTGAAATTGAACAATTAAGTAAATAAATGATGGATGATGAAAGGCAGTATTTGGTTGTTGGTGTGAAGGGTTTACAAATAAGCAAGGGGAGAAGGCTAGAACCATTCATGCTGTAACAAACTAGAGTTGGAGACATCACTGTGAATTCATGTTTAGCTTAATATAGACAAAGATAACTACATCATGCAATATTTATGGATAAGCACATGTCCATGGGTTAGTATACACATGCACTTCCTCACTTTGTCAGCTGAGAGGACCTAAAAGCAATGATATCCCAGTAAAAACAAGCACAGCTTAGCACCCAAATCTTGTTTTTAATACTATTCTCCAATTAAAAAAACCAGAGATCCTTAGAGAAATGAATGACTCTAGAACTGGAGCAGGAAATACACAAGATGAGGCTGAAGCATCTTGCAGTGCCAGAACGTATATATGTTTTAAAAAACAAAACAAAAAATTAGCCACAAAACAAAAAATTAACCACATTAATGGGGATGTGGCAAAGAGGTAATAGGAGCCAACTGAAAGAACTCCCAATGGCCAAAGTATTGGATTATAACCTAAAGTATAAAATAAATATCCATGAACCCATAAATAAATGATTAAATAAATACACAAATGGAGGAGAATAAACAAATCTTTCATCCAGAAGAATTCCAAATAATTCATGTAGCTACTTTACCCTTAAAGAGCAAGAGCATAACTCCCTTCTTGATAAGTGTGGACTACACAACACTTTCTTTGGAAGGAAGTCACTTCCTCCCAAATTGTTAAGTATGGAAAGGGAGAGAAGGAGTAACATTATAGTAGAGAAACTTGACAAACACTACCTCAGCTAAGTGATCAACATCAACGTCAATGATCATAAATCTCATTGACAGTATGTAGCCTTGATGTGATGTGATAGGATTAGAAAATGGACAAAAGACAGAAAGAAACATTTCTTCACAGGATATGCAGATATCAAATAAGCACAGGAAAAGATGCTAAACATCATTTATCATTAGGGGAATTCAAACTGAAACCCCAATGAGCTATCATTTTACCCCTATCAGAATGGCCCAAATAAAAAATAGTGATAACACCAAATGCTGGCAAGGATGTAGAGAAACTGAATCACTCAGACATCGTTGGTGGGGAATATAAAATGCATAAGCCACTCTGGAAACATTTTGGCTCTTTTTATAAAACTAAGCATGCAACTACCATATGACCCAGCAATTGAATTTCTGGGCAATTGTCCCGGAAAAATGAAAATTTATGTTCACACATAAACCTATATATGACAGTTTACACCACCTTTTTTATAATAGCTGAAAACTGAAAACAATCCAGATTCCTTTCAACAGGGGACTGGTTAAACAAACTCTGGGACATCCATACTTTGGAATACTGCTCAGCAATAAAAAGGGAGAAATTATTGACCCAAAATAACCTGGATGCATCTCCAAAGAATCACGCTGAGTAGAAAAAAAAATCAATCTCAAAAGGCTACACACTATATGATTCCATTTATGCAATATTCTTGAAATTACAAAAATGCAAAATACACTAGTGGTTTCCAGGAATTAAAGACAGTTGTGGCGCAAGGGAAAAGGGTAACCAGTATCCTGGTTATGAAATTGTACTGTAGTTTTACAATATGTTATCATTGGAGGAAACTGGGTGAAGCTTACATTGGATCTCTCTCTATTACTACTTGCAACTGCAGGTAAAGCTTCAATAATCTCAAACTAAAATTTTGAAAAACTAGCCAGAGAAAAATAGACCCATATATAATCAATTGTTTTCTAACAAATGTAGCAATGAAATCCAATGGGGAAAAGACTGTATTTTCAATAAGATGCTGGACTAACTGGATGTTTACATGGGAAAAATATTTTCCATCCTTAAGTCACACCGTAAACAAAAATTAACTCAAAACAGACTCTACACCTAAACTTAAAAGCAGACCTATTTTAAAAACACTTTAGAAGAAAACATCGGATAAAATTTCACCATCTTGAAGTAGACAAAGATTTCTTACAATACCAGAAAAGCACAAACCATAAAAGAAAAAAAATTGATAAATTAGACCAATTACCAAAATTGAAAACTTTACTCCCCAAAAGATACCATTAAAAAAATGCATGGATGAGCAAAATGTATACCTGACAAAGAACTTGTATCCAGAATATGTAAAGAATTCTTTGAAATCAATAGTATGACAAACAACCAAAATTTTTTAAATGGGCAGATTATTTGAAAAGATAATTCACAAGTAAAGACATATGAAGAGCAAATAACCACATGAAAGATGCTGAGCATCAAAGAAATTCAATGAAAATGTCAATGAAATTAAAGCACTGATGGTATTTTACCATAAAAATTGAACTAGAAATTGTAATATTCTATTGTGAACTGAAAGACAAATATCAAAAAATAGTTGAGTTAAAAGACAGAGAGAAAGATATAGTAACATCATTCTACCTTTAATAATGCACAAGGATTTCCTGCTCTGGTGAGAAAGGAATGGGTCACTTGTGTCCCAGCTGTTCAAATGACAATGTCAATGGGCTTGGAAGAATCTTTGGCTTCCCTGTTGAAGTACGGTTACCTTATGTCCAGTCTATGGTTTCAGGTAAAAAAATAAAGCAAATCCTAGAGAATTAATGTTGCATCAGGGTATCTTTCCTTCCATCCACTGGTCCTCAGCCAGATAATTCCAAGGGGGCAGAATTGCAAAGCTTCGGTGACAAGAGTGGTCCCAAAGTAAGACAGTAACTGAAGGGTGGACAGGACCTAGGCCAGGACAGTGGGCCTTATGGAGAGAACTGTGTAGAAGGAATGAAATGCTTGAAGAGCAGGGAGGCTCTCTGTTCAGATGACTGGAGGAAGCGTATTTTCAGCCAGAAGCCTAGGTTCAGCAAGAGAGGACAGAGTCCCCCACATACCACACCCTATACTTTATCTGATGGCCTAAGAAAGCCAGTTTAATATGGTAAATATGACATTGGATTGAGTATCTAATTATATAGCAATGATTTGCCCGATTCACTCCACTCGGTCAAGCAGAGAGTTTTTGAACACTCAGTAGCTGGCCAAGTGTAACTTCTGCTAAACCTCAGGTACAATGAAAGAGTATTTGATTCCAAGGTAGCTCAACCTCAAGAGCAGAAGCACCATACTCCTTGTATGGAAGCAGTTAATATTTTATCAGCCTCTCCTGTGGAACACTAGTTCTCAGGAACAATAGATTCTCTTTAAGGAAAAAAATGGTTCTATGATCAAATAGATTTGAAAGATAAATTTACTGTTAAGACCTCTGAGAACCTTGAGCACACAGACATCCTTTATGAATCTGCACGTGGGATGTATCATGTCCCACATTTATTTGGCCACAGAACACTTTTTTCCATGGAGCATCTCCTGGGACCAGTTTTCTGTTAAACGCATTAACAGCACAACCCCTAAATGACTTTAGGAACTATTCTGTGGTCCTCTGTAGGCTGAAAAACTATCAGGGCTGAATAGAATAGACCACTTGTTTTCAAAAAGCAGTTAGAGTGATGTTTAAACCTACTTCAGTGAGTCCCACTGCGCCCTGAGATCAGGGTGGGTCTCATGAAAAAATGCCTAAGGGTGAGATTGCTGGTGGGGTATATATGGGTATGGTGGGTGTAGGGGTAAAGGGATGAGCAGAGGGGGGCTGAGAGGCAAGAGATGGAGGAAAGGCACCTTACTGAGAAGAGCGTGACATGGTATGTTCAGTTATGCAGCAAGCAGAGGGGCCCAGGACAAGGCTGGAAAGGCTGGATGGGGCCAGACCACTCAGGTCTTAAAGATTATGTTAAGGACTTTGATCTTTTTCCTAAGGACAATAAAATGCCAATAGGTGTTTTAGGTAAAGAGTGATAAGATTAGATGATCATGCATAAGGTCTCTGCAGTATGAAAAATGGATTAGGAGTCAGGAGGAATAGGTGTGAGGAGACCAGATAGGAAGGCTTGTAGTGGTGCAGGTAGGTTGGAGGTGAAGGCAGCATGGTGCTGACTCTGCAAAGAAGTGAAAAGATCTAAGAGGTTTTTAGGAGTCCTTGGTAGTTGGATGGAGGTAAGAGGGAAAAAGAGGAAGGTATATTAGTCTGTTCTCACACTGCTATGAAGATACTACCCAAGACTGGGTAATTTAGAAAGGAAAGAGGTTTAACTGACTCACAGTTCTACATGGCTGGGGAGGCCTCGGAAAACTTACAATCATGGCAGAAGGCACCTCTTCACAGGGCGGCAGGAGACAGAATGAGAGCCAGCAGGGGAAATGCCAGCTACTTATAAAACCATCAGATCTCATGAGTACTCACTCACTATCATGAGAACAGCATGAAGGAAACTGCCCCCACGATCCAATTACCTCCACCTGGCCTCTCCCTTGACATGTGGGGATTATGGGGATTCCAATTCAAGATGAGATTTGGGTGGGAACACAAAGCTTAGCCATATCAGATGATATCAAAATGGTTACCCAGTTTCTGGCCAGAATGACTGGGAGTGATGGTAATGCCATTTGATGAGCTAGCAGATATTTAAAGAAGGAAAGGAGAAGAAGATCTGAGTTTGGGGTGTCTCTGAGATTTTCAAGATATATGTGGAGTAGATAGTTGGAGTTTTGCTAAATATTCTGGAGAAAACATGACATTTTCTCATAAAATACTGAAGTAAATTTTAAATGCATTAGAGACTTAAATGCATAAAATTAATTCATACATGATTAGCATAATAGAGGAGAATATTTCTAAACTCTTGATATATAGAATCTTTCAGCATGAAACACGAAAAGAAATCAAGACCTCAATATGTAATTATGGACTAAAATATAACATATGGAAAACAAAATACTTTTGTCCAGATTTAAAAGGCAAATGACAGTGGAAAAATATGTGTAACCTATGGCAGATAAACTGTTATATACTTAAAATAAAGGGCTATTTCAAATAAAGAAGAGTAAAGATTAGCATGAATGGTCTCATAAAAAATCAGACAAAGGATATGAATAGAGAGTTCATAAAGGAAGAAACACAACCAGAAACATATTTAAGAAGTATTCAACCTTACTATAAGTCTAAGATCTACAAATTTAAACAACACTAAAATGATATTTTTGACCACTAGAATGACAATTCTCAGTATTTGTGTCAAGACAAGGAAATAAATGCTCCTGTGCACTTTTGGTAGGAGAAAATATCGGTTCAATGTTTGTTTGTTTTTTCTCCTCTTAGAGAGTAATGTCGAAATATGTATGTATTCTCCTGTACCCTGGGATTCTATTTCTGCAAAATTATACTAAAAATAATAAGATAAGTACACAAAGATGTAAATACAAGAAGATTCCTTGTAATGTTGTTTATAATGGGGAAAAGTTCTCAACTGCCCAAAAGTTGAATTGTGGATGGAACTTTTAAAAAATCATATTTCATATAATGGACTATAGGGCAGCCAGTAAAAATAAAACAGAAGCTATTCCTTGATGTAAAAACACATTTATGATATACATATATTTTTAAGTAAAAAGTAAATTATAAAATAGTATGAGTGGTATGACTCCTTTTATATTCAAATATGTATGCATATACACTATACACTATATACTACACACACACAGACCTTCAGGAAAATTTCTGGATATCAGAATGTATCAAAATCTTAATAACAGTTACCTCCTAGCAGATCAATTTTCAGTGGTGGGATTTTTTTTCCATAGTCCTATATTTTCTAATTTTCCTTCTATGCTTTTTTTACTCATGGGATAAGAATATCTGGGGAAAAAAAACCCGGGATGCTTCCCCTAATATTATTTTTGCCTCCACTGGTGAGTATAAATGTCTGCGTGTGTTTATAAGCAAAACAAAGCCATCTGCGAATCATTTTTGGAGTGAGCCCACTTCTCAGTCCCAAGAAAAGCCAGAAGGAAAACATAAGCTGTGACACTGATAAATAGAAGGAAAATCAGAAGTTGCTTTTCCTACACTTCGGCTTTTGTCACCTTCACCAGTAGCACAGATGAGGCTCCCCTGGGATGGCTTAGGGACCAAGGCTCTGTGAAATTCTCCGGGGCTTGGGAGGTGGCCACAGTGGCTTAGCAGGGGAGAGGTGGACACAGCAAGATGCTCTCCAGTCAATGATAACATATGTTTTTCTTTGGCTTCAGAGCCCACCTTCTTCTGTGGGTACTTGATATGTCATCCTCTTCCAATTTGCAATCCAGAGTGACCCTTAAGCTTTTGTTGGTTGAGCAAAACTCTAAAAACATAGACTTTGTCTTACTCTCTACATTTCAAGATCCCTGGGTTCTGTTGGAAAAGCAGGGGATGGAACATTTTGTCTCCGGTGGTTTAGTTTCTTTCACCTGTACTTTATCTGCCTACGTGTCCCAAAGCCTGGGGAACAGAAAGTTAAAAGCCTGAGAGATAAATTAATCAATAACAAATGTTTTCTAAGTCTCCAAAAGAATCTGATAAACATTTGAGAGGCTACGCTCAGCACATACACGTACAAACCACATTTCACATCTGTTTTTGAGATTCACAAAGTCCTTGAAGCTCATAAGGGGGTGACTTTGAAGAAGGACCCCAAGTTAGGCTGGAACCCCCAATCTAGGAGTGGCTCCTCCTGTTCGGTGTTCAGTGGCCACCAAGATTTCTGGAGAAGCCAGTCCTGCCCCGCCAATCTCGCCTCCCATCCCACTCTCCCTTGACACTTTTATATCTTGCAATAAAAATAAATATGGCAGCTGAAAGCAGCATCTACAGAAGACACACCTCTTCCTTCTTTCCATCTTCTGACTTTTATTAACCCATCACCTTTCTCAAGTGTTCATGTAATGGCTCATTTCTCATGTTTCATAGTCCTAGCCTGGGAAAGGTACAGTAATGATAGTCTTTGTAAGTCTAGACGCCAAACAACCATCTCAGAAAAGCCTCATTTAATGAGGCTCACACAATGGGTTGTTTTAAAATAGATCTTCATCCAAGCCATGCCTCCTTACATTTTGTAATGGTGTTTATATTTTGCAATATTTTATTCATGATGGATTTGGGTTTTTTTAACATCTGCAATCTCGGGCACTTTGTGGTAAATTTGAAAACTCAGTCCCTGGAATCACTTGCCTGTAAACCCGGGTGCACAGATGCACGTGCCATTCAGGCCGTCGCTGTCACAGGTGGCTCCGTTCAGACAGCTGACGTTAGCGCAGGGATCCTTGTACAATTCACAGTGTGTTCCTGCAGAGAAACAAGCAAAACAGGATGACTCATCCAGGACTCTCTGGCTCCCATGGCCTCTGAAAGCAAAGTCGGAACTCTCTGGAACAATGCGAGGGAGATTCCCAGCGTGGGTGTGTGTGGGTGAGTGTATACACACGTGCCCACTCATGATTTTAGATTGTTGTAAAAACTTGCCTTATGAGAAAGTAACACATTCGATCACTGTCCATAGGTCCCACCATAGTCTTTTATCTGTACTTTCTCTGCCTACGTGTCCCAAAGCCTGGGGAACAGAAAGTTAAAAGCCTGAAAGATAAATTAATCAATAGCAAATGCTTTATAAGTCTCCAAAAGAAACAGAAAATATCTAGATGGCCTTGAGAAAATATAATATTAGCAACCTGAAAGTGAAGATTTGGAATCAGATATTTAAGTGAGTCCCAGTTCTACTTTGAAGAACTGCAGGGGAGAGGGGAAGCCGTGTGATACTTAGACTTCATTCTCAAAGACATCACTGCATGCTTTATGTCTAATTTATTCCTCACAACAACACTATGAGACAATTATCCTTATTCCTCCATTTTACAGATGAGGAAACTGAGGAAAGAGTCGAAGATCACAAGCCTGGTAAGAAAGGAGCTGGGATTTGAAGCTGCCCGTAATCCCATCCCAGAGTCTGTGTTTGCTAAGTAGGCTGTTGAGAGTGACCCTGAATTGACTGTGGAAATATACAAAACTCTATGGAGCTCAGCACTCGTTTAACAAAGAAGAGGCATTTTTTAAAAAATCTGTAAAGTAAAACAGACAGCTTCTCATTTACTTTTTTTAAAAAAAAAAGACTGTGTGTGCATGTATGTACGCAAATGCCTGAAGTGGGACTGGATTACTTCCAGGAGACTTGATTACTTTGATTTTCACATCTGTGTATTTCTACATTACTGGCACCTTTTTTACAAGTATCTATTTTTTTATAATTTTATTAAAAACTTTAAAAATCTAATGCTATTTGAAAGGTGGGATATCTGCTGATGTTACACTGGATGCCAAGATGGATGAATAGATTAGTGTCTCTCTCTCTCTCCTCCTCCTGCCCCTCCTCCCTCTCTCCCTTCCCCTATCCCCACCCTTTGGAGAGAAAGATAAATTACATTCTACCTTGCCTAAGAACGTACATAATGATATGCCCACACTTCCCAACAGCCTCAAGAAAAATATGCATAAAGCAAATAGTAACTGAATGGTATTTACTTAATTTTCTCTGCACTTCATTACTTAGCTCATGTTGTGCAAGGGACTGCCACACCCAATGACTCATCCTTTAGGCACTGAAATCATCCTTGCTGGGCTTTTCCCTTATTTATTTCTCAATGCCTTAAGAATAGGGCTCAGGAAGGAGGAAAGGAAGTAAGAGAAAATAGAAATGGAACTTCCTATCTATATTCACACTAATGACTTATTTGAGCCAGGTAAAGCTCAAATTTTAGAATAAATGACCTGTAATTCTTTTTCATCCTTTGCCCCTCCTAGCCAAGCCATCAACAATATTCTGTCAGGTATTTTTCTGAAGTGTCTTTCAGATCTTTGCCTTTCTTTCCTTCCTGAGACCACCCCTGTGATCCCACTGCCTCGTGCCTGGTGGGATACAGCATCCCGCAGCCATGTCTTAGTTTCCTCTGTCTCCAGGGACTTGAACGAGCCTCCTCAACTTCCTTCATCCCTAACCCAGGTTGCATGGTAACATAAAAGATCAAAATAATGTTAAGATTAGCATAAATCTGGTCATTCTTCTTCATTTGGGTGTGTACAGCCTCTTCTCCCAGGAGTCTCTTATTTTTACTTTCCTACTGATACACAAGTAGCCTGGGCTCAATTGAAAGAATAAAAAGCAGAAGAGTCTTTTCTGCTTTAAAATGTTTATTGCAACACAAAGACTCACATATTTACAAGTTCCCACTGGGCTGATCAATGGGAGCCAAGTGACAAAAAAGACTTTTGGTTGTAGTGGGAAATACGGCCACCACCAAAGTTCAGAGGTGCCTGAAGCCTAGAAAACATTTCCATTAGACCTGAAGTCAAAGAAATCAAATGATTGTCACTGAGTTTCTAGTAATACATTAACATCACTAACATATTAGCACCCAAACTACCACATTTTAAAAACCAGACTGAAAAGCAAATTCTAGGCCAAATATTTAAGCATCTTACCTTTTATTTAAAGTCTTCAACAAAATAAGACTTGATGAAAACACCCAAGATAATAAGCAATTTCAATCTTTTGGGTGTTTGGGGTTTTTGTTTGGATAGATGGCTCTTTTTTGGAGGGCGGGGAGACAATACTTTTTTCCCTTGTTAATTTTCTTTTTCAAATGGTGAGACATTTGGTCCCTTGAGCATCTATTGAGAGTTCTCTGGCAGCAAGACTGGACAAAAGCTAATCTTCACAGAAACCTGATTACGGACAAGCAAGATGGTGTTAAAAGTCCCTGGAGAGCACTTTGGTGACTCACATTTCTATATCGTAAACCTTGCTAATCCCTATATAAAATATATTTGTCATATTGCTCAGCTTGTCATTAGAACTGAACAACTCTGAGCTAAAAACTTTAAACACGGAGAATAGACAATCATGGACACTACTGATGTGCCAAGTTGTATCCACTCAAACCCTCCTCCTCTGGAGGTCCCTAGGCCCCCTCTTCCTGCCCTCCTCACCACTCCCATTCCCAGAAAACATCAAGTCTTGGGCATCCTGTTTCCTCTGAGGAGTCACCTTCTTTCACACCCTTCCCCCAACCTGATCTTCGCATATTTAACTAATCTCTCAATTCCCAATCCAAACACCCTCTCTCTGCAAAGCTGAACCTTGATTTTCTCAACACAGACCACATTCTTCCACCACTGTGCCTTGAGAGCATGCCGGGACTGTCATTGTCACGGAGTTCACTGTGCCAAATCATAACTTATCTGCTCTCCTGTCTGATTCTCCCACAAATCTCTGAAGTCCTGTAGAGCAGAGGCCGTATCATAATGCGTGGAAGAAATTATGGACCTAACACCGGAATCCTATCCTTTCAAGAGGGGCGACAGCCAGTGTACTTTGGCTGACACACAGGTGAGGCTGCCAGAGGAGAGATTCCAAATTCCAAATCTGCCTCAAAAACACCCTATTTTGTCAGAGAAAACCAGGTCCACACTTCAAACTAAGTCTGTGGAATGACACATGCATCACCCATTGGCAGAAGACACAGCACGTACTATTACAAAGCTGATGTTTAGTCTCAAGCAAAAATAAACTGTAATTCAGTCAAAACTAATAAAAATTCATACTTTTCGTATTAAGGGATGGAGAAGAAATGTTTCTAAAAAGACTTTGATTCCAACAGCATTCTTTACAGAAGTTAATTTTAGAATTGAAATAAGCTAGAATTCAAAAAGCAGTACACCAATTATAAGTCTTTGTTGTTGTAACAAATTTAGTTACAATTAATATTTGAAAAATGAAAATCAATATTTTATCTCCAAGAAACGAAGCCAGTAAAGAAGTGTTATTACACTTAATATTTACTTTAAGACATCGTCTCATTTCATCCAAACTTACTTCCTCTATGAAAACTTTTTCCAGTATTTCAATCTTTATAGATCTCAACATTTTCTAAACCATCTCAGAAATTACAATTGACATCTCAGCCTTAGCCTCATTATTCCTGTGTGTGTCACTCAGTCTGCTCGTCTGGTTAAATAACAGCCCAAAGAAGGAAGAAACTCTGACTTATCCTTTTTGTATTTATCACAGTACTTGAAAGGACTAGGTGCACAAAATAACCAGAAATTCTTGTTCCCTGGCTAAGTGGAATCTAGCAAAGGCAATAACTTTATCCAACAAAGAAGGAGTTCTCTTCCTTCCCATTAAAATTTCTGTAGCCTTTAAAAATAAATAAGTAGGTACAGGCCAGGCAGAGTAGCTCACGCCGGTAATCCCAGCACTTTGGGAGGCCAACGCGGGCAGATCACTTGAGGTCAGGAGTTCGAGACCAGCCTGGCCAACATGGTGAAACCCCGTCTCTACTAAAAATACAAAAATTAGCCGGGCATGGTGGCACACACCTGTAATCCCAGCTACTCAGGAGGCCGAGACAGGAGGATTGCTTGAACCAGGGAGACAGAAGTTGCAGTGAGCCAAGATAGCGCCATTGCACTCCAGCCTGGGTGACAGAGCAAGACTCTGTTTCAAAAAAAAAAGTAGGTACAATGTACAATGTAATTAAATCTATAATCCAGTGATCTCATTTCTGAGACTCTATCCCTAGAAAGAAATCTGGAAAGTAGGAAAACAATGTAAAGATATTAATTCCAGAAATATTTGTAATAGCCCCACATCACATGTAACAACAAAGCAATGGATAAGTATTCTCTCATGGGAACATTACAAAGCCATTTAAAATAAAACTAGTAAGACTTCCTAGCAATACATAAATCAAACATAATATCCTATTATGAGTGAGCAGAACAATATAAAATTGTAGGTATACTCAATTATTGAACAGTAAAAACATGGATACTAAAATCAGAATGGAAGCAACACAGATTATTATGGCTCATGTTATGTTGTAAAAACATGAGTAATTATGAATTTTCTCTTTTCTTCTAAATATTTATTATTGTTATATTATTTTCAAAATTAAAAATCGAATTTTTTTTCTAAATTGTATCACCAAAAATTTCAAATATATATATTGTTGATCATTTCATTGGATCTTCTAGAAATAAAAATCAATCACTATGGGGCTGTTCCTTAACCTTTTGACAATATGAGGTATGAACACTTAACAAAGTCTTAGACGTTCCGTCACAAACCAGGCTTGAACTAGTTTTGAAGGACACAGCAGTATTTTGGTTTGTCTGAAGACGGGTTACACAGAGGTCCTCCATGAATTTTGCTTTCTAACAATTCCATAATCTACAGTGAAGACTTACATTCCATGAAAATGTTTAAGTTGGTTTCCTTTACTTAATTCATGTGTTAAACAGTAGTTCTAACTCAAGTAAAGGTAGCCATTGAGCATTTGTTCTGTGCGAGCCACCATAGTAAGAGCTGTAGAGAATTTAAAAAGAAAAAGAGCCTATGTAGTCACTGTCTTTCCAGAGCTTATGATTTAGTATAGGGAAGAAGAAAGTCTGAAACCAAAAAGAATTTAATACAAGGCTAAACATAATTGTCATGGCAAATAGAAAGAAAATAGAGAGTTAAAGGAGGAAGAAGCCACATCTCTTTGGGGGTCAACATTTCAGACAGTGGATACAGCCATAGGAGTGGATGAAAGCAAAGAGGAGGGAGAGAGAAAGGGGCCTGGAGACCCACGTCATTCATGGCATCTGGGAGACCAAGACTTAGTGAGGGCAGAGAGGAGAACCCCGTCAGGAATGAAGTTGCAGAAGACACAGCAAGGCGACGTGCAAGAGGGACCCCAGGGCTCAGTGGGGCAAAGGGACAGGAACGCTGGCTGAGTCAGAAGTGGAAGGGGAGGCTTCATAGATTTCACCAAATGACTTCAATTACTTCACCATGAATTTTCCTGAAACCTCTTTTAGTGGAATGATGTGGACAAGGGCCAAGAGCCATGGTTGAAAAAGCAAAAGGGAAGAAAGGGACTTTAAGCACAGCAGGGACACAAAAAGTCAAAGAAGAGGTTTTTAAAATTATTATTTATATGGAATTTACTTAGAAGTCTAAGAACTTTTTTTTTCTTTAGCAGCCCAGTTTTTCTAGAAGGGCTTATTTGAAAAGAATTCCCTTCTCATTCCTAGCAATTCCTCTCTAAGAGTCTTACATTATTATTATAGACAATGGTTTCTGGGCCATTCTTCAGTTTTGGTTATCTGTCCATTCTTGCTAGGGTAATATATGAATGTAACAATAATTGCAGCATTATAGTGGGTTTTTCAACATCTGGCAGAAGTTCCCCCTCATTGCTTTTCTTTTTCTTTTTCTTCTTCTTTTTTTTTTTTTTTTTTTTTGACGGAGTCTCGCTCTGTCACCCAGGCTGGAATGCAATGGCACGATCTCAGCTCACTGCAATCTCCGCCTCCCGGGTTCAAGTGATTCTCCTGCCTCAGCCCCCTGAGTAGCTGGGACTACAGGCATGTGCCACAGCGCCTGGCTAATTTTTGTATTTTTAGTAGAGATGGGGTTTCACCATGTTAGCCAGGCTGGTCTCGAACTCCTGACCTCATTATCTGCCGGCCTCAGCCTCCCAAAGTGCTAGGATTACAGGTGTGAGCCACCGCCCCCGGCCTTTTTTCCTTTTTCAAAATGTTCTTAGCTATATATTTGGCTGACTCCCTATTGCACTCATTCTTTTTAGGAGGATAAATATATATACATAGAGAGGGTGTTATATATATAGTGTTATATATAGTTATATTATATATATCCTCCTAAAAATATAAAAACTATATATATAGTTTAAAAAATATCAATATTAAGCAGTAAAAATTACCACTTAAAAAGTATATATATAAAGTAAAAAGTTAAAGCTTAACTTTATCCCTAAAATACTACCTATCTAAGTTCTAACTCCAGGTAAGTACTAGTTAGGAATTTAAACCCATCCATCTGACAGTTTCCTGAATGTATACAGACATACGATATGTAAATATATATTGGCAAAAATATTTCCAAAAGGGGGAAAATGTCCATCCCCCCACGGAGAGAAAAGCACAGGATCATGTGGCCTCTCACTTCCCCTCACTCTTCCTCTGGGTGGAAGAGCATGATTAGATCCTCCTGTCTCTCCTTTAATTCCTTCTACCTACCCTCCCCATGTCCCCACCACTCTTAGTTTAGAAGTTCTACCATTTACTGCTACATTACTAGGGTTTACCTCCCTGTTTTCAGCAGCCTTATTTAAACCTAAACCTAAAAGTCTTTATAAATATACTAAAATTAAATAAACACTTTATCTGCCCATTGGATTTGTCACCCAGGCTGGAGTGCAGTGGTGTGATCTCAGCTCACTGCAACGTCTACCTCCCAGGTTCAAGCAGTTCCCGTGCCTCAGCCTCCTGAGTAGCTGAGATTACAGGCACCCGCCACCACACCTGGCTAATTTTCGTATTTTTAGTAGAGACGGGATTTCACTGTCTGGTCTTGAACTCCTGACTTCAGGTGATCTGCCCACTGCAGCTTCCCAAAGTGTTGGGATTACAGGTGCGAGCCACCACACCAAGCCAGGAGTGAAATGTTTAACACACTTGTATGCCTTTCAGTCTTTCCTATCCTCACCCCCTTCAACACATGGCTTTGTTTTAAATAATATGAAACCACTTTACTTGTTGAAATTTTTCCTTAAGAGCAAGAGTGGTGGACACAGCCTAGAGTGACCCCTAGGGAGTCACACCCTTGTGTAATTCCCTCCCTTTGAGTGTGAGCTTCCAACCAAGAGCAAATGGCAGTTAAGACATTTTGAAGATGCAATTAAGGTCCCTAATCAGTTGACTTTGAGTTCCTCCCAGGTGGGCCTGGCCTAACCAGGTGAGACCTTTAAGAGGGTCCAGGCTGGGTGCAGTGGCTCATGTCTGCAATCCCAGCACTTCGGGAGGCCAAGACAGGTGGATCACCTGAGGTCGGGAGTTCAAGACCAGCCTGACCAACATGGAGAAACTTTGTCTCTACTAAAAATCCAAAATCAGCTGGGCATGGTGGTGAATGCCTGTAATCCCAGCTACTCAGGAGGCTGAGGCAGGAGAATCGCTTGAACCCAGGAGGTGGAGGTTGGTGTGAGCCGAGATCACACCATTGCACTCCAGCCTGGGCAATGAGAGTGAAACTCCATCACAAAAAAAAAAAGTCCAGGCCTTCCCGGAAGTTCAAGACTGGAAGCAGTGGGGTCTCTGTCATAGTTGCTAGCTTTCAAAGAGCAAGCTGTCACAAATCCTACAGCCACGAGGATATAAGTTCTGCCAATAACCTAAGGGGACTTGGAAGCTGATTTCTCACTATTCAAGCCTCAGATGAGAGCTCAGTCAGTCAATACCTGGCTTTCACCCTTGTGAGCCCCTGAGCTGGGAATTGACTAAGCCACACCTGGACCTAGGAAACTGTTAGGTAATAAAAGCATGTTGTTTAAGCCAGTACCGGGTACTGATTTGTTATGCAGCAATAGATAGCTGATACAGAAGGCGGATCTACTTTTTTCAAGAGACTTTCCTTCACCATTATATTACCATTCACAATCACATAAATATCAAATATTTAGATTTATGCCTGCATTTAAAGGCATACATCTCTTCCTTCCATTCTCCATCTTCCCCTATCTGGATATCTTTGTTTTGATTTAGTTCCTATTTGGTGGCGATGCTTATTAAGGTACTTATCTTAGGGTATAGGGTGCTATATTTTCTGTATCCTTGAATGTATGGCAATGTCTTTCTTTTGCCCTCAAATATAAACAACAAACTCCTAGTCCTTTTCATTTAAAAGTCTGAAACGCTGCTCTGCTATTCTTTACCTCATGATAGAGAGGGGCAGTACAATGCCGATTTGATTCTCTTTCTTCTGTATGTAACCTGTGATCCCTTCGAAGAATCTTGTAAAAAATTCTCTTTATCCTTGCAGTTACAAATTTTACCAGGAAATCTCAAATTGTGTATCATCTCCTTCATTAATCCCATTACTGCCCTGTGAGCCCATTCTATTTGAAAATAAGACTTTCTTCACCTCACAGACACCTCCTTCTAGGAGTTAGTTAATTCTGCTTCTATTTCCACATGCTCCTTCTTCTGGAGCACCCATCGCTCAGGCAGAAGCAGATCTCTCAAATCTTTTCTCCATGTTTCCTGTCTTTTCACTCGTGGTTTCCACTTCCTCATATTTTGATTCTCTCATGCACTAGTTCCTCCTTTTTATTCAGATCCAAATTCAATTTTGAGTAGTGTACATTACTTTCTTCACTTCCTTTCTTGAGTGTTTAGAGCTGTTGTTGCAATTTTTGTTTTTATTTCCCAAAACTTTTCTCCCTCTCTGAGTTGCTGGCGTGGGCTAGTGTACTGGCCAGGCTAGTGGGTGGAAATCTTGGCAGAGACAGACAACATAACACATTCCCCTTCAGGGATGGATGGGCAGCCAATGGGGCCCTGTGTACTAAGGCATGAGGCAGAGAGAGGCCTCCCAGTTTGGTGTTCTCAAGGCCACAAAAAATGGGGGGGCCAGCTCAGCCTACTGTGCAATTTCCTTAGACAGCAGCCCGTAGCCATGAGATCAGTACACCCCTCTGCCTCCTAGGGTCAGACGCAGCACAATTACAGCATGCACTTCCTCTCTATAAGCTGAAGGATTTTTTTGGACTAATCTGTTCATTGAGTCATCAGTTCTCTCTGGAGCCCTCATCCCCTGTTCTTGTGGTTAAGCAAAGGCTCCCAGCACACATACCCTTTCTTGAGACCCCAAATCTTCAGATGACCCCATTCAGGGTCATCTACCTTATTGAGCCATCCCTAGCAGAGAGTCAGGAGGGATCAGAGATATTGAATGTCAATGTGAGCTGCCATCTTCCTAGAATCTTCATTTGTTCAGAGTAAGAAATCCATGAAAATATTTATACACATGGAAAGGAGCAAGGGGAAAGAAGGAGGTTGAAGATATGTAGAGAGAAAGGTAATAGATAGATAGACTCAGAACTGAGAAGCCTGAGAATGAAGCCAGCACATCTGCTGTTGTGTCCTGGTAGATGTTAGTGGAGTTTGGTTCTAACCGAACGTCATACTCCAACAGAAGCATCAGATCTGTGGAACACAAAGTCAAGACCTGGCCCAGCTTCAGCCCTCTTATCCAGGAGCTTAATCAAGTTTTCAGTGTAGCCTACAAGGCCATGAGACTTGCCAAAAAGGTTACTAAATAAAGGTAGGTTCATCCAAAGAGAAGCAACGGTGAGGGCAATGCAAGGTCTCCAGCCAGGTGGATGGCATCAAGCAAGCAGCAATAGGAGCAAGCGGTTGAATGAAATGGCTATAAATAGAGCCCACAAACGCATTCCAAAATCTAAACCCGGCCCCGTAGTTATGGCTTAGAGAAATGTGTGCAACAGCTGATAAATAGGTTCTCCTGGAACAGGGCCGTCTGAGGATATCTGGGCTCCAGGAAGCCTTGCCATCCACAAAACGTGGCCAGAGGCCAGTGAAGATGCTGGGAAAGGGCTTTAGGAACCACGCTGACCAGGCTTATAGGGGAAGAGCATTACTGTCCACCTCATAGGGTTCTCGGGGGGATTTAGTGAGCTATGCACATTAGGGGTTAGAACGGGGTCCACACATTGGAAACACTCTGTCAATGTCGCCTGTTTTTAATAAGCATTAACTTACTTGCTGATACATGGGACTCCGCCTGCCTCCTCCCCAAGAAAGCACAGCATTCTATCTCTGCATAAGAAGCTTTATAGGACGGCATCCTTCCTCTTCCACAGTTTTCACAGCCATGGTCTCTAACCTATGTCTGACAGTCCATCTTAATATTACTTTTTGTTTTCAGCTTTTTACACATTCAATAAAAAAGAAAGCGAGGATCCACAAAGAACAGGACAGGAAAGGGGGTTGTTTCTCAATCTATCAGGAAGAAACCAGAGACTTGCAAATTGGTCTCCTTGGACCGATTAATCATGCCAGCTTCAGCATTTGATTGTTATTCTGAACAATTCATGGTCCAATTAGAGGTTTATGCATTTACACTGAGAAATACATGACGTCATTTAGAGCCATTCTGGCACAGGAAGGCCAGGCGGCCTCTCACCTTTGTATTCTGCCAGGCACACACACTCATAGCCATTAACGAGGTCCCTGCAGGTGGCTGCATTCAGGCATGGAGCGGAGAGGCACTCATTATATTCCTCCTCACAGTAGAGGCCATGGTAACCTGAGGGACAGAGAGAAAGGCCCACTGTCAAATGCATCCCATTTACAACCCACGCGGGACCAGCCTGCAAGGAAGGCAGTTGGGGGTATTCATTAGAAAGTATGGTATAAACAGATGGGATTTCAGGAGCTAGATCTCTTGGGGTAAAGTTGAAAGGTGGATTTGGGGGAAGGCTATGAAGAAAGCGCCTGTTCTTATCACACTTTTTCATGATCCCAAGTATAAAAGAAGTGATTCCATTTATCCACTGACATTTTCATCATAGTGCATCCAACAGTGCTGGTGTTAGGGTGATCCAGTCACTGAGTGTGTCTGCTGTGGCCATCAGAGATAGTGAATGAGCAGGATTTACGGCAGGGGAGGAGCAAACAGCTCCCTTCAAGAGTGAGAACCTGGCTCGGTGTGGTGGCTCATGCCACCACAAAGTGCTGGTAATCCCAGCACTTTGGGATACCGAGGCAGGTTGATCACTTGAGCTCAGGAGTTCGAGACCAGCCTGGCCAACATGGTGAAACTCTGTCTCTACTAAAAATACAAAAAATTAGCCAGGCGTGGTGGCGGGCGCCTGTAATCCCAGCTACTCAGTAGGCTGAGGCAGGAGAATCACTTGAACCTGGGAGGCAGAGGTTGCAGTGAGCCAAGATTGTACCACTGCACTCCAGCCTGGGCGACAAGAGCAAAACTCCATCTCAAAAAAAAAACAAAAGAAAACAAAAAGTGTGAGAGCCACATTAGAAAAGTATATCTGTATTTCCTTTTCAAGTCAGAAAAGAAAATTAGCTCAAAATGCTTAACTGAAATTATTGATGAAATGTGAGGGTATTTTTGTTGTTATTGCTTGTTTAAAGATATGATTATATAAATTATAATATTTTAAATTGTACCTAAATGTTTAAATTACTAAAGAAATAATCATGTGAGTGAAGAGAAAATAAACCCACAATTTCTTGATAAAGTGGATTTTACCCTCCTATTTGCAAAACAGGTGTTTATTCTAAAGGACAAGAAGACAACATTCTTTGAGATTCATTCATGAGGGTTATGCTGTTTTCAACTTTTGAAAACATGTGTTACTGCCAATTTGCAGTGAAACCAGGCCATTTTTGTCCAGCCCTGTCCAAACAATGAAAAACATGTGAGTGTTTTCAAAAGTCACACTGACTGTGTTCGTTCTGAATTCAGATAAGCAGAAAAAATAAGCCCTTATCCAAGTAGGAATTAGAACTACTAGCTTTTCCCTAGCCTTTCCAGCTCACAACCAACTCTCAAACTCAGAAAGTCCCATTAGAACATGCTAATATGTTGAACTGCTTTGTTTCTTGTGCCTATCATAAAAGTAGGTTAAGCTCATATTTGCATTATTAACAGAGCACTTTTCAAATATGTTGCCATTTCAGTTGTTTTTGAACAGCTTTCCAAATTTAGGTTGTGATAATGGCCCCTTTGAGGAGCCCTTGACCTACCTAAGACAAATATACTATAGTTTTCAATTCTTCTGAAAAGTAGTATGTTACCCTACTTTTTGTAACTTTAGGGAAATATTTCTATTACCCTTCATTAGATTATTTTCATCATGTAGATAAGAGGTACTCAACTAGCAGCAATTTTGTCCCCCAAAGGACATTTGAAAATGTTTGGAGACATTTTTCGTTGTCACAACTGGAGGCAGGGGGAGGGGTTGCTGCTGGCATCTAGTAGGCAGAGTCAAGAGTGCTGCTAAGCATCCTACAGTTCTACAGGAGGCTGCGCAGGACAGCCTCTCACAACAAGACTATCCAGAAAAAAATAACAATACAGCCAGGTTGAGAAACTCTGTTCTAGACCAGGGGTCAGCAAACTATGGCCCACAGATGAAATCTATCCCAGCCTGTTTTTGCAAATAAAGTTTTATTGGGACACAGCCACAGTCATGCATTTACATATTGTCTATGGCCGTTTTAACACTACAACAGAGGACTGAGTGGTTGCAACAGAGACCATATGGCCTGCAAAGCCTAAATATTTACTGTCTGGCCCTTTGCGCAGAACAAGTTTGCTGATTCTTGATTTAGATTCAATGAAAGATCTTTCTTTTAACAAGAGTTTTGGATATTAACCCCTTATCAAATGTATTGTTTGCAAATATTTTCTGCCATTCCATAGGTCACCTTTTCATGCTGTTGATTGTTCCTTTGTTATGCAGAACCTTTTAAGTTTGAAGCACCACTTGTATATTTGTGCTTTTGTTGCCTGTACCTCGGATATCATATCCAAGAAGTCATTCCTAAGGCCAATGTTATGAAGTTTTTCCCCTACGTTTTCTTCTAGAAGTTTTATACTTCCAGGCCTTACATCTAAGCTTTTAGTCCATTTTGAGTTGGCAGTTATGTAAGGTACAAAATAATACAAATGGCCAACAGGCATATGAAAATAACATCACTAATCAACATCACTAAAAATCAGGGAAATGCAAATTAAAATCATAACAAAATATCACTTCACACCCATTAGGATGGCCATTATAAAAAACAAAACAAAACAAACAAAAACAGAAAATAACAAGTGTTGGGGCAGATTTGAAGAAATTGGAACCTTTGTGCACTGTTGGTAGGAAGGTAAAATGGTACAGCTGCTATGAAAAACTACAGAGGTTCCTCAAAAAATAAAAAATAGAACCACCACATGATCCAGCAATTCCATTGCTGGGTACTCAACCAAAAGAATCGAAAACAGGATCTGGAGAAGGTAATAGCACTCTCATGTTCATTGCAGCATTATTCACAATAACCAAGAAGTACAAACAACTTGATGTCCATTGACAGAAGAACGGACAGGTCAAGCAAAAGTGGTACATAATACAATGGAATATTATTCAGCCTTAAAAAGGAAGAAAATCTTGTCATGTGCTACAATATGGATGAACCTTCAGGACATTACATTACATGAAATAAGCCAGTCACAGAAGGACAAATACTGTATGGTTCCACCTATATGATGTATTTTTAAAATAGTCAAACTCACAGAAGCAGAAAGTAGAATGATGATGATTGCCAGGGTCTGCGGAAGGGGAAAAATGGAGAGCTGCTATTTAACTATGCAAGATGTTATGCAAGATGAATAAGTTCCAGATATCTGCTGGAAAACAGTGTGTGTATGGTAAATAATACTGTAATGTATACTTAAACATTTGTTAAGAAGGTACATTTAATGCTGTGTTTTTTTACCACTATATATATAAATATATATGTATTATTAAATATACATATTTTAACCACTATTATATACAGATATATATTTTACCACTATCTGTATATCTATATCTATATCTCTATATCTATATTTTACCTACTATATATATAGTGGGTAAAAAATACACAACATAAAAAATATATATAGTGGTAAAAAACATACAACATGAAATATATATATATATATAGAGAGAGAGAGAGAGAGAAAGTGGGAGAGAGAGTAAAAATATATACATATATATCCATGTATATGTAAAGAGTTAAGTGTCTTTTGCTTCTCCTAATATGAGAAGCTTTTTGAGGTCATTGTGGAGTACAATCACCAGCAGCACCTTTTCAATTGCATTTGCCCTCCTAGGAGATCTTTTAACAATCAACATGGAAGGGTAATATATAACCATAACCCTGCATGCATCTTTGACCTCTGAATTGAGGTGGCATTTAAATAGACAAAAATCAAACAAGCAAGTTTTGCAAGATCATCTTTAATTGTTTCCATTTTTGAAAACAGTATCATTATCTTTTTATACTAGCAATATGAAAAGCAAATGAGGAAGTTATTTTACAGAGATAATTAAGCTGGTGATGTTTTTCTTCCTTGGGGGGGAAAAAAGATAAAGTTTTCATATTCTA
Organism: Homo sapiens; assembly: GCF_000001405.40. Classification (NCBI taxonomy): domain Eukaryota; kingdom Metazoa; phylum Chordata; class Mammalia; order Primates; family Hominidae; genus Homo; species Homo sapiens. Next base: position 229,422,091 of record NC_000002.12, read on the forward strand.
AAACCGTTTCTTCAGAGACGGTAACATTTAAATGTCTTCATGGAAATGTCAAGGCACCCTTTATACTCAGTGCCAAGCAGCCTCAATCGGACGATTTGAATAAAAAGGCACTCCTTCCAAAAGAGAGGGCTTCTGTGAAAATGAGGCTATCACCCCCTGCTGATAATTAATTCAGGCAAACAAATTAGCTCAGGGCAGTATGCCCAGTGTCTGAAAAAAAATTAGGCTAATCCAAAGATTTTTTAAAAATAAAATAAACAATCAAAGGGTGGGATCAGAGTGGCCCTTTCCAAGGCACTGATCTTTATCAGCACTGCTCCCATCTTTGCATGATTTGCTCCCGAATAATCAGTTCCCCTTATTTCTTTCGGATTGACGGGGCACAGCAACCAACCAGATGGGGGGAGTGAGAAAGAGCGGTGGAGATGGCTGCCATGTCTAGCTGAGTGAGCGGATGAAGTCATTATCACCAAGAGGTACCACCAAAGGAAAAACAGACTTAGAGGAGGAAAAACAGGCTTAGAAGAAGACCAGTTTAACTTTGGACGTGTTTAGATTGGGCACACTTGGGCAGGTCCAAGTGGCAGTTGGAAGTATGCGTGTAAATGGCTTAGAAAGAGCACTTTGGGAATTAGTTGCCTGGAAGTGGTTTTGAAATTTTCATTAAAGAAGAAAATGGAAGGGAAAGAAGAAAATGGAAGGGAAAAAAGAAGGGGTCAAGGTCAGACCACATGGGCAGGTGGAGAACAAAGAGCCAGATCAAGACACTGGACAAGGATTGGGCAAAAAGGAGGAGAAAAGCCCAAGGCATGCAGTGCCATGGAAGCCAGAGGATGAAAGGATATCAAGGAAGGTGGGTTAGCAGTGTCAGAGGCTCTAATGAGCAAGAATGACCACTGGACTAGAAAATGAGGAGGTCACTGAACACCCTCAAAACCATGGTTCTTAATGGTGGCTGTGCTAGCCCTTAGATGGTGTTTAGAGAAAATTAGGGGTGGGAGTGATCCTTATGCAATGATTGGAGGGTTCTACTGGAATTTAGGAGGGTGGGAGAGGGCAAAGTTATTAAATATTGCAATGCCCTGGATATTCCTGCACAACAAAGAATGCCTCCTCATTCTTCACAACAATGGACTGTTCCACTGGACCCTCATGTAGGCAAAAACCCTGTTGATAACTTTCCCAAACTAAAACCTAACTTCTTTATATGTACAGCACCATTTTAAGATATACTGAGTTTTAAGCCGGGCACAGTGGCTCACCCCTGTAATCCCAGCACTTTGGGAGGCTGAGGCAGGTGGATCACTTGAGGTCAGGAGTTCAAGACCAGCCTGATCAACATGGTGAAACCCCATCTCTACTAAAAATACAAAAAGTAGCCAGGCGTGGTGGTGGGCGCCTGTAATCCCAGCTACTTGGGAGGCTGTGACACATGAATCACTTGAACCTGTGAGGCAGAGGTTGCAGTGCACCAAGATTGTGCCACTGCACTCCAGCCTGGGAGATAGAGCGAGACTACATCTCAAAAAAAAAAAAAAAAAGATATACTGAGTTTTCCTAGAATGTACTACTTGATAAACCAAGAGAAGATTGTACCAAGAATTATTTATCATTTTAAAAAAACACTTCACAAGAACAACAGCTCTAGTGGAATTTAAATCTCCAATAAAGAATATCTATATCCATAAAACAAAAACATCAACAAAAATCACTTCCTCAGATAGTTTTCTGACAATGCTATTTACAGTAGCTCTTCCCACCAGCAACTCATCACGACACTCAGCTGATTTCCATCGTAGCATTTGTAACTGTCTGAAATCCTATTTTTATCATAGTTCTTTACTTGATTATCACGTCTCTTCCTCCACTACAGGATAAGCTTGAGGGTAGAGTCTGCAAACGCAGTATTCACAGCTGTACCTGTGGTATCTGTGTCGGAAAAGGCTACACAAATAAAACTGTTACATAAGCACCCAAAATGTTATCAATTGATTCGATGCACTTTTAAAATGTTTCCATGGTGCTCCAGGACCTTCCAGGTGCCCTGGGTACTGCCTACAAAGCTAAAGAACAGGGTCTCCACCTACACGGAGCATCCAGTGTGGTAGCAAGTTAGCAGCATCTGCCTTATGTCAGGCCCTTTAGATGTGTTAACTTGTTTAATTCTCATAAAAACCCAAGGCGATGGGCATGAATCATCCCAATTTATAGATGAGGAATTAAGAGTTAGAGAGGTAAAGAAATTTGCCCAAAGCCATGTAGTCAATCCTGTGTGTTCTTCCTTCTTTCCCATGTTGCCTCCAAACGCATTGTCTAGTATGTTAGTTTATTAGGGCTCCCATGAAAATACTATAGCACTGGTTGAATTAAACAAAAACTTATTTTCCCAGAGTTTTGGAGGCTAGAAGTCCATGTCAAGGTGTCAACAGGTATGGTTTCCCCTGAGGCCTCTCCCCTTGGCTTGCAGACGGCCGCCTTCTCTATGAGTCCTCACATGTCCTTTTCTCTGTGTGTGAGTGCTTCTCATAAGGACACCGGTGCTATTGTATTACAGCCCTACCCTTATAATCTCATTGAACCTTAATTACCTCTTTAAAGGCCCTATCTCCAAAGACATTGGAGGTTACAACTTCAACATATGAATTTGGGGTGGAGGGCCTAATTTAGTCCTTAACACCTAGAATCTGAGTTTCTCAGTCACAAGACTGTTGGTATTTTGGACCAGATCATAATCGCGGGGAGCTTCCCTGTGCACTGTAGAATGTTGAGTCGCATCCCTGACCTCTACACAATAGATTCCAATAATACCATCCTTCCCAGGTGTAATGATTAAAAATGTCCCCATTGTCATATGTCCCCTGGAAGACAAAAATCCCTTTTGGAGAACCACTGTTCTAGATCCTTTTTATAAGATGAAAACAACTTGAAGAGATTTGAGAACATGAGGGTTTCAAATTGTTGTGAAGGGTGAGAGTTCATTCATCAGAGCAAAAGGATTTCTGGACAATACCTAGGAGGGCTTCTGCCCTTGTGGGTTTGACATAACACAGTCCATGGGGTGACTCTCTCCTGTACTGCTATCCCACAGAAGGAAACAGGCCCTGGGTATATCTGGGACTGGCTCATACCAAGCAAATGAGATAGAGCGGAGTAAGAAGGGAGAACCTGCCTGGTGATTTTTGAGCTAACGAGAACCCTGTTGAATGCTGTGTCCTTGGATTGGGACTCCTCTCTGTGCCCCCTATGAAGCCTCCAGCCACATGGTGAAGCTGGTTTCTAGCTAGTGCTCTTCCTACTTTTCACATGAAAAGACCACAGCCCTACAGCCTTGACCAGTTCAGCAAAGGCACGGTGGAGCCCAGATTCCAGCCCACAGACCCTGACCTGCTCCAGAACAGGACACTTTGCTGCATAAAGGTCTTAAGAGTCACTCAATTCCTACTCTCCCCAGTAAAAGGCAAAGCCTTCCATGGCCTTTCACCATCTTCCCTCTCAACACTGTCGCAAGGCAGGATTTAAACATCAATCCAGGACCCACCGGCTCTGGTTCCACAGTGTGTTTGCTCACAGGAGTACTTTCCCTCTCCCCGCCCGTCCCTCATCACACTCAAAAATATCCAAAACTGTAAGATTCTAGCTGTAGCCAGATGGCTTTCACACTTCGTGCAACAAATTCCCAGCGACTCATCTGTCAGTATCACCTCTGGAGCGTGATTTGTGCTTCCTGCTGCCTCAGGCAAACAGGACCTTCGAAGACCATGGTGCTGTGATCAGGACAACCAGGGGGAGGTCATGCCACTCACTCCCCTCGTACAGACTGAATTCAAGGCAAGAGTGAATTTACGGTGTTTGGGGCTTTTATTTGTTTTTACTTTATAGTCAGGCTGAAGTGAGTGCAGGGCTGTGAAGAGTGGTTCCTTTAATGATGCAACACAACTCAAAGGATGTTTTCCCTTCTTTTCAGCATGAGTGGATAAAATGTGAAAACCCATGACTTTCTGATTCAAGTCTAGGCCAGTTCCTGGGAGATCAAATATTCCACCTCACCCATAGTAGTTAAAGATATGGGGGCCGGGCGCGGTGGTTCACACCTATAATCCCAGCACTTTGGGAGGCCGAGGCGGATGGATCACAAGGTCAGGAGATCGAGACCATCCTGGCTAATACTGTGAAACCCTGTCTCTACTAAAAATACAAAAAATTAGCTGGGCGTGGTGGCGGGTGCCTGTAGTCCCAGCTACTCCAGAGGCTGAGGCAGGAGAATGGCGTGAACCCAGGAGGCAGAGCTTGCAATGAGCCAAGATTGCGCCACTGCACTCCAGCCTGGGTGACAGAGCGAGACTCCATCTCAAAAAAAAAAAAAAAAAAAAAAAAGATATGGGTCACAGAGAAAATAATCCTATTATATTAACATGATTGTGAGCTTTCAAATTCTGGCTAAACTCACTGGTGGTCATAGAGCCCTTTGGCGCTCTGGAATGTGGGACAAGATGCATTCATTTTGCTGTGTAGAGCTTTATTTCAAGGGAATCTGTGTGGGTGCGTGTGTGTGTGAGTGAGTGTGTGCATCTATCTCCCTTAGCCTCTCTTGTTGCTGGCAGGTTCATAATAGAAATCGATTAAAGAACAGAAATAAGAACAGAGGCAAGCATCTGGGCTCACATTAATCCTATTAAGTGTTCAGATGCTCTCGTTTAAACGAACCTGCTGGTTTTGATAACTGCACAGGTTTTCACTGAGTAATCGTGCTTCTGTCACACACACACACACAACACACACAATAAAGCCAGAAAATACTTGTGAACATGGAGGAAGTTGTGTAAGTCAATGCAGAGCATTCGTTGGTGTGTGGCAGACAATAGCTGCTGATGTTTCTTATTTCTTTAGTCTCTAATTTCTTATCCTTTTATTGCTCATGGCAACTAAGCCAGAAAAGAAAATAAATGTCAGAAGACCCAAATCAGTCAATATTTTCACTTGCTGTGATTTTTATAAACATTAAATTGAAAGGACTAAAGACAGAGGCTAAATTAAAGTTTTTGACTGTAAAACCTCCCTATTATTTATGTTACTGAGCCATCTACAAATTTCCATCTCCCTCCCTGGGCTTCCAAAAGGATGGATGATGAAAAGCCAGCTCTAAATCATATCCTCACTGTTCACACCATGAGTTTATATTCTCCCTCAGTGCAGAGGCTCTCTGGCTTTAATAGCCACATGGGGAAGGTTGGTAATTCTCTGTTTCTCATATTTGCCTCCTTGATCGATTCATTCTTTAAGTCAACAAATAGTTATTCAATGCCTGCTATGTGTCAGGCACTGTGCTAGTCACTGGGGCTATCTGGTGAGTAAAAACAGATAAAGTGCCTTTACTGGGGCGCTTATGAGGGGAAAAACATCAATCAATCATTCAAGTCAATGGAAAATCATAACTGGGAAGTATAAGCAATGAGGGGCCTGGTGTTCCAGGAGGGAGGAGAGGGAGGAGATGCAGGAGAGCTGACCTTGCCCCAGGGAGGCTGCCAGGAAGAGGGGAAAGTGAGCTAAGAGGGAGGGGTGTGCAGAAGAATGATGAGAAAATTCAAGGCAGGAAAAGCTGTGGGTGCAAAAGACCCACGGTAGAGGGACCACGGCTTGTGATTTGTTCCAGACATGGATTGCAACCCACTGTAGAGCAAAGGGCAGAGAAGAAATAAGAACACTGGGCTGGGCATGGTGGCTCACGCCTGTAATCCCAGCACTTTGGGAGGCTGAGGCGGGCAGATCACGAGGTCAGGAGTTCGAGACCAGCCTGACCAACATGGTGAAATCTCGTCTCTACTAAAAATGCAAAAATTAGCCAGGCGTGGTGGCACACACCTATAGTCCCAGCTACTTGGGAGGCTGAGGCGGGAGAATTGCTTGAACCCGGGAGGCAGAGGTTGCAGTGAGCTGGGATCGCACCACTGCATTCTAGCCTGGGTGACAGAGCGAGATTCCATCTCAAAAAAAAAAAAAAAAAAGAGAAAAAAAGAAAAGAAAAGAGAAACAGGCAGGTGTCAGGCCTGGTGGTATCTTTCATGTGGGTGGTGGGGGGATACAAAATCAGATTTGCATTTCAGAGAGATTGCTCCAGCTACCCTTTGGAGAATGGGGATAAGACCTGCAAGAATCAATGTGGAGAAATCAGTGAAGAGGCTGCTGCAATCGTCTCGGGAAATCACGGCTGGGATGAGAGTGGTGACAGGGCCATGTGGAATATAAATGTCAAGAGCCATTTAAACAGTAAATAGAAATACCTGGTAATGAATAGAATGTGAAGGGTGAGAAGGAAGGAGAGGTGGAAGGGGAGGCCCAGATTCCTGGCTGTTTTGTCCAGAGATACTGCAATTTCTTTCAAAGGAGTGCAGGAATTGACATTTATTGAGTCCCCTTCTATGGGCCAATTTCTCTTCTAGGCACTTTAAAATACAACAGAAGCTCATTAGAAGGAAGGGGCTGGGGAGGGGAATGGAGTGGAAGGGAACCATATTCTAGAAGAAGCAGATCTTAATTGAACAAAAAGAATTGACAGGTTCTCCCAGAAAAACGGAAGTGATTTGAAAAAAAAAAAAATCAGTTCATTTTAATGAGTATTTGCTGAAATCTGACTATATAGCCAAGCATTGAACTAGTTGCTGAGGGGTTCAATTGTGCTGTAGTTAAGAAAGAAAGGCCTTATGTAAGAAGACACAAGAAGTCAGAGGTGGAGGGAGGGCAGAAAAAGAGAGAGCAGGATCAGGGGAGCATGGGATGGGTAGAGAGGAAGAGCAAAAGAGAGACCCAGAGTTATCAAGATGGAGACAGAAAAGAAACAGAGAAAGAGACATAGAAAGAGAAAAAGCCAAAAAGATAAAATAGAGAGAAAGAAAAACTGGTCCAGAACATGATGGAATTACACTGGGCAGACAGCAAGGTCGCTGCCAGAAATGTTGTGGGCCCCTGCAGAGTGATGTCTCCAACTGGCGTAATGACCTTGAGCACTGCCCTTGGAGGGTCACCAAGATGGTGGAGCATATGGGGGCTGGGGGTACAATGTGAGAGTTTGAGAGACAATGGGACACAGCAGGATTCTTGCTTCCCAAGTGAAATACATATTCTTGCTTCCCTTATTAAAATAAAATGTATTTGATGCTATTTTCTTTTTATTAAGTACTTTTTGTAACTCAGTATTGAGAGTGTTTCTAGATGGGGAGCACTGGACCATCAGGCATACAGTTGCAGCTCAGTGCCAGTGTGTCACATCTTCCATTAAGGCCATTCATGGGCACTTGTGGCAACAGAGGATACTTATAAAAGGAGGAGTTTCTGCCTCTCCCTTAGGAGGACACGGGCCTGGCATTGTCCGTGAGGTGGTAACACAAGGGAAGCATTAAGCACAATGCCTGGCGTAAGCACATCATGATGTGATGTGTGGTCACCTGGCCTGTGAGGCAAACGTGATTTTAAAAGACAACCTGGGTGCCGTACTTCTGAAATAGGTGCCCACCTTGCAGACACAGCAAAGGCCCTAAGCACCATAGCCCTGAAGGACGCCATTACCCTGAGCCATAGTTTCACATGGTCAGCAAAGACCGCTTACTAGAGAAGCACAATAGCACCAGCTCAGCACTGACATGGTGCCTGGCTGATTAGCCCAGATTTCACCACCCAGGAACTTGAAGATCTAAATTTTTCCAATACGAAACAGCCTGTTTATGTTTGGCTTTTTAAAACCTACCCTTTTTCCTTTTCATAGCCCCATCCCCTGAGATTAACCTCGGGGCTGGATCTGGTTTCCTGCTTGGCAGTAAAACTTCGATTCACTGCTCAATATTTGATTCCAAACTCTGCATTTTCTCTTTAACAACAGGCTGTTCTCCTCTCATTTCCTTAGCACACAGGTTGAGGAATATAGAAGATGCTTGATCAAACTGGGTAAATTGAATTTGCTAGAAAAATAGAATCAGAGGGCCAAATAACCTTTGCATACATAAATACAGAAGAGTTCTTTTCTTTACCAGTGCCTGTTTTGCACAAACATGCATTAAAAGGCTTGGAAAAACATCTTCCAAAATTGACAATTGTTTTGTTAAGGGATTCTTTTATTAATTTAAATATGTATATTCATGTTTTCTAATTTTCCATTAACAGAGATATGTTATTGTGTGATATAAGCGGGTAATATCATCCATGCTGTGATGGTTAATACTGATTAACTGATGGTTAATACTGAGTGTCAACTTGATTGGATTGAAGGATACAAAGTATTGATTCTAGCTGTGTCTGTGAGTCTGTTGCCAAAGGAGATTAACATTTGAGTCAGTGGGCTGGGAAAGGCAGATCCACCCTTAATCTGAGTGGGCACCAGCTAATCAGCTGCTAGCATGACTAGAATATAAGCAGGCAGAAAAATGTGAAAAGAGAGACTGTGACCTAGCCTCCCAGCCTACATCTTTCTCCCGTGCTGGATGCTTCCTGCCCTCGAACATCAGACTACAAGTTCTTCAGTTTTGGAACTCGGACTGGCTCTCTTTGCTCCTCAGCCTGCAGATGGCCTATTATGTGACCTTGTGATCGTGTGACTTAATACTTAGTAAATATATATATATATATATATTCCATTAATTCTGTCCCTGTAGAGAACCCTGACTAATACACATGTTTTATGGGTATTTTATTTGTAGTAACACAACTCTAAATTATGTCACCGATTACAAGGGAAATGATGACCATTCTTTATGTCTAACCCTTGATTGGCAGTAAGGAAAACAGATAATATTAGAAAAACCCTAACTTTTTAAAATATTTTTTTAGTGGAGAGATAAGAACATTTCCTATAGTCTATAAAGGGAAAAGACTAGACTTATTAGAGGAGATTTTCTGAGATGCAGGGAACAGACATTATAATAAACGCACTGCTAGTAAAGAAATTGTTTTTTAAAAGAAGAATTATACTTTTTAATATGCAGAAAAGAAAATCTTTGAAGATGTTAAAAATTCTGTAACTTCTGTAGATGTACTGAGTGTAAATCATAATTAATTTATATTTGGAAAGGAAACAGTTCTTAAATATACAGTAAAAACCAAACGACCACTATCTGGAGTTATCTCCTTAAAAATGAGCATTCTCCCTCAAAAACATTTAAGAAAATCTGGGACTATATGGAAGACGACAGCTCACTTGTGACTGTGCTTATGAAGGACACTGGAAGCCAGGAGAAATTGGCAGTGAACCTGCTTTAACGGAAACAGTGTCTAAAGGCCTTTGACTTTAAACTTGTCCATCATCTGGGGAATCTTTCTAGCCATGTTGATCTAAACATTTCTGAAAGCTTTCTCTTGGAATTGGCTTCAGGACTAGGTTACAAACTAGTCACACTGAGAAAAATCAATCTCTTCACAATGTTTTAGCTATGTCTTATGACTTTTTTTTTTAATGTTGCTTTTGGCCACTAGAGGGTGGATTCTACTTATTATCTAGGCAAGTGAAAAAGGAAAAAAAAAAAGTTACTCAGGAGTTTAACAAAAGAGGAGGACTAAAAAGATAAGTGTGGGGAGGGGGGAGGGATAGCATTAGGAGATATACCTAATGCTAAATGACGAGTTAATGGGTGCAGCACATCAGCATGGCACATGTATACATATGTAACTAACCTGCACATTGTGCACATGTACCCTAAAACTTAAAGTATAATAATAATTAAAAAAAAAGAAAAAAAAGATGTCTTTTACAAAAGGAAATAGATGGCACAGAGGGATGCAAATGAATCTGCCAGGTTATATTTAAAGAAGAAATCCCATTCCCTTTAATAATAAAACATAACATTCAAATATTTCTCTACAGCTTGCAAATTCACCAATATGTCCTCTATAAACATATGGTGTCTACAGTTTAAATTATCCATTGTAAAGTGGCCTATTTTTCTTACTTTTTATTTAAAATATTTTTAATGCAAATGTTTGTAATACCATGATTAAAGCACCAAGATTAAATACTAAGTATAATGACAAAATAATATTTTATAATTTGAGTTAAAGATTATTGTGCTATGTGTGTTTACATATAAACAGTAAGAAAAGCATTTTAATAAAATAATCCCATACCCTCAATTGATTATCTAGCATGTTTATAAACACATAAAAATGGCTGGTTTATAATTGAGGTGAGGAAGATGATAAGAAAGTTTAGAAAAGCAAAGGTAGACATACACCCTCACATTCCAGAAGTTTTTCATTATGGGATGCACAAAGATGGGTGCTGGGGCCAGCAAAGGCAACAAATGGGTGGGAGGGGGGAAAATCAAAGACTAAGACTCTATTATGGCACTTTGAAGAGAAAATAAAACCTAGATAATTACTTTTACACAAGTATGCATACTAACAAAGAGAAATTTTAAACGGTATAAAAGTATAGAAGAGTTTTAAAATGTTTATTTCCTTTTAATTTATTTCACAATCAATTGGTTAAATTTGGTTTAGTTGACCTCTTAGTTACTAATAGACATTCATTTGAGGTATCCGCACTCATCACACTTGGGTCTCAGTGCAGTCCCCAGACCAGCAGCATCAACACCACCTGGGAACTAGTTAGAAATGCGTGTTCTCAGGTCACACTCAAGACCCGCTGATTCAGGGACTCTAAGGGTAGGGCCCAGAACTCCATGACTTAAACCCTCTAACATGGTTCTGATGAGCACTCAAGTTTGAGAGCCACTAAGCTATAGAATAGAAAAGTATACAACGTCTCCCACAATCTCTGACTCTCACAAATGCGGGGAAATGGTAGGGGTTGTCCAAGGAAAATGCTACATATAGTGTGGTTATGGGATTTTTTGTGTTTTGTTGTTGTTGTTGTTGTTGTTGTTTTGAGATGGAGTTTCACTCTGTCGCCCAGGCTGGAGTGCAAAGGCGCAATCTAGGGTCACTGCAACTTCCGTCTCCTGAGTTCAAACAATTCTCCTGCCTTAGCCTCCTGAGTAGCTGGGATTACAGGTGCCTGCCACCGTACCTGACTAATTTTTGTAATTTTAGGAGAGACAGGGTTTCACCATGTTGGTCAGGCTGGTCTCGAACTCCTGACTATGTGATCCGTCCGCCTTGGCCTCCCAAAGTGCTGGGATTACAGGCGTGAGCCACCGTGCCCAGCCGGTTTTGTATTTTAACAGCCATGGCATCTCCTAAGCGCGTTTAACTAATCCAACCGCAAAACATATGGTCAGAACATGTACCAGCTATGGGCATATAAATAAACCAACAGTGAAACATATAGTCAAATGATCTACCAGCCATCGGCACATGGACTAAAGGAAGCTACCCTCCTCTCGAGGTTTACATAAGGGAAAAAAGTAACACAAAGGAATCCCAAAGTGACAACAAATGACGTATTGGAAAAGAAAGGCCAGAATGAGGGAAAGTAATAAGGATATAGCTGTGGCACAATGTGTTCTAGTTCCTCACTGTATGACTAGGAGTCACACATGCCTAAGCGGAATGAGGATAAACAAGTTCATATTCAAATTCGTGAGGGCAATTTTTCCCACATCTCTGATCTAGCTTCCTTAACCCACAGGAATAATATTTTTGCAGAAAGGAATGTCAGAAAATGGAAGATATTAGAAGTATTTAATACAGCACCAAGATTAAGATTTTGAGTAACATACAGACCAGTAGGTAATATTAAAAATAATATTATAGTTTTGTAAAGATTAAGTGTGTTTCAAATTGACTATCATATACTAGACATTTGTGAATTAGCTTTTTGCATTCCTAATTATCTTGCCGAAAATTTGCTCTGAAGGTAATTTATGTTGCTTATCTTTTAAAATATATTTTGAATAAAACATAAAAGCTCTACTTTAAAAAGGAAAGAAAGAAAAAAGCATAAACAATCTAAGGTAACAATTTTTGCAAACCAAAAATTGGGAACCATGATCTGACAAAGTTGCGCTGTTTCCAATTATATATCAGAGGTGGCCTCATAGATACATAGTTTGGTAGCAAAGTATTTGTGTGATGGAAAACAAAATACTGTGACTGGGATTATTCCAGAAAATTTTGGTACACGGAGTCCACAATGCAGACCACGATTATCTTTCTGGCTGTATTTACTTTCATTCCCCTATCACTGGGGACATTCACAGGCACAATGCAATCGTGTCATCCTCTAAGCTTTCTATTAGTCATTGCCATTCTCGAGTAAATATGCTAAATCCTAAATATTGTTAAACACCAGGGAAATTTCTCATGATCCTTTAAGAACAGTTTTAGAAGCACACACCTTCCACTTGGCCACTATCCCTAAGGGCTACAAATGCCCAAGGGCTGAAGCTGACAGTCAGGACTTCAGCTAAAGAATTTCATGGGGAAATTCAGCCTTGATGCAACTGGATTACAAAGAAAATTTCAAAATGTAAATAAATCAGAAATGACAACTCAATTATATGAGTAAATTCTGAATTCTCTTCCAACTTTCTTTATTAAATTAAGGATGCCTAAACACACAGCATTTGTTCATTTAAGAGTTGATAAAGCAGTGAAAAATCAGAAGTGTGTTTTTATTTGGTGACTTAAGATTCTAGGAGAATATATATGTTAATAACCTGAAGGGAAAAATGAAACTTCTTTGAAATAAAGCCAGGAACAAGGCTCAATCTATATGGAATTATGAGGTAAGTAAAGAAGTTTTCTCCTAGACATTCCTTATCACTTGAGTAGGCAAGTTCAGGGGACCTCACCATTTCTTTTCAAGCAACCAAAGATTAAACACTGTTTTTCAACTTTCTTTCTCCTCAAATCTGCTTACATATATAGAGACAATTTATATATATATATATATACACACACACACACACACACACACGTGCACACACACACACAGACACATCACATCACATTCTTCACATATTTAGGTTTAAGGTTATGGTAGATTGAAAAAAAAATAGCTACAAGTTCTGTGCAGCTCCTCCTATCAAGAAACAGAGTCTATAAGCTTGGCCCTGTGACTTGCTCATGCCACTGGGACATTGGCAAACAACAGAAGAAGCAGCTTTAAAGAGAGCATGCATATGGGACCTTGTGTTCTGTTGCTGCTTTCGGAACCCTACAATCGTGGGAAGAAGCCCCGACTGGTCTGCTGGATGAAGAGAGACATGTGGCTTAGTTGCCCCCATCACTCCAGCTAACTGCCAGCAATATAAGAGGGGTCATCCAGGACCCGGCAGTCCCCAGCTGGCTTGCCAGCTGACCACAAAAGCATGAGTGGGCACATGGAATAGAGAAGAGACATCCCAGCTAAACCCTGCCCAAATTATCAACCCACAGAATCACAAACAATAAGTGGTTTTCTTAAGCCATCAAGTCTTGGAATGTTTTGTTACACAGCAATGACTAACTAATACAAAGGTTGATTGCCAGGTACAATGTCTAACTTAAATAAATAAAACCACAAAGATAAACTTTTAGGCATCAGAGACCTGGTAAAAAAGGTATTTTTACGGAGTAGTAAAGAGGAGTCTTCTCAAAATAGTACCACCAGGTACTACATATTCCTTAGTTTAGACCTACTTTAATTGGGCTTATCCAATCTAAAAGCAACACCTACTAATGAATTGAACCTAGGACATTCACTCTGATCTGAGGCATCAGAAACCATCTGGTAGAGTAAAATTGAAACATGATCTTGGTAATCATCAACATATCATTAAGACTTCAGTCCAACCAACTAAGGACCTCTTTAGGCAATTCCTATAAAACCAAGTGGGATTGTAATTTTTTAATGATTTTGGCAATATGTTTATTCACAATATAAACTGTTTGGTAAAAGATAAACATGTGCCTAACAAGTTAACAACATTTGATTGTGATTTTTTTTAACTTTTATTTTAGGTTCAGGGATACACAGGCAGGTTTTTCATATAAGTAAATTACATGTCTCAGGGGTTTGGTGTACAGATTATTTTCTCACCCAGGTAATAAGTATAGTACACAGTAAGTAGTTTTTCGACCCTCATCCTCCTCCCCACTCAAGCAGGATCCAGCGTCTATTGTTCCCTTCTTTGTGTCCATATGTACTCGAAGTTTAGCTCCCACTTATAAGCGAGAACATGAAATATTTGGTTTTCTGTTTCTGTATTAGTTTGCTTAGGATAATAGCCTGTGGATCCATACATGTTACTGCAAAAGACATGATCCCCTGCTTTTTCATGACTGCACAGTATTACATTGTGTATATGTACCACTTTTTAAAAATCCAGTCTACCACTGATGGGCATTTAGGTTGATTCCGTGTCTTTGCTATTGTGAATAGCGCTGTGATGAACATATGTATGTATGTGTCTTTCAAATTCAGGAAATGCAGAGAACACCTATGAAATACTACAAAAGAAGGCCATGCCCAAGATAGTCATCAGATTCTCCGATGTCAAAAATGAAAGAAAAAATGTTAAAGGCAGCTAGAGAGAAGGAGCAGGTCACCTACAAAGTGAACTCCATCAGACTAACAGCAGACCTGTCAGCAGAAACCCTACAAGCCAGAAGAGATTGGGGACCTGTATTCAACATTCAAAAGAAAAAAAAATTATAACAAGAATTCCATGTCCAGCCAATCTAAGCTTCATAAGCAAAGGAGAAATAAGATGCTTTTTGAACAAGCAAATGTTAGGGGAATTTGTCACCACCAGACCTGCTTTACAAGAGGTCCTGAAGGAAGTGCTAAATATGGAAAGGAAAGACCATTACCGGCCACTACAAAAACACACTTAAGTACATAAAGCAGTGACACTATAAAGCGGTCACACAAGCAAGTCTGCACAATAACCAACTAAAAACATGGTGACAGGATCACATCCACACATATCAATACTAACCTTGAATGTAAATGGGCTACATGCCCCAATTAAAAGGCACAGAGTGGCCGGTTGGATAAAGAAGCAAAACCCAATGGTATGCTATCTTTGAGAGACCCATCTCACACACAATGATACCCATAGGCCAAAATAAACAGATGGAGAAAAATCTACCAAACAAACAGAAAACATAAAAAGGCAGGGGCTGCTATACAAATAGGATTTTAAAGAGAGCATTGAGGCACTGCATAAAGAAGCACGTGAGTGAGATGGAAGAGGAAATGCTGTTTTGAAAAATCAATACCCGCTATGAGTTGACAATGTTCTGGGATTTAAAGAAAAGGTTATGTATCAATCTGCTTCAGGCAAACCTAAGAGCTCTGAATCTTCATTAAAACTGAAGCTGTTCTGTAAAAGCATTCAGTGAATGCAGCAACTTTCACAGTGTGCTTTCAAACTGCAAATTAATGGGCATGATAGAAAACAATGGAAGAAATACAGGGCATTGTCCCCAGGTTGTTGTATAAATCCAAACCAATGAAGAATTTAAATGCATAGTGAAGGCTACAAGTCCAGAAAAAAGTAGGACATGCAGCAAATCTCCTTATTGGTGGTCTAATTGGGACTCAGGAAGTAGACTACCATAAGTCACAATATATCTCAAACATCACCTATAATGGCACATTGTTACAGAGTTTCCAATCCTCCATGATTGACATTGACGGCAAATCATTTCCACTAAGCCAGTCTTGTGGGAAGGCGTGCTACTGAAGGAACATGTCATCAAAGCTATCTCAAAGTAGAGAACTAAAAACAACAAAAGTCAAATATGAAAAGGAAAGAACATTTCAGGGACTATAATGTCACCAGAGCCAGGTGAAAAGAAACAACATCAAAGGAATCCATGACATATAATCATCAATGCAGGAGGTTTTCAGGGAATCAGGTGGTAAGAAAAATTGCTAGTAGGCATTGGGGACCCCAGAAATGAGAAGAGCTAATCAAGAGAAACTACCTAGGCTGAAGGGTGCATAGCTGTCATGTGGTTATGTCTGCATTTCTCATTTGAGTCACAGGAAAGGAAGTTTCTTTAATTAGGTGCATCCGGCAGGCATCAAATCAAATAAAATCATAAGCTTCAGTCACAGGTAGTTCTCAGCATCAATTTCAAAGAAGTGGATTGCTGGATCTACAGAATGAAGCAAAGACAGAAGAAGGGGGCTCCCTACCTAGATGCGGTTCAATACCCTTGGAAGTCAGAGTTGCGCTTCTCTGTGCTGGGAAGTAGGAAACGTCTATTGGTCAAGTATCATCCATTGAACTATAATGAAGGCCACCTTTCATGCCAAGCTTTGAGGCATCCACTTAAAGATCCATCTCAGGAGCTATGCTGAGACAGAGGAGTCTGGAATCTTGTTCTTGTGATTGGTTCAAACATAAGTGAGAGCCCAGGTTTGCACCTAACTTGGGGTGTCACATGTAGGCTTCTGAGGATTAGGGTTAAAATATCACCTCCGCCTCCTGTTGTTTAAACTCTCAATGCCTCCATTACCTTATCCTTAAATAAAAGAATAGGAATACTCCAACGGGGGGCAAGTAAGAGAAAATAAGTGTCAGGTGTTTGGCACACAGTCTATTATAAATGCAGTAAGCTTTCATAGATAGTCGCTACTCTAGTCAAAGCCAGATGGGATGAAGTCACTCTCTGGGTCAACAGAGCTGAATCAATGTGGCTGACAAATCCCAATTTAATATATTAATTTGAAGTGGCTATTAACACAGCTACCACTTGAAAAATCTGGTTAGAATACCTAATGGGTACGATGTACATTATTTGAGTAATGGCTACCCTAAAAGCCCTGATTTCACCACTATGCAATCTATGCGTATAACAAAATTATACTTACACTTCATAAGCTTATACAAATTTTTAAAAACAGAAAAATTTTTCAGTCAGTTATTTACCCTTGGTGAGTCAAGGCCACTTTTGACCCCATTTGCTATTTACTCTGAGCTAACAGAGGCTCCAGCAGGTCCCAATTGCCTGGATTCAAGTCCCAGCTTCATCCTTAACTGGCTGTATTGTCATGGGCAGAGAAATGACAACAACAATGGGTCCCACTTCATAAGGACTATGGGGATTCAAGAAGCCAATTCAATCAAAGAGCTTTGCCCAGCATCTGGCACTTAAATAGTTATCACCGGAGTCACAGAAAGCCACCATCAAGGCAAGCAGTCGCTTAACCCTGCAAGAAGTTGAATGTGCACCCATTATTCAAGAATGCCCACTATGGCCATTTCATCTCACCTCCAGTCCAACTCTAACCTTGAACCTCATATAAAAAGAATAAAAACACAAATGTAAAAATGTCCTCAGTGGTCTTTCCCAAGTAACGGAATATCCAATGTCTGCGCTAATGCTCCACCATTTTATAGATTTCAAGGTGGAGGACCATCTGTATCATTTCATTTGAGCTTCACAAGCCAGTTATGTTTGTCTGCATTTTAAAGGTGAGAAAAGTAATGCTGATAGAGGCCAATGGCACAGCTGTTCGGAGGCAAAGCTGGTACTTAAATTCAGCTCTTCTCAACGCTAAGCTCAGGCCCCTTTCCATCCAGCCAAGGAAGAAAGGCAAGGCATGCAGGATTTCAGTTCTAAAATCCAGATTCACAGACATTCTCAACAGTGAAAGAAAACAGTGATTGGATCATAATAATTTTCAACCACATAGTAAGAGTCAATGGCTTTGTTACAAAATAGTGGTAGGGAGGTCCCCATCTGACCCTCCAGGGCCATAAGCTTGATGAGAATGTTCTGATACTGTGCTGGCAGGGCTGCAAAACGAGCTGTCCTCAGAAATGCATAGGTTAGTGACGTTAAGTTGTTACCAGCTGCCATTTGCAACTTTCATTCCAGGCAAGATGACGTAAAATGATTTCTGCTGTCCTCACAGACTCTGCTAACTCCTATTTTTAGTAGGCAAATCTCACACCTTTTCAACACTACTGCAGCAAAGAATGAGTTCTGAATGATTTGAATTTTGAGGGAAAGTCAGGGAGTGGTGGGAGCAGAAATCCCTTACAATTAAAGACCAGTTCATTAACGTTTTCATACATATGGATTAACCAATTTAAGTGAGGTGAAAAAGCAGCCTTGTGAATAGATTTGTAATATCAGGAATCTCATAAAAATTTCATGCTCCACCAGCAAGTGCCCTTGGCTTAACAGCAGTGTCCTTCCTCCCCTTGTATTAATTTCTCAGGTCAGAAGCCTAAAGAAGGCAAATATCACGAATTCTACCTGAATGCCCCCACAACTTACAATCAAACAAGATGAAGATGGAGAATGGCTGTGGCCACAGTTTGGAAGCATGCTTAGGAAAGGTACCTTAGCGTCTGGACGTCTAGTGGAGCCTGACTCAGCTCCTCACGCCCTGGGCAGTGCCCTCTCATCCTCCTCCCTCCCCTGACTCCCAGGATACCGCCCTCACCCTGCAACCTCCCGACCTCCCAACTCACTGCTGGCTCCTCTGCCCTCTCCTGTGGCCACTACTACCTCCAACCTCAAAGCAAGAACTCTGCAACTCTCTTCCAATTTTTTCCCCTTTCTTTTTACACTCTCACCCTCTCCTATCTTGATGGCTTCCATGACTTTCTCTAGCATCCATACAATGGGAACTCTCTCTATATTTTTTCCCCTGGTTTCAGTCTTGTTCCCACATTCCAGCCCCAAGTAAGAACCATTTACCGACACATCCATGTTGCTCAGCCTGCTGTACCCAAGCCCTAAAGAGGGTGCGTATGCACATTTCCCATTTCCTCTGAATCACCCAGAGGGGTCCTTTGACTCCATTCACACCCTTGTTCCCCGCATCCAACTGACAACTGAACCCTGATGATCCCGATCCTCACATAAACGTTTAACCCATCCTTTCATTCCCACACACAAGTTCATGCCTTTATTTCTATTGGTACTTGCTAGAAGATCTCTATCTTTTCATCTCTTTTTGACCATAATATATGCCAAATACTATGAGAATAATCTGTCTAAAATACATATCAGCTCATATATACCCAATAATGCCAAATGTCTGCAAGTCTTCTTAATCCAAACTCCTTAGCATCTACATTCTCCCCACATGTGTCCCCATGAGCATTTTCAGCCTTACTACCTATTGCTGCATCTAATGCATCTTATCCTGCAGCAAACTGGATCCACTCTTCTTTGAACTCCTCCCCCATGACCCAGGACTTCCCCCACGTATAAATCCAAACAATATTTCAGTGTCCAACTCATTGGAAATTCTGAACTATTGTTCAGAATTTTATATGAACTATTGTTCATATAAAAATTCAATCAATTGCCATCCTCAATACTTCAAGCATTTTAATTAATTAAGTTCTGTCAATGCCCTTCAACCAAAGACTACTAAGGACACACCTGTAGTTGAACAAGTTGAGTTTATTACCCATTGCAGTTAGAGAGACTGCACGCCATGGGAATCGTGGAGTGTCTCAATTAGAAGGTGTTAGATGGGATTTATTATAGGATTTGAACTCTGGTTAGGTTATTTGGGGAGATTTCACTCTAGAGTGAATGCTGGATGCTGTCAGAAAGCAGGAGCAATTCTTATCTAAAGAATGGGAAGGCTAGAGCAAGACCAATGCTGTATTTGGTAAAGAGGAAGCTGTCACTCTACATATGTGACACTAAGAACTGAGAGAAAGTGGATACTTGGTATTTTGCGGGTTGCAGGGTGACCTTGTTTTTGTATTGGACAAAATTATAAAGTGGTCTTGTTTTGCCTGACTCTATCATAGCCTCTGAATGGTCATATCCAATATCCGTGTTATGTGGAATTGTTGATGTTCTTAAGTCCAGCAGAAGACATCATGGCCCAGCTGTAAGCATCAGACCAGCTCCTAACGACCTCAAGGTCTACCTGTAAGTGCCAAGCAAGCTCCTGACATCAGCGGCTGCTCTTCTTTTTCTCAGTTCTCAGCATCATCATGATGTCAATATACAGATTTAAACATTCTCTAAAGCAGAGCACAGATTATGAAGAGTAAAGCAAACTCTCCCTTGCTACAGATGCAGCTGGGTGATCAGGATTCCATTTGGGGTCCCAATGGTGAGGTGGGCATCATATTTTGGAATACAGAAAAGGAAGGACATGAGGGCAGGATTAGGATCTGGAGGAAAAAGGTAATATATTCTATACAATCTACAACTCTCAAGAATAGTGTGATATGCAGATCAGAAACCCCCTACAGCATGTTAAATATAAGAATGCCTTCATCGGCCGGGAGCAGTGCTCACGCCTGTAATCCCAGCACTTTGGGAGGCCAAGGCAGGCAGATCAAGAGGTCAGGAGATGGAGACCATCCTGGCTAACACAGTGAAACCCCATCTTTACTAAAAATACAAAAAATTAGCTGGTTGTGGTGGTGGGTGCCTGTAGTCCCAGCTACTAGGGAGGCTGAGGCAGGAGAATGGTGTGAACCTGGGAGGCGGAGGTTGCAGTGAGCTGAGACTGTGCCACTGCACTCCAGCCTGGGCGACAGAGCAACGCTCTGTCTTAAAAAAAAAAAAAAATGCTGGTAAACTAGATAAAGTTTTTCTGGTTAATAACAGATGAAAGTTGTCCACTATACTTACTATACTTATCCAAAAATGTAAAGGCACATGGGCCTTAGTGAGCTAAATGTCTTCAAACCTTTGCAGGTATATTTATTTCTTTATTGCTGTTCAATTGCTATTAAAATCCTGACCATTAAGTCTTATCCTTGATCCTGTTTCCAGCAAATATTATCGGACTACTGATATTTTCAGGTCTGAGTTTAACAGAAGGAGCAGTGTCAACTGTGTCTTTCGGGACATACAGACCAGAAATGCAGCTCACATGTAAGGCATATGTAGAAAATACAAAAAAAAAATTACATCTAAAATCCTTACAAATATAATTTTCTTTCAAAAAATTTCACTTGGAAAAAGTCTACATTTCCTTTGGTTTACAGCCTATTATATATCTGGATGATCTAATTGAGTTACCAGCCCTTTGGTGAAGAAGAATGGGCAGAGGAACTTGGTTGGCAACTGTGCCATGTCTAGTCTGGGATTTCAACTGCAGTTGAAATGATGAGCATCTTAGATCTTGCTTGTTAAAAAAAATTATAAACATATTTCCACGTAAAAATCTCCAATGCCCTGTCCCTTAAATTCCCTTAAATAGTAATATGTGAGGCACATTCTATAATGGCAGGGTTAATTCAATTCCACAAGTTTAGAGTAATAACTCAAGTGCAAACTATCTTCCTTCCTGCCAGGGACTCCTTCCAATACCGGTCATGTACAGCTATTATCTGCAGAGGCCACCATTGTATTGAGAACACAAGCAATACTGTGGCTCCCACCTGCAGGGGAAATGGCACCCCCACCCCAGCGAGTTCCACCTCATCCTGTTTGTAGCAGCTCCAAGTTCTCACTTTCTTCAGCAGATTTCAATTTGCAATTTTTAAGAGAACGGGTAGCCTATCACTTAACACTGTCACTGGAAGATAACATTTCAGTAATTACTCAGTGCTGACATTTTATTATTTAATCTTAAAATCCCATCAGAAATCCCTAGCCCGAAAAGCTACAAACGAAGTTTGAAAATAAAACACCCGGCAAATCTGATTTGCAGTAATCAAAATGGCATTTTGTCAGATGGGAACTAATTATCAACCTGACATGACTTCAATCTGCTGCCATTTTATGAAATGAGATCCGTTTGCTCTCTGTAAAGAAGATCAGCCTTGCTGCTCCATAGCTAGATGCCCAATTTCACCTATTCTCGTGAGATTCTTCCATTATGCAAACTGGTGTTGAAGCAATTACATGCTCCAAAAGATGAAGACGAGAAATTTCACATTCACAGACTTGTCATGTTCACCTCTTAAAATGTAAGTTCTTGCCTGGTGTTAAGATGCCTTTTTTATTTTACACAGTCACCTAACAATCTGAAGAAACATCCCCTCTGAAGGCAGTTTCAGCTCCCAGGTTCAACAAGAGGGCCCTGTCACGATTACAAGGCTCTGCTTTGAGACTGCTGAACAAATGAAGGGATCATGTTCATTCCACGAACAGAATGCACACGTCTTCAGGCTTTTCAAGGCTATTAAGGGGCTACTGCTGGACCACAGACAATTATCAAGTCAAACGCTCCAAGTGGGCATGAATGTTTTAGCAGAGAATAGACGGAAGGAAAGTGGAAATTAAACAGGAGTGATTTCACCCCCACATAGCTCGAGAATCCTGCTGGAATCTCCACGGACAGAAAGAAAGAAGAGCTTTCACTAGTCCATGCCAGGAAATGGGCTGCCTGCCTCTCATTTCATGCTCTGACATATAACTCTCCTCTCTTTTCTGATAGAGGGGAAAACTGAGTCCCAGAGATGCCTGTAAATTTCCTATGGTTTTAGTCAATAAGCGAGGATGTTAGAGAGGTCCTTTCTACCACTCTCGGCTGCCTCTCCCAATGTGGAAAGAGAAACATCAGGCAGTATATTTTCTATTTGGTTGCCTCACACGTGTTGAAAAACTCTATTTGGTATTATTAAAAAACACTATTTATCTCTAACTCCCTTCAATTTTAAGTTTTAGAAATCAACTAACTATAAGAAAAAGTTTGGGTCAGGCATGGTGGCTCAGGCCTGTAATCCCAGCACTGTGGGAGGCCGAGGCAGGCAGATAACCTGAGGTCAGGAGTTCAAGACCGGCCTGGACAACATGGTGCAACCCTGTCTCTAGTAAACATACAAAAATTAGCAGGGTGTGGTGGTGGGAGCCTGTAATCCCAACTACTTGGGAGACTGAGGCAGGAGAATCGCTTGAACCCGGGAGGCAGAGGTTGAAGCCTGGGCAACAAGAGCAAAACTCCATCTCAAAAAAATTTTAAAAAAGAAAAAGTTTGATATAATTAAGAAAAGAAGTCAGAGGAGAAAGGGAGGAGAAAATAAAGTTGTTTTCTGGTCTTACAATATTTAATTCTTCTTTGTGGGGCTTCACAGAGAGAACGGAACTCTCAGGAGACAGGTAATAAAGTATTAAGGAAGTTTTTGTTCAGAATGCTGCTGAGGGGTATTTTCACATGTGTTACGACATCCAGAGCAGAGCTGGGAACAGCGTGCTCGTGAGTCAGTACGTGAGTAAGCCTCTGTTCTTCCAGCACAATTGCAGCTTGTTTAGTTTGCAAACACAAGTTGTCTCAGTGATCCACATTCCCAATAGGTAAGGGCCAGCGCCACACTGCCTCCTCCCACAGGACACGCAGCTCACAGCATGTGAGCCCGAATCCACATGGAAGAAAACTGGACCCTCTGAGGGGCAGCTATTCCTGTCTCCACCCTGGCTCTGAAGGAGAGCATGGAGGTCAACCAAGAAAAATATCCTCATGTCAAACACAGTGGAGAAACTGTTTCACTTCAAGGTTTATGAGATCCAAAAATGTTACTGCGATAGTTCATTTCGGGTGTCAACTTGGCTAGGCCATGGTTCTTAGATACTCGCTCAAACACTAATCTAGATGTTGGTATGAAGGTGTGTTTTAGATGAGATTAACGTTTAAATCAGCAGACTTTGAATGAAGCAGATGACTCTCCAGAATGTGCGTGGGCTGCATCCAAACAGCTGAGGACCTTAAGGACAAAGACTGAGGTTTCCCAAAGAAGAAATAATTCAGCTCAAGACACAACACAGAAACCTCGCCTGAGTTTCCAGCCTGCCAGCTTCCCTACGGATTTTGGACTTGTGAGTCCACACAATTGCATGAGCCAGTTACTTAAAATAAATCTCTCTCTCTCTCCTCGCTCTCTGTCTCCTGTTTCTCCGGAGAATCCTAACTACTAACATTGTTACAAAGCAGATTAAACAGCCCTATTCCCTCTGAATGTCAGAGCAGAGAGGAAAGAGGCACTTGGCAAAATATCAGTTGCTTAGAAAATCGGGGAATTAAGAGTCTATGTGAAAAAAGGCTTTTCAACACCATTCAAGTGCCAAATTGCATTTCTCAGTAACTTGTTGAGTTATTCGTTGAGTATGAGACATGCCCTTTGGAAGTTCCAGGCCAGGCACTGGAGCAGCAAAACCAGGGACACCGGCATTCGAATCTGGGCTCAGCCCCCATTCTGGGTGTGTAGCCACAGGCACATGACTGAACCTCTAGAGGCATTTCAAACCTTGGTGTAAATGTGACACTAAAAAGACCAGAGATGTGAAGCACCCGGCTCAGAATCTAGAAAGATCAGTGCTCACTAAATAGTGGCTTAGGGTGATTGCTGCTGATACAAAAGCTATTAATAAAACACAGTTCCTCCCAGCCCTAAGGAGGAGAGAGACACATACAAGGATAATTAATGTTCTGTTTCCAAGACCACAAAAGTGATATTGTAGGTGACTGTCGGAACCCAGAGGAAGGGAAACTGAGTCAGCCCCAGAAGTAGAAGTTTGTACAGTGAGGTGGGGTAACGGGGAGCACGCATTCCAGCTAGAGGCCATTGCACCAGCAAAGCCAGGGTCAAGCCAAACCAGATACTGGCCAGCCATACTGACTGGCCAGGGAGATGTGTGGGGATTCATTGTGCTGGGAAGCTTTCTAAAGAGCCAGCTCGTGTAAGGATGGAGACATACACAGAATAGAAACGAGAGGAAAGGGCTGCCCCGTGCATTCCTTTCTGACTACACTAGTGGGTTGTGCACACACAAAATTTTGACTAGTAATCACTCACTTCTAGGTATCAAAACCTCCATAATTAAAAATCTGTAATGCAAATGCAGAAGGCATTTGGAAATTAAATGGTAAAAGTTTTAAATTCTTACATAGGGAGCCAGTGATATAACATAATGTGCATAGAGTAACAATTTTAATAGATGACACAATTCTGAATGTATTGCACCGTGCTTTTCATGCACGTTAAGATGAAAGAAGATATTCTGTTAACTTAAGCACACAATAGTAAAAGATACACAACACAGTGAAAGTTCTGCAGTGACTTACAGTAAATTGATAAAAATGCTTAGCCTGTGATGAGATTAAGCCTGTTTTCAATTTTCTTTATTTTGCTTGTTTTTTCTACAATGAATGTGAGTTGATCATGAAATGATGAAAGAGTATTTTTTTAACCCTGCCAAGAGTAAATCTAAAAAAGAAAGTGTGTCATAAATGAGTGGAATTCACTTTTATTCACAAGTATATCAGTAAGTATACTTACTTACAAGCATACCAGTAAGTATACCACTTTTATTTACAAGTATACCAAGATGCAAAAGAAAAAGTAATGGTCTTTTGAGATTGGTTTGAGATTGAGAAAAGGAAGATGTACTGTGTAGGGGCGGTACCCACCTGGATCACAGAGGCATTTGTAGCTGGTGCCCACGCTGCGGCACGTGCCATGAGCACAGGGGCTGAGGGCACAGAAGTCAATAAGCTGGGCACAGGTCGGCCCTGTGAAGCCCGGGCTGCAGTTGCAGGTAAAGTGTACCCCGTCCACATAGCAGGTGCCGTTGTTCTGGCACGGAGACGAGGCGCAGGGGTCCACCTTTTCTTCACAAGCAGATCCGAAGTATCCTGTGAAAAAACACATGAGAGCTTAAAAAAACTAAAACACATTTGCACATAATAACTAATCAACTGAGTCTGCTCCACTGTATATGCATAACAATTAATTCATTCACAGCTTCCAGATATGTCACAACCCAACAAGATAGGTAGGTTGTTTTTCCCACCTTTAGTAATGTAGGGTTAAAAATATTAAGCCCCACAATTCCATTTTTATTGAAATATAAGGTATATGACTGTTTAGGAGTACATACATACGTGTACATGAATATATTTATGTGCACACATGTGTATATGAACATGTGTGTATACTCTAGAAATATATCAAAAATAAATTAATGGTAATTTCCTAAAGGAATATGGGATTTGGATCAGCAGAGGGCTCTCCCCTCTTATTTTGTATATATTAATGGGGAACACATTTCTTATTTTGCTTTAATAGATATGACATAATCCTGAATTCAAAAAATTAAAACCATATCAAATAGTAAACAATGAAAAAGTCTCTTTTTCATCCTTGTCCCTTTGTCTCTAATTCCCTTCTCTACAAGCAGCCACTGTTAACAGTTTCTTGAATATATGCTTTTTAAAAAGTTGATTGTTGTAAGAGAAACAAAAGTGATCTACCCACACAATGAAATACCACTCAGCAATAAAAAAAAAAATAAGTACTGACACATCGTATGACATGAATGAATGTCAAAAGCATTATGCTAAGTAAAAGAAGCTAGGCACGAAATACTACATATTATATAATCCCATTTGTAAGAAATGTGCAGGAAAAGCAAATCTGTAGATACAGAAAGTAGATAAATGGTTGCCTATGGCTGGGCCGGAAAGAGGAGTTCACTGCAAATGGACATGAGGAGTCCACTGGGGTGGATGGAAATGTTTTAAACTTGGATTGTGGTGATAGCTGCACAACTCTGTAAATTTACTAATATGCTTTGAACTGTACTTTCAAATGAATGAATTTTATAATGTATAAATTGTACACTTAAATAAAATTTTATGTTATATAAAATTATGTAAGGCTGTTAACTTTTTCTTTTAAATATGGTTACTGTGTAGGTGATTTTTATCTTGTTTCCTGTGTATCTGATTCAGTATTTCTTGTTAAAAAATTATACATGTGCATATGTGTGGGTCTCTACATCTGTGCATACATGTAGGTATATATGTTTAACAATGCTTTCCATAAAACTATACTTCTTTCAATACTTTAAGAGCAGTTTGAAAATTAAATATTATTCAAATTTTAGAAATAAAAGTTAAATAATTTCACTCACATATAGTTTGTATTCTAATAGTCTATTACACGTCTCTTGTTTACATTTAAGTTTCTATTTACTCATCTTCTTATAGAACTCCTAGCAATACTGACAATTTTTGTTGTTGTTAAGGACACATTTAATATGTAAACAAACCAAAATAACTCCCAGATTTAATTATGTGAAGCACCACTCATAAATTGGCATAATCAACTTGGTATTTCTCTGTGCAGTATAGAAATATAAAATTATCCTCCAAAAAAATCCAATGCTATTCAGCATTTTATAAAATTCCTGGTAGCTTTTAAATCTTAGAAATCCTACTAAAAATGTACCATACAATCAGTTTTAATAACACTTGAATTCTCCAAAAAGTTTCTTGGCAGCCTCAAGTGGAATATAATTCTACCCATCATGAGATATGTTCCATTTTACTCTGATTGAAAAGAAGATACTTAAACATTTTTCAACATATGACAGTACTATATGTTACCGTCACTATTTAACATGATTTCAAAAATAGGATTTAATATCTCAAATCTTTTAATTTTAGACAATAAAATAATTTTTATCTGTCTAGAAAATGCAGCATAGCTGCTTAAAATATTAAAAGGCCCATTTGATTTCCTCGAGCATGACACTAAAAGTCATTCAATATTTTTTTCTTAATATGAAGGAATAATTTTGAGAAATGAATTGACCAAGCCACCCTACAGCTTGCATTTAGTTAGATAGTGACCCAAGATTGCATCTTATGACTTGAGAGGAAAAAAAAATGGTGGGGGTGGGCGGTGGCCAGTGGGGAGCAGTGCAGGTTCTAGGTTAACCTTGTGGATGCACTGATTTCTTTACAAGAAATTCAGGCTCATGATAAATTCCATACCCAAGGCTGGGTACCAGTTTGCCCAAATCAGCAGCTCAAGGTGAATCAGAAAATCATAAATGTTAATGCTCAGAAATAGAAATCAATTTATTTTATTTTATTTTGTTTTGTTTTTTGAGACAGAGTCTCACTCTGTTGCCCAGGCTGGAGTGCAATGGCACAATCTTGGCTCACTGCAACCTCTGCCTTCGGGTCAAGCGATTCTCCTGCCTCAGCCTCCTGAGTAGCTGTGATTACAGGAGGACACCACCACGCCTGGCTAATTTTTGTATTTTTAGTTGAGACGGGGCTTTACCATGTTGGTCAGGCTGGTCTCGAACTCCTGACCTCGTGATCAACCTGCCTCGGCCTCCCAAAGTGCTGGGATTATAGGCGTGAGCCACCGTGCCTGGGCACAGAAATCAAATTTAAGAGGACATTTTGATTATTTTTGTTCCTCCAGAAGAACTGAACTAATGATGACAGAAGGTGACAGTTGAGAACTGTCAACTCTGTCAACTCTTTTAGTTGAGAACACAGAGAAGAGAAGTGATCATAGGAACTGTATCCTTGAAAACTCTATGAGATTAGGTGGGTGAGAACTTGATGGAAAGAATATCTAGGGAGGGTCAAAGATAAGAAAAATCAGGAACAAGAAGCTTATACCTACGTTAGGAGCATAAAAATGAAAATTACTTAGAACTACTAGAACCCAGTAGAAGAGTTAATATTAAATATAGTTCTCAGTGGAGGTTGATAGTTAAGCATTGGATTAGCAATGTCATGGGTTAAATTGCGTCCCTCCAAAATTCATATTTTTTAAAATTAGCTTTCTCTGGTTGAGTAAAATTCATATTTTGAAGCCCTAACTCTCAATACCTCAGAATGTGGCTTTTCAGGGATAGTGCCTTTAAAGAGGTGAGTCAGTTAAACTGAAGTTGTTAGGTTGAGCCCTAATGCAATCTGACTGGTGTCTTTATAAGCAGAGATCAGGACACAGAAAAAGACACCAGAGATGCCTGTGCACAAAGGAAAAGACCTTGTGAGGAGGAAGCAAGAGGGTGGCCCTCTGCAGGCCAAGGAGAGAGGCCTCAGAAAAAATCAACCCTGCCAGCACTTTGATCCTGAGCTTCCAGCCTCCAGAACTAGAAGTAGATGAACTGCTTATCAGCCTCCAAAGCTAGAAAAAGATGTCTGTTGTTTAAACCTGTAGTCCTTGGTCACAGCAGCCTGAGAAGACTCATACAAATAGGGAGCATAAGGAGACAGGGAAGCGATAATTAGGATCTTGTGTTTGATTCTGTGTTCACCACCCCAGCAGTCTGAGTGACCATGGCAAGGCCCCCTTTCTCCCATCGTCCACTGCCTCTACCTGGAAAACAGGGCTGAAACTGTTTTCTTTACAAAGTCACTGTGGGTTCTGAAAAAAATACATATCAAACTTCCTAGTACGGTTCCCAGTCCAAGGCTGGAAGAATGAATGAATTAAAAATGCTAATAATAACAGCAACAGGCCAGGCGTGATGGCTCATGCCTATAATCCTAGCACTTTGGGAGACTGAGGCAGGCGGATCACGAGGTCAGGAGTCCAAGACCAGCCTGGCCAACGTGGTGAAATCCCGTCTCTACTAAAAATACAAAAATTAGCCGGGTGTGGTGGTGCCTGCCTGTAATCCCAGCTACTGGGGAGGCTGAGGCAGGAGAATCGCTTGAACCCAGGAGGCGGAGGATGCAGTGAGCCGAGATAGTGCCACTGCACTACAGGCTGGGTGACAGAGCAAGACTCTGTCTCGAAAAATAAATAAACAAATAAATAAATAACAGCAACAGCTAACATCCACTGGAGGCTGATTTGCATCACCTGGTTCTAACCCTTTAGGTGAACTATTTCATTTAATCCTACTATTATAGTAGGATGTAAGAACTATAATAGCCCTATCTTACAAATGTGAAAACAGTGACATGAGAATGTGAAGTAACCTTTTCAAGTCTAAATAGCTAGTATATGGCAGAGCTGGGACACCAAGGCCAAGTGCTTACACGTCTCCTACACTGCACAGAAGAGAAGTGAATGACCAACCAATTAAGATGTTATGATGTGTAAGCAAAACCAGGACTTATGTTTCTATCCTGTTTGTGTCTTGGTGAAAGAATAGAGGATTTACTGATCAGGTCAAAATAAAGGAAAAAGTGAATTTTAGAAAGGCAATCACTCTAGCTTTATGTCAATATACTCAGTTATAAATAGTAATATAAGCCACACAGAATAGTCCAAGTAGAAATAAAAATGGGTAACAAGGAGACATAAAGGGTCATGGCTTTGGAGAGAGCCAATATTTCAATAAGAAGAGAAGTGCAGAAAATGAATAATAATGAGAGCACTGGTCAGGCCAGGTCACGACTGGTCTTATATGTTACACTTGGGAGCTTACATTTCATTCTGAGGCTACTGGATATCATCTATTTTCATTATTTATATCTCTAATTATAGGCAATGTGGAGAGGGAATCAGAAGAGGTTGAGACCGGAAGCATGAAACCAGTTGTTTACTCGAATAATTGAGGTTGTGAAGGCCAATTTGTAGCAATAAACATAAAGAATGTGAAATATATTAGAGCATGATTTTATAAGTAAAATTATCAATTCAGGGACCACTTGGACTGTAGAAGAATGGAAGAGACGACAGAGCCCAGAGACACAATGTAACATAAGTCAAAAATGCAAATGCCAGCAGGACTCCGGTAGATAATGTTGATACAGAGGGTGGATCAGGTGTAATACAATAGGGACTGGCAGGGTCTGTGGCAAACGGGAGAAAGCATGCCCCTTCCAAAAAAGACGGCCGCCATAACCTGCAGCCAATTTGAAACATGGGGCCAGGTACCATATCTTCTGAGTGTTCAAGAAAAGTCCGAAATCCAAATTCCTGTTTGAGCCTTGTCTATTTTATTATTATTTTATTTATTTATTTATTTATTTTTTGAGATGGAGTCTTGCTCCGTAGCCCAGGCTGAAGTGCAGTGGCATGATCTCGGCTCACTGCAACCTCCGCCTCCTGGATTCAAGCATTCTCTTGCCTCAGCCTCCCAAGTAACTGGGACTACAGGCACTTGCCACCACGCCCAGCTAATTTTTGTATTTTTAGTAGAGACGGGGTTTCACCATGTTGGCCAGGCTGGTCTTGAACTCCTGACCTCAAGTGATCCACTCGCCTCAGCCTCCCAAAGTGCTGGGATTACAGGCGTGAGCCACCACACCCAGCCAAGGCTTGTCATTTTAAACTGTTGATAAATAATTTCTCCAGCAAATAAAGCATATGTATGGGCCCTGTATATGTGTCTTCTCTGTGTGAGTTAATGTTAAAGAGCTTTGAACCAAGGGGAATTGGATTTAAACACCATCTCAGCCCACTAAACTGTGGGACTTTGGGCTAGTACTTAATCACTCTGACTTTCTGCTTTTGTATCCATGAAAGAAAGATATTAATGCTTACAATTTTCATTTCTTATGAAGCTTAACTGCAAAAATCTATGCAAAGCACTTGGCACAGTGACTCTCCAATTGTTAAGTGTTAATAAGAAGCAGCAATAATTATAATGTAATTTCCAGGTTTTCAGATGGGGGGACAATGTGGATAGTGTTGTTATCAAATGCAGTGGAAAATACAGGAGGAGGCTGCTAGGGGAGGGTTATGAGTTCAGCTTTGTGCAAAGTGAGTTGAGATGCTTTTGCAGTTGTTCAATAGTCATTAAATATGCAGAACTTGTGCTCAGGAGAGAGGTATGAACTAGACTGTTGACTGGGAGCCATATGCACATGGATGGGAATTGGATTCATCATAGGTATACATGACACCACTTGGGGCAAATGAACAGAGAGACAAGAAAGCTCAAGGCTGGAACTCTGAACAACTGTAGCTCTTGTGAGCACAAGAAAGAAGAGGAAACCAAGAGCATGTCTCATTGAGAGACCTCTCCTCTTGTTCTGCAGCTCTCTGTAGATCTCACTCTCTCCTAGCACCTACCCCACCCTTTCTGCCTCCTCCATAAGTGGTCTCTGATTTTCTTGAGATCAGGGAATGTAACTTACATGTCTTTGTATCCCTGTTGCTCAGCATGAAGCTTGGAAGATGGTAGGCATTTGACCAGGGACAGATAAATGGACAGACAGGCAGACAGACGGATGGATGAATAGACAGCTAGCTAAGTTTCAAGAAAGAAAGAAGTTGCAGGGTTTGGTCAGGAATAAAATATATTAAAAAAAAAAAAAAAAAAAAAAGAAAGAAGAGAAACCAGGAGAGAAAGGTGTCACTGAAAACAATGGAAGAGAGAATGTGAAAAAATGGCACTGAACCTTGCTTGTAAATCACATGCACAAGCCCACGCCAGCCTGCTGCAAGATGAGAGACGGCATGGAGCAAAGGAAGCTAGCACAGCCAAGGCCATTCTAGACCACTTGACCTCCATCAGTGTGGCCAGTGACCAGCTAAGCTTGCCCAAATTGCTATTGCAATGTACAAGGACTATGAGCTAAATGAGTGGCTGCCATTTTAACCACTACATTTTGGGGGTGGTTTGTCATGCAGCCAAAGTTAACTGATAAAATTAATAGGAGCTACAGGATTGTATCTATGTGGGAATACAGGCCAGAGGGAGATTTTTGTTTTGCTTTGCTTTATGGAACAGACTTGAAAGAGTAATTGATCATACACTACAGGAAAATTTCACTAAAGAGATGATCAATAAATGTTTGTTGAATTGAATATCAAAAAGTCCCACTGCTGTTGAATCAAGGATCCTGTGTTTTTTTATTATTATTAAAATTTTGCTTTTTCTTATCAATTCAGGAAAATATAATGCAGGATGAGAATGGAACTAATACTTAATATTTTCAGAGTCTGCTAGCATACCTCAGTATACATACTGAGGAGAGAATACACTTTTGGCATATTATCCAGTCTAAAAAAGAAAGTGGAAAATTTCACTAAAGAGATATCAATAAATGCTTGTAGAATTGAATATCAAAAAGGCCCACTGCTATTAAATCAAGGATCTGTGTTTTATTATTCTTAAAATTTTGCTTTTTCTTACCAATTCAAGAAAATATAATGCAGGATGAGAATGGAACTAATACTTAATATTTTCAGAGTCTGCTAGCATATCTCAGTATATACTGAGGAGAGAATACACTTTTGGTATATTATACAGTCTAAAAAAAGAAAGTGGGATATAAAATGCTCTTCTGTTACAAAGAATGACAAAGCAAAAAGAAAATGAATGCAAGGTATATCTGAATACACTTTGAAGAGATGAATGTGAGGTACAGCAATTATGAGATAATTTTCCTGGCTCACATGATTATTAATGACCACTAGAAAAGGAATGCCAGACTTAAAGGCTGAGTCACTTTTGAGATGCTATTGCTTTAACGAGTAAATTCTCCATTTCCTTCTATCAGCTAAGCTATTATCTTCTTGTTCATATGACATCCTTTTACAAATGACTCACATCTCCTTCAGCCACCCTCTAAGTGACCTTCCTAAGAGAAGCAAGAACAGGTTTTATAATTCAAAGAATGCAGAGCCAGAAAACCAAAGTTTGAATCTTCTTACTACCGTGTGACCTCAGGCTTAATCATTTTTTCTCTAATTTTCTTACCTACAAAATGGTGTTGGCTCCTACCATGAAGTCAAGTAAGGTGACACATGTGGTCAATAAATGTCGGATTCTTTTCCCTTTAAACGGTGGTTCTGGGGTAATCTCAAGTTGCCCGTATAATCAGAGTTTGTGGTTAGAGAAAGGAAGCTGGCCTGTCAGTCAGTCTGTGGAATACCATCCATTTTCACATTTGTATGAATCCCACAGGGTCATGACCCTGGATGTCTATAAACGGAGATTTCTGGAATTGGGAGGTGCTCACATACTGCTCTCTAAACACACGAACAGTTACTGGGCCATGCAGTGATGCTGGTGAACAGAGGTGGGGTCCCAGGGCAGACAGCCGTGGCAAGAGGTGGGAGGTAGGAGTGTCCCTGAGAACATCTCTGTACAGGCTCGAAAGGACAATCTGCTGAAGTTGTGTTTGTTAATAGCAAACACTTGTATGTACCAGGCACTGTTCCAAGGGTTTTAAATATACTAAGTCATTTAACTCTCACATCAATCCTATGAGATAAGAACTATCATTTCCCCATTTTCAGATGAGAAAATAGGGATAGAAAGATCAAGTAACTTGCCCAAAGTTACACAGCTAGTAAACGGCAGGTTTGAGATTTGAACCCAGGCAGTCAGATTCAGGTCCAAGCTCCTAACCAGCACTCTGTGCTGTGGCACCCAACACCTGGGGTATAGCAGTATATTAGTCCATTTTTGCATTACTACAAAGGGATACCTGAGACTGGGTAATTTATAAAGAAAAGAGGTTTAATTGGCTGACGGTTCTGCAGGCTGTACAGGAATCATGGTGCCAGCATATGCTTCTAGTGAGGGCCGCATGGAGTTTACAATCATGGCAGAAGGTGAAAGGGAAAGCTGGCGTATCACAGGGTGAGAGCAAGAGCAAGAGAGAAATGCAGGAGGTGCCACACACTTGTAAACAACCAGCTGTCACGTGAACTCAGAGTGAGAACCAAGGGGATGGCACTGAGTCACTCATGATGGATCCCCGTGATCCAAACACCTCCCACCAGGCCCCACCTCCAACACTGGGAATTACGTTTCCACATCAGATTTGAAGGGGACAAACATCTAAACCACACCAAGCAGAAAGGCCAAGAATGAGAGGGCAGGTGCTCCAGGGTCTGTCAGGCCTCTGTCCCTTCCTGACCATGTGTATCAGAAACTACTTTTTGTCCTAACATCCATCTCTCCACTTCCCATGGTCTTACACTTCTGGTCACATGGCAACATAGAACAATGTCTACAGGGACCAGCCTCTTCTGCAGCTACATGTACATCTGTGATGACCTTCTGAATAACAGACACAAGTGAAAATGTCCTGAAGTCACCTCTATAGAAAATTCCTTGAAAGAAGTTGGCAAGCACCCTTTGCTCTTTCACTATTTTCCCCCTTCATCCATCCTACCATCTAGACCACACAGATGATGACCGAGTTTTTCCTAAGTTTGGTGAAAAACATCTACCCATACACAATATGCTCAGTGAACCCCAGGGAGAATAAATCAAATATACAGGAATGTCACAGACAAGCTGCTGAAAACCAAAAATTGAGAGAAAACATTAAAAGAAGCCAAAAAGAAAAAAAAAGACATGATACACACATCAAGCAATAGTAAGATTGACAGATGACTTGTCACCAAGATCTACAGAAGCATAAGATAACAAAATGACATCTTTAAGGCACTGGAAAAATAAACTCGTCAAACAGAATTCTAGTTTCAGGGAAAATAACTTCTAGTAATCAAGGTTAATTAAGATATTTTCTGATAAAGAACAGCTGAGAAAGTTTGTTGCCAGCAGATCTAGCCACACTACAAAAATACTAAAGAAAGTTATTTAAGCTGAATAGAAACAATAATAGGTGGAAACTCAAGTCTACAGGAAGAAATTAAGGGCCCTAGAAATGGCAGTCTGGGGGAGTAAATATTCATTTTTTTCTTAATTTCTTTTAAAAATGGTTAAAAGCAAAAAGAACATTGAATTATGATGTTGTAACGTACATAGAAGGAATATACATAACAAGAGAACAAATAATAAGGGAAGTTAATAGAATTTTACTACCGTTAGGTTCTTACATTTTGCATGAAGTGATTAAATATTGATTCTAAGTAGACTCTCATAAATTAAGGGTGTACACTGTAATTCCCAGAGCAGCCACTAAAACTAAAACAGACGCAACAAAAACCCCAAACCAAAAAACCCAGCAGTATAGCTAAGAAGCCAGTTAAGAAAATAGTATCTTTTTAAATATTCTATTTACCCACCCACCCCCACCACCAAAGAGGGCAGGAATAGAATAAAACAAAGAACATATGAGAAAAATAGAAAATAAATAGCAATGAGGTAGACTTAGATCCAATCATATCAAGGTTATATTGAATATAAGTAGACTAACACCCCAATTAAAAGGCGTAGATTGTCAGACTTTATTTGGAAAAAAAAAAAAAGATCTAACTATGTGCTCTCTAAAAGAAACCCACTCCAGCATAAAGACACATAAAAATGGAAAGTAAGGACAGGTGCGGTGGCTTACACCTGTAATCCCAGCACTTCAGGAGGCCAAGGTGGGCAGATCACGAGGTGAGGAGTTCGAGACCAGCCTGGCCAATGTGGTGAAACCCTGTCTCTACTAAAAATACAAAAATTAGTCAGGTGTGGTGGTGTGCACCTGTAATCCCAGCTACTGGGGCGGCTAAGGCAGGAGAATCGCTTAAACCCAGGAGGCAGAGGTTGCAGTGAGCTGAGATCACACCACTGCACTCCAGCCTGGGTCACAGAGCAAGACTCTATCTCAAAAAAAAAAAAAAAAAAAAAAAAAAGGAAAGTAAAAGAATAGGGAAAGATACATTGTGAAAAAGAAAGCATAAGAAAACTAGTATTCTCTGTTAAAATCAGAAAAGGTAGACTTCAAGACTAAGAACATTATCTGACATAAAAAGGGACACTTAATATGAAAAAGTGAGTAATCCAACAGGAAGCTTTAACAATCCCAAATATGTAGGCGCCTAATAAGAGAGCTTCAAAATACATGAAAGAAAAACTGCTAGCAAGAGAAACAGAAATTATCAGAGAAGAAGCCCTTTCTTAGTAACTGACAGAATCAATTGACAAAATGAGCTAGTTTATACAATAGTTAAATAACATATTCTTTTCATGTGCACATGAAATAAGTCATTTTAATAGATACAGAAAAATTATTTGGCAAAATTCAATATGCATTCATCATTTTTAAGAAGAAAGAAAAACTCTCAGCAAACTAAAATAGAAGGTAACACTTGCTGTATCTTTTAGGGTATATACAAAAAAAAAACTATGGCTAATATCATACTCAATGATGAAATAATAAATATTTTCTCCCTAAGATAGAGAGCAAAGCAAGGATGTCTACCCTCAGCATTTACATTCAATATTTTACTGGAGGTTCTATATATGCAAAAAAAAAGTAAAAGAAATAAAAAACATAAAGTGTAGAAAGGAAAATAAGACTTATTATTCAACAATCTACGATTTTATACAAAGAAAATCCAAAGAAATCTAAAATAAAAATTTGGGGAACTAATAGGTAAATTTAGCAAACTGTCAGCATACAAAGTCAATATACAAAAATCAATAGTGTTTCTATACACTAGTAATAAGCAACTGGAAATTAAAAAATGTTTTACTGGCATTTATAATATTATCAAAAAGCATAAAATAGGATTAAATTTAACAAAAGATATGCAAGATGTCTACACTGAAAACTATAAAACATTACTTGAAGAAATTAAAAATACCCAAATAAATGAAGACATATACCACGTTGATGGGTTGGAAGTCTCACTATTGTTAATATTTAAGTTCTATTCAAATTGATTTACTGCAGTACTAATTATTTGGGGATGCCTATTGTTTATAACTAAATCAAATTCTAATTGATAAATTATGTCAGCGCAATCAAGTAAGTAGCTCTTATATGTTTTATACATCTCTTATATGTCTGTTATCTTATTTGTTAAAAATGGAAATAATAGAATAGCTGTATGCATCCAGTAGTTATAGTTGTACTAGTAGAAATAGAAGAAGAAAGAAGAGAAATTGTTGTGTTAAAAGTAATAGAAAAATTTTATTGAGTTCTTACTACATACGGGACATTATGCCGAGCAATTGGTATCTATTCTTTCTTACTTATCACAACCACTGGCTCAGGTAGGTTCTACCACCATCTACTTTTTACAGACGAAGGTTCAGAGACTTCGCTTTAGGGAACTAACCTAGAAACACTCATCTAGTAACTGGGAAAAATAACATTCAATCAGGTTTGTCTGACTCCAAATCTGTGCTCTTAAGCCCCAATCTATTTGCTGCTTCTCACAAGAGAGTTCGTGTGAAAGCATTTGACAAGTCGAAAACGCCGTGCTAGCATATGAAATTATGTTCAGATCAGCTGGGCATGGTGGTGTGTGCCTGTAATCCCGGCTACTCAGGAGGCTGAGGCAGGAGTTCAAGACCAGCCTGGGCAACATAGTAAAACTCCATCTCAAAACAAAAAAAAGAGGCCGGGCACGGTGGCTCACGCCTGTAATCCCAGCACTTTGGGAGGCCGAAGCGGGTGGATCACAAGGTCAAAAGATCGAGACCATCCTGTCTAACATGGTGAAACCCCGTCTCTACTAAACATACAAAAAATTAGCTGGGCGTGGTGGGGGGTGCCTGTAGTCCCAACTACTCGGGAGACTGAGGCAGGAGAATGGCGTGAACCTGGGAGGCGGAGCTTGCAGTGAGCAGAGATCGCGCCACTACACTCCAGCCTGGGTGACAGAGTGAGACTCCGTCTCAAAAAAAAAAAAAAAAAAAAAAAAAATTATGAAATTTGAGTCCTAAGGAATAAACATGTGCTACCAACTCCTTATAAAATCAGAACTCTTAAAATAATTCAGATATCAAATTAAGAGCCAAGATGTTTATGTAAGAAACTTTAAGAGAAAATCATAAATGTTTTGGTGTTACAAGCTAATGTGTAATGTTGAGAGCTTTTTAAAAACTATTACAAGCCAATGTGTAATGTTGAGAGCTTTTTAAAAACTACCAGCATACAAAGTCAATATACAAAAATTATATATGAAATATATAAATTATTATTTCTTTTTAGAGCTGATTGGTTTTAAATACAAACCTAAAGCCATATTTTCAGGAGAACTTTTTTTCATAAGGATGCACAAGGCAACCAGTTCTTACACTGGTAATTTATAAAATCTAACACAATAAGAAACATCTGATGACATTATAAATTTTCAGAACAAAAATTATAGCCATCAAATTTGAATATTAGTTTTTAATATTCAAGATGCAGGCATAGCCTACTAATCTGCTGATGGAGACCAGACGTTGGTTGATTGGTGGCTCTTAGCTACAATGCATGTTACAGGTTTGTTGATGGATATATTTTGAAATTTTGAGTCAAAACTAGCTTGTCAACCTGATAGTGATCACAAGAAGGTCAAATGTTACAAACATAGTTTCAAAATTTAACGGAGACCACATGTGAAACAATGTATATTCAGAAGAAGCACCTGTGTAAGTGATCCCAAACTCAGATACAGTACTATGTGAGTCCGATTCCCCCTTGTAGAAATATAGAAGTCTGCAAGTCAAAGCTAAAGCAAAGATGAGTAAACGCATCCCTGTGTTGGAGTTACAGAGTGTAGGGCAGTAGGATGAGTGCTAGTAAAAAGACATTTTACAACACAAGGTGGAAAAGGCTTTGGGTCATCTGTGGCTGAGACGGTCAGAACAGATTTCATCTTCCCCAAAAAATTCTAAAAATAAACCAATATTCTCATTCACTCTATTTTCTCCTTTCCCTCCTTCTCTCTCAATATAAATATACAGACATACATT
Source organism: Homo sapiens (assembly GCF_000001405.40). Lineage (NCBI taxonomy): Eukaryota > Metazoa > Chordata > Mammalia > Primates > Hominidae > Homo > Homo sapiens. The sequence goes on from NC_000002.12 coordinate 229,461,220, forward strand.
ATATATAAAGAGTTTTCAATTCAATCTCCAGACCTAGGGACCTCTCTGCATTGTCCTGTTCCTACATAATGTTATAACTCTAAAAGAAATTATTTGAGCTAGCCTTTGGTAAAGTTTCTCTTTTTATTAGCACGGCTCTTTAAGAGCTCTGACCGGTCAACCTAGTAATAATGATCTCTCAAGGTAAGTGTTTTTTTTAAAATTCCCCTTATAGAATATGCAAATTAAATTAGTTATGGTGGCAAAGGGTAGAGAATTGGAAAAGGAAATTTAACATTCCTGGGTTCAAGCACATTCATGGACACATTTAACCTCCAAAATATGAAAAACGATAGATAGGAGAACAAATACAATACTGCTACGTAGAATGATGTCATATAAATAATAAAAATAATAGTAGTATTTATGAAATGACTAAAGGATTAATAAGCTATAACAGAGGAATAATATACAGTCCTAACTGGAAGCTAATAAGCAAATATATTTGGATTTACAATCTTCCTTGAAGAGTAGAAAATGAAAAACTATTTGGTGATGGTAGCCAAAAAGTGCAAGCAGAAAGATGAACATAGTGATATCTCTGGTGTGCAATAGTGTAATTCAAATGATACAGACCTAAGATGATGGACATAAGGAAATCTTGGAAAGAAAACACAACAGCTCCAGAGAAAAGGTCTATTTCAAACACATGGAAACAATGGCAGCAGCCAAGAGATTTCAAACAACTGATTTTAAAACAAGGGAAAAGTTTAGAAAAGGATGAAAGATTAAAGAATTACAATGGAAAATAAACAAAATAGAATTACAAAAGAAACCTACTGAAGAGGAATGCAAATAAAGTAATTTAGCTAGTTGACTTTCCTTCAAATTTTGTGTTTGAACCAATATTAAAGTGAACATTACTGCTGAATTATTTATTATGTAAGTAGAAAGAAATCAATACCCTTGAGATACACCCATTATGGAATCAGATATTTAAGACCAAAAGAAAACATTTCTGGAAGATTTTAAATTGCAAGACAATGAAGTCACTCTATGTATTGTCAGAAAGCAATAGAGGTGTCAGAAATTTTTGCAATACTAAAGGAAAATACAGAATAAAGTGACACTGGCATTTTTTGCTGACAGGGTAAAGACAATTCACATCAAAGAAATGATGTGTATAGGCATTTTAAACTCAACTCAGCATTCCATTGCCTTGGCAAATGGCTCCAGTCAGAAACCTAGGAGTCATACCTGATTGTTTTTCTTCTCTGAACCCCCATATCCATCCAATTAGTGGATCTTATAGACACTATCTCCAAAATACATCATGAACCCAAACACTTTCTTGCAACTTGGCTGCTACCATCCTAGCCAAAGATACAACTATTAATATTTCGCTCCCATTATAACAGTTTTCTCTTATGAGATTCCCTGTCCATCTTACCCCTACAACCAATTCTCCAAACAGCAATAATCATTTTCTTAAAATGTTAATATTATCATGACTTCCAGTAATTCCTAGAATAAAATTTGACCTCCTTTCCATAGGCTACAAGTCCTGTGGGCTCTAAGCGCAGCTCACCAGTCTTACGCCACATGCTTCAGAAGCTGGCCCCACTGGCCTCCATTCAGTTTCCAGAAATAACAAGCCATTCCTCACCTTGATCCTTGCCACATGCCATTTCCACTGTCCAGAAGCTGCTGCTCCTACCTGCTTACAGAGTTGACTCCTCCTTATGTCTTAATTTTTGACATAAGTGTTAGACAAGCAGGTCTCTCCTGATCGCCTCATCCTAGGTACATATCCCTTTCTTATTCTGTATCACAGTACCCTGCTCACCCCTTTCATAGCACTTTTATTTGCAATGAAATAGGTGTGTATTGGTTTCCCTGTTTATCACCTGTTTCCCACCCAGAATAAGACCACAGGCTTCCTGGAGGAGGAACCAGGTTCTTTCCTCTCACCATTGTGCCTTGGCATCCAGCACAGTGTCTGAGCTATGGGAAGTGTGCAGTAAATGTTTGTGGAATAAATGAGTGGATTAAATGAATGGTGTAATAGAGAACATATTCCAACAGATTTGCAACACAATATAGTTAGGAAAAGCAAATTGACAAATATGGATGGGGTTTTAGAAATTACAATGAGGGAATATGAAAGGAGAAATATTAGTCATTAGATGTTTTTATTACAGATATATAAATGAATAATCACTAGATCAAAATGAAAGTAGAAAATATATTTATTTATTTTGTGATGGGGTCTCGCTTTGTCTCCCAGGCTGGAGTATAGTGGCATAATCATGGCTCTCAGCAGCCTTGAACTCCTGGGTTCAAGTGATCTTACTGCCTCAGCCTCCCGAGTAGCTGAGATTACAAGCACTTCCACCACATCCAATTAAATTTCAATTTTTTTATGGAAATGTGATCTCCCTATGTTGCCCAGGCTTGTCTTGAACTCCTGCCCTCAAGGGATCCTCGTGCTTTAGCCTCCCAGAGTGCTGAGATCACAGGCATTGAGCCGCTGTGCCCAGCTGAAGGTAAAATGGTTTATGAAGTATTCTGCTGCGTAGCACGGGAAAGCAAGGAGAAGGAAGAATCCTGACTCTCAGAGAGCTCATTCTTGTACAGAGGAGACCAGAAGGACATATTTGAGATAATGAGAGAACACGTTGAGGCCATTTTTCCTTCCTGCAAACATTGATGGAATGATTCCAGCCTGGCAGGAAGGGTTGAAAGACCAGCCCAGCCTGTCAAAATGGAATCAGTGTGCGTGGCACCAGCTCTAACTGTGGCAGAAATTCAGAAGGAAGAACCCTATGATGTGTGCAGGTCAGAAAAATCTCATGGGACAGTTGGCTTTTCCAACTGGGCCTGAAAGAAAGCACAGGAGTTGACTTGGCAGAAGAGGACAAGGAGTGATGTTCAAATCAGAGAAGGGGTTTTGGCCAGTGTGTATGGAAAACTTAATTGGGACCACATTTGTTCTGGTTCTAAGAAAGCAGACAGTTATGCAAGATAAAGAGAAAGGGGAATATCTGGGAAAATCAATTACAAAATCATCAGCTGTAAAAGACCCAATAGGATTGCATTTTAAATGTGACTTTGAATTTTTAAGAAAATCCATTTGAGAGAGTAAAAAATATCTTAAGGACTTTTTCTTGAGCAGAACAGAAAGTCAAAGTTAGATTTAAGACAGGAAAATGAAAAACAGCTAGGAAATCATCAGAAGAATGTTAAATCAACTCTCCCTTAATTTGGAATACATAGAAGGGCATAAGAGATAAAACTTATTTAAAGGATATAGTTATGTGAACAAAAATAATTGGCTATTGACAATGGAGATTTAAAGGTTTGGTCAGAAGGTCTGCATTTCCCTCTGGGTCTTCATTTATCTAACCTAGACTAATTGGGAGCAGCCATGCATCAGGCACTGCTTCAAGACTTTCCATTCTAGTGAGGAAAACATACTATAAAAAAACAAGTAAATAGGTATCCTCAGTCAGGGCTACAGGTTATTGAAGCAGGGTGCGGTGGGTAGAGAATGGTGGGGGCTGTGTAAGATAGTGGAGTCAGGAAGACCTAAGTGACACAAGGGGGAGAGAGAGCCATGTGAGGGCCCCTATGAAGAAGGGTACAGGGTCAGGTGCAAACGCTCCCTGTAGCATTGGATGTAAGGTGAATGAATGGCTTCCGCCTGGAGGACAATTTCTAAGCCTTTGGCATGTTTGAACAACAACAAGAAGTCAGAATCTGGAGAAAAGGAAAGGAAGAGAGGAATAAGAAATGAGGTTGGAAATTGTGGAAGACAGTGTGGTGATTCCTCAAAGACCTAGAACCAGAAGTACGATTTGACCCAGCAATCCTATTACTGGGTGTATACCCAAGGGAATAGAAATCATTCTATTATAAAGATGCATGCATGTGTATGTTCATTGCAGCACTATTCACAATAGCAAAGACATGGAATCCACTCAAATGCCCGTCAATGATAGACTAGACAAAGAAAATGTGGTACATATACACCATGGAATACTATGCAGCCATAAAAAGGAACAAGATCATGTCTTTTGCAGGGACATGAATGGAGCTTGAAGCCATTGTCTTCAGCAAACTAATGCAGGAACAGAAGACCAAGCACCACATATTCTCACTTATAAGTGGGAGCTGAGCAATGAGAACACGTGATCACAGGGAAGGAAACAGCACACAATGGGACCAGGGGGCTGAGGGAGGGAAAGCATCAGGATAAACAGCTAATGCATACAGGGCTTAATACCTAGGTGATGGGTTGATAGGTGCAGCAAATCACCATGGCACACATTTACCTATGTAACAAACCCACACATCCTACACATGTATCCTGGAACTTAAAATAACATTTAAAAAAAAATAAAAAACAAACAGAATCTCAGCCCCCATCCCATACCTGCTGAATCAGAATATGCATTTAAACAAGATCACTTAGTGATTTGTATGTATCTTAAAATTCAAAAAGCAAAAAATAAAAGAAGAAATTAGGTTGGAGAGGTAGCCAGGGATATGTTGGCCCCAGACAACACCTTGGATGAGAAATCAGCAGAGATTCGAAAGGCAGGGAAGGAAAACATGTCATCTGCATTTTAGAGGGATCACTTTTCTCATCCTCCCCCTCAAAAATGCTCAGCTCCCAATAGCACCCCCGTATATCAAGTCGTGTAAAACTTGTCGAAAACTGGTGTGTCCTCTCCCTGGCCTTCTCCTTGTCCTCTTATAGCCAAATCTGTCCACTTCTCTCTATCTCCATTGTCACCTCTGCAATGCATTCAGCATTAAAGCTCATCTAAAGCAGTGTAACAGGCTCCTAACAGGTTTCTCTAATTCTTGTCCTCCCTGGATCCATTCTTCCCCCCTAAACACAGTAATTTCTTCCAAGTGCTAAAATTCTTCTCCTCTCCTGCTAAACCCATTCATGGTGCCCTTGTCCACACTCTTGGGCCATGTGCAATCCACTTAGCCCACTGCTTAAAGGTCTACCTGAGCCGACTCCTACTTCTCTCTCTAGCCTTCTGTCTTCCCTCCATCACATTCTGCAGTACGGCTCTGCTGAACTGCATTTTGTTCCTCAGATTTCTGTGTCTCCCTCTCCCTCCCTAACCTCGCCCTGCTTTTCTCTCTTCCTGAAAGAGTCTTTCCTCTGCCTGCAGCCCTACTCATTCTTTAGGTTACTACTTAGTCTTCAAGTATGTTTGAACATCACTTCCCTTGGAACACTTCCTGACTCTCCCTCCAGCCCTCAGTGTAGGTGAGTGGTCCCTCTTCAGACTCTACCACCTGATTACCCCAGAGGAGCCCTGTCACACCCCTGATCATACTGTCCATGCTGTCTCTCGGGGCCACTATTCCATAAGACCCATGAGGCCGAAGCCACATATGTCTCGCTCACTGCTGAATCCCTTGTGATCAACACAATAACCACTGCAAGGTAGGTAATCAAGAAATAGTATGTGAATTAAGTGTTTTATTAAATAAATAATGCCATATTCATATGATAGAAGCAATCATTAATAATTCTTTAGAATAATACTTAAAAATATAGAACATGTAGAGCACACTGTTCAGTTAAAGACACTCATTACAAAAGCGAATACACAGTCAGATCCGATTTTGGTTTTCTAAAAAGGGCATTAATAAAGTGACCTCAAAGATGTTCACCTAAAATGTAAAATGATTTTTCTCCTGGGGTTGGAATTCGAGGCATTGTTTTTCCTTTGAGCACATTTGAGCATAAATTTCTTTGGTCATCAGGGAAAAAAAATCACGAAAATGATTTAAAGTGCGGTGTCAAGTCTTGGACTGTCACGGAAAAGAGGACCCTGGTCAAATGCAATGATGGTGGCCAGTAGTGAACAGAAAGTCCCTTGTGAGTGTCCTGGGTCGCAGCGGCCAAGGGCATTGCTAAGGGTAGGCTATTTGGGAGTAGAAAGTGAGGAAGGGACTCTAAACATGACAACTTCTTCATAGAAATTATAATTAAATGTAATTAGGCCAATTTTAAAGAAGAGCAGTGGGAAAATGTCTTTAAAAATGGGCTAAATGAACTGAGGAGAGGCGTCAGTATCTATCTTCAGCTGCCTTTTATCATTATGGTATCAGGTCACAGGAGATGAAATTAGATTAGAAAAACAGAGTCAAAGAAGGGTTTATTTAACCAAAAATAATATATGATGAAGCAATTAACAAAACATTCTTCTACTTTCCCAGTCTTCTGTCTGTTCAACGTTGTCTTGGGCCTGGGTCTCTCTGTATGTCCCCTGCCTTAAGGTGGTCAGAGTCAGAGCCTCGACCTGAATAGTTCAGAAGAAGGGCCAGGACTGTATCACATGATATTTTGGTCCAAGTGAAAAACAAAAATTTCACTTTAGCTTCCCCCATTGTTGTGGTCTAAAGAGGGGTATGTGTGAGGAGATAATTCTGCTACAAGAAAAAATGAAAATTATATTTACTACTAGGGTATTTATATTTCTATCGTAAAGGATCTTTGTTGCATTCAAGAACCATGATATAATATGAATGTTTTGCGTTTAGCATGGAGAAGTTAGCTTTTAATAAACAGATCCTCCCACAAAACAGCTGTTAAATCTGACAAGAAAAAAAATAAAAATAAAAAGCGAAAAACTTCTTCAAGGCTCTGAAAAGTGAACCAAAGCAGGCAGGTTTTGGAAGGGAGTCAAAATACAGAGGCAGCAGCCAGCATGAGATCAGTTTCGCATTTGGGGGGTTCACATGGCCGGCTGCCACAGCCGTGACAGTGGCACAGGGGGATAAGACGACAGCACTGAACCTTCCGTTTCAGTCCAGAGGTACCCAGGAAGGGAAACCGCCTTTGCAGAATGATAACTGAGGAAATTATGACAGTGAAAGAAATCAGACCTAACCAACTCCACCTTGCTTCTAACCTTTAAGCTGTCCTTCTTCATTCCTGGGCATGGGCCAAGCTATAGGAAGGAATTCAGTTCATGGTTTGACTCTGAAATAAAATTGCTAATAGCCCTTTCCCAAAAGGACCCCTTTCTTGCCTAGGGAACCAGTCTGCCTTTGCAGGATTAACAAATTAGCTACAAGATTAGACATTACAGTTTGGGGGGTCATGCAGCCTCTGGCTCCAAGAGTCTGAACCTCCCCAAGTTGTTCTTGGGGATAACATCACTATTGTAAAACCTAACATCAGTGCTTGAGATATTCTGCAGCCCCTACACTCGATGGATCAGCTGACACCATCCAGACAGGTAATCTGGCTCAACCAGTTCTGCCATCCCACCCAGGAACAGAAGACAGCAAGAAAAACTCACTTTGACCCCCTATGATTCCATCTCCAACCTGGTCAGTCAGCACTCCCCACTTCCCAAGCCCCTACCCGCCAAATTATCTTTAAAAACTCTGATCCCCGAAATATCAGAGATACTGAATTGAGTAATAATAAAACTCCTGTCTCCTGCACAGCCAGCTCTGCGTGAATTACTCTTTCTCGATTGCAATTCCCCTGTCTTGATAAATCAGCTCTGTCTAGGCAGTGGGCAGGGTGAACCCATTAGGTAGTTACAGAAGGAGCCTGGAGAAGGCATACCACGAGGAGTGAGGGAGGGTTCTGGGCAGGAAGACAGCCAAAGAAGGGGCCTCCAATTCTGAATATGAACTCTCCCGGAGTCTCTGGATGACCCCTACACCACCCCTAAACTGGGCACTGGAAGTAACCAGATGAGATGAGAGCTCCTGCACCCCGCAGGCATCATGAGTTTGCAGTGAGTCTAGCCAGTGAGATTTGCACATTTACTTCAGTGAACATTGGTTAATGCATCTTTGTGATATGGGGAGTTTCCTCATACATAAAATGTTATTGTCAGGACAGTTTTGAGATATTTACTCGTTCATTCATTCAACAAATGTCTCGTATGTTTCTACATGCCAGATGCTTTAAGGGATACAGAAATGTTTAGCATCCCTGTCCTCAACGAGCCCAGAGCCCCATGAGGGACAGCGGGTGTACATCCAAATAGCTACCACTTGAAGTAAAACTGGATCAGGGAGGAATTGGTGCAGCAGAAAGAACATGAACTTCAGGATCAAACAAACCTGTTTAGAGCCTCAGGAATTATCTGACAAATGGCATAATAATACCTGTCTTGTACAGCTGTTGTGCAGATTAAGTGGTGAAATTTATTAATTACTTATTCTCTGCGAGGTACTGGTCTAAGCACTGCATATTCACAGCTCCGTTAATTCTTATAACGACCCCTTTAGGTAGCCACTAATACTACCCTCGCTCGATAGATGGGGAAAATGAGGCATCGAGAATTTAAGTAAATTGTTCAAGGTCGCCAGGGAGTAAGTAATCAAACAGGTTCAAACTCAGCAAAGTCTACTTGAGCCTCAGCTGTTAACTGCTAAGTTATGCTGAATAATAATGTCAAAGTGCTGGCCGGGCATGGTGGCTCACGCCTGTAATCCCAACACTTTGGCAGGCCAAGGCAGGCGGATCACCTGAGGTCAGGAGTTCGAGACCAGCTTGGCCAACATGGCGAAATCCCGTCTCAACTAAAAATACAAAAAATAGCTGGGCATGGTGGTGGGTGCCTGTAATCCCACCTACTCAGGAAGCTGAGGCAGGAGAGTCGCTTGAACCCCGGGAGGCAGAGGTTGCAGTGAGCCAAGATCGCGCCATTGCACTCCAGTCTGGGTGGACAGACTGAGACTCCAACTCAAGTAATAATAATAATAATGTCAAAGTGCCAAGCACAGTGCTTAACACATAGGAGGCACTCAACAAATGGCAGACAGCATCAGTACTGTTATAGGTACTGCCGATGCTGTTGTTATTACTTTGAAGCATAAGAAAGAAAACCATCGTTGAAGTTCAAGACCTATGCCTGAAGTTTTAAAACTAAAATGTTGTAAGAATGCTAAATAATTGTCACGTGCAGATCTTGACACACACCTTTAGAAATCAAAATTTATGTTTATCCCTTAGGTATATCCCATCTCTTTTTTAGAAGAAAACCATCAAGGTATCATTTAAGTATTCATTCATTCATTCATCAAACTGTAACTTCTGACTGCCCTCTGTCAGCACTAAAGTGGGCATCGGAACCATTTTCAAAGGGGAAAGAAAGCTAATGTGGGAAGAGGGTCCTGGTCATTCACTGAAAGTTAGTGCAGCCATTTTCCCCAGTGCTAATGAAAAAAAGCAGGCAACTAAAATTCCTTGCTGCATTTTTATTTAAACAACCTCAGAGAAACTGCTATGCAAAAAATAATAATAATAATAATAATTCAGTTGTAAAGCAAAATTAATGAATTGTGTGCCAAACATAAAAATAAAATTTTGGAAGGGCGCAGTGGCTCACGCCTGTAATCCCCGTACTTTGGGAGGCTGAGGTGGGCGGATCACCTGAGGTCAGGAGTTTGAGACCAGCCTGGCCAACATGGTGAAACCCCGTCTCTACTAAAAATACAAAAATTAGCCGGGTGTGGTGATGGTCGCCTGTAATGCCAGCTATTCGGGAGGCTGAAGCAGGAGAATCACTTGAATCTGGGAAGCGGAGGTTACAGTGAGCCAAGATCGTGCCATTGGACTCCAGCCTGGGCAACAAGAGCAAAATGCTGTTTCAAACACAAAATAAAATAAGATAAAATTTTACTCACACTTAATAAATCTTAATACCCTGCTTTGATTCTAAAAGGTGAAACTATATACTACTCCAAGGATCTCAGCTGCTGTGATTCCTAAATGAAGTGGTGATTTAGGGATAATGCCAAATTTTGAAAGAACAAGAACAGCATTTTATTCAGGACTGTTAATTTTATGAGGGTATGTGGCATGTTTCTTATGTAAATACATGGAGTTTCATATGGTTCTAATAGAGTGCTTTCACCAAGATCATACATGTTAGGGTGCTGGAAAAAAAAAACAACTAAATCCCAAAACTATATCACCCTTAAATCCTGACTGGGTAACATACCCAGTTTTTAAACAATACACATTATCTGAGAGATAACTTTTATGACATGTGTTGCTATTGCCTGCAAATCCCTTTAAGATGAAAAGCATTACCACTGAAATTTGAGTTCGACAAAAGGATTTATATAGCTAGGTTACCCAAGGCTATAAAATGAAAAAAAAAAATAGTTTTGTAAATGCTTGGAGCTTGTTGCAGTGGAATTTAACCTACAGGACCTTTGGGCCAACATAAAGATTTAAACCCCAGGCATTCCCTAGAGTTACTTAGAGGTTATGAAGGTTTTCTCTATAAACATGACTTGAAACATGATGGATTTATTGACTCAGCAAGTAGCTTTTAAACTGATATATTTGAATTAAAGACTTTTAAGCATAGGGTCCCTTAAAGGTAGTAGTCAACCTTCATCCTTTTTACCGAAGAAAACTAAGGGTGGAAGAGATAAAATTATGTGACTTAACCGAGGTTAGATGACTAATTAATAACAATCATCATAATAGCTAACATTAACTCAGCACCTACTATTTGCAAAGCACAGTGCTAAGGGCTTTCTCCAACCTTCACACTAACTTTAAACATGTAAACGAGTGTTACTCTACTTTATAAATTAAAAAATGAGCCTCAAAGAAGCCAAGACCTTGTCAAAAGAGGTAGGTCCGGATTTCAAACCTAAGCAGTGTGACCCCAAACCACATGCATAAACCACTCCACTCTACAGCCTCGTCACGGGGCCTAGACTCAAATCTACTGACCTCCAGGCCAGAGAACGACACCAAATCTCCATCCTTGGCTATGAGAGTTTCCAGATTGTAAGATCTTTGATGTCTGACAGCAAAATCCAACATTGCATTCTAATAGTTATAGGACTGGAAGATGTGAGTCCTCTCCCTGGTTGTAATACTTGACTTCATAATTACAGTGCAAGAGTGGTTCATACAAAATCTATGTATTCCATAATCTTATCCCATAGGAATAGTGTGAGAAAATACCTTTAATGCTTTTAAAATGCATTGGATAAAATGATATGTTTTCAAAATAGTGCATAAAGCCCCATATTCTCTCTTTGGTCTCTGATTGCCATATGTCTTCCGTAATAGGTAATTGCCAGGAAGGTGGTTCCGTTTGACCAGCTGTGCTCTCCAGAAGGGGATGGTCATGCTGCAGAGCCAATGGATGTCCTTTATTGCTGGAGGCTTTCATCACTACTGATTTCTTTTTATTCTTTATTAATTTATGGGTATTCTACTTCAAATTCCCAGTGGAAGGGAGATGGAATTAAGATACTGATAATGGCTAGAGAGTAGTATTCAGACTGTATTTATACATGTATCTAAATACATTCATATATTTAAATATACATATTTAAATACCAATATGCAGTAATCCTAAGCATATATAGACATCTTCAGAATTAAAATGCATTTAGTTTAAAACTTAAGGATTTCAAAGTTCTAAACCAAATACGAAGACAATAAATTATTAAGCAATAATGCCAGGTTCTAAGTGCTTATCTTTGTCTTTGCTGTTATCATTCAATTAGGTGGATATTAGAAAACATTCATGATATTTCACTTTTATTTCTTATCATCCCCACCGTAACCAGAATCTGAAGCTACACTTTCCCAATATGAACCTAGTAAAAGCTAAGTCGAAATTCAGGAGAAATACAGAACCTGTTGATGAAGGATAAAAATCTCAGTGTAGAAGGGCAGACGTGTCCTGAAGGAGCGCAGCTATGAAGGTGACTGCAGCTGGCTCTCGGGCTGCCCGATTTGGAACTTTGTGAAGGAGCAGGAGTCACAGAGACAGTACCCAGAACAGATGTTCAATCTCTACGGGCCTACCCAGGTCAGATGGAAAAAGGTCCTTGAAGGAAACAAAATGGAGATGAAAAGGGGGGAAAAGAGAAAGGATGCGGATGTGTGCTGTCGAGAACTCTATCTAGAGGGAAAACCCCATTTTAACAGCTTTCCAGCCTGGGAGGAATTGGTATAAAAGGATTTGACTTGCTTACCAAAAATAATAACTTCTCACTTTTTCCAGATTTAAGAAAGTAAACAGCAGAGACATTTAGAAGTTTTCTTTGCATGCATTTTACTTATGATTATGGTTACAAAGATAATCTTTAAAAATATAATGTGATTTCTTTTAAAGAATATATTCAGAGATGGTATAGGACAGTAGTTGGGAGCACTAGAGCCCATTTCTGGGTTTAGTCTCCATTTCTGGCTATGTGACCTCAGGCAAGTTATTGATCCTCTTGTGCCTCAGTTTTCTAATCTGTTAAATGGAAATATTAACAGTGTGTGCTTCCTAGCATACAATACTAATTTGATTCTCATTGTTGTGAGAGTCAAATTAGTTAGTAGACATAGTGAGTGATAGCTAAGTGTTGACTTCTATTATTAAATTATTTACCAAATATTAATCCCTCCTGCTAACATAAAACGCAACCCGTAGGAAAGGTGTTGGAATTAGGTGTGGGAAACAAGATGAATAAAATACATTCCCTTTCCTCAAAGAATAACACAGAGAAGCAGGGCAGACAGAATCAACAAAAACCTACAATGGAGAAATGGAAAAGGAGGCAGGCAAGGGTCAGGGCTGGCTCTGAACCCCAGGACATTCTGTGAATTTGAGGCTCTGCTCAGACTTGCTCTCAGCATGTCTGATGTGAGAAACATCCTGGAGACACAGGCTCTTTTTATTTTTTATTTTCTTTTTGAGACAGGATCTTGCTCTGTTACCCAGGCTGGAGTACAGTGGCACAATCTCGGTTCACTGCAACTTCCGCCTCCTGGGTTGAAGCAATTCTTGTGCCTTAGCCTCCCAAGTAGCTGGGATTACAGGTGTGTGCCACCACACCCGGCTAAATTTTATATTTTTAGTAGAGACAGGGTTTTGCCATGTTGGTCAGGCTGGTCTTGTACTCCTGGCCTGCAGTGATCCGCCCACCTTGGCCTCCCAGAGTGCTGGGATTACAGGCATAAGCCACCACACCTGGTGACACAGGCTCTTTTTAAAGTGCAAAGTGTTCTATAAATATGAGTTACTGCCGACACACAAAAGCAAGCACTGTAAGGATAGGCCAGTGGGAGAGGCAGCTTAAAAAATGCCAGTCACCAGGTATGAGCTCCTGCTAAGAGGCTGCCACACATTCCAGCAAATTCTTCTAAACTCTAATGAAAGCCTGCTTTTCCCTGCTCAGGCTTCATTGAAGATAAACCTTCGAATAAAAGTCTTTGTAGTGGAAAATTCATCTTCATCTTGTCAATTCCAGAGCCTCGCATTTTCTCTAGGCTTTATCTAGGCAGCATGGAGGGGCTGGTGTGCCACCGGATAAAGGAGAAGGGTTCCTAGATCAGCATCCAGGATTTAAATTACTACCTAAAGGCCAATGTCTCTGTGTTTAGATGAGACCAGGCTTCTTCCAGACTCATAGAGCCACAGCCTAGCTGACATCTCCACTTGACTATCACAAGGGTCTCTCACAAGGGTTCCAACATAGAACACTTCATTTTTCTGTTTCTCCATGAACAGCACAACCCACTGCAAAGCCCCAGACTCGCTGCCTCACCCTCCCTCACCTCCCACCACCTTGCTCCTTCTCAGGCCTCCTCCATTTTCTTTCCAAAGTTCTTCCAAATCCGTCTGCCTCTCTCTTTTTCAAATTCCACCCTTCCATTCCTAGCAGCCAACATCTATTTCTTGGACTTCTACAACAGTCCCCAAACTTTTCTCCTTATTCCCACTCTTGTCTCTCTCTATGTTCAACATTGTTCCAGAATGAAAAGTTCAAAGTTCCCTGCTTATCAATGGTTTAATAGTAATCATTATCATGAAAACAATAGTGATGAAATAGCTACTATGAATTCAGCACTTAGCCAGGCACTGTGCTAGGCACTTTATCTGTCTCAACTCATTTAATCCTTACACTGATCCCAGGACATAGACACAATCATCACCCCATTTTACAGATTAAAAACACCAAGATGCAGGGAGGTATAAAATCACATGCCCATGGGACAAAGCTGGTGATAGTGGAACTGGCCTTCAAACCTCCCCCTCCGACTCCCTCCCCTCTAGGATGAAGATGAAAGGCCTTGCGGGGCTCACCCAGCCCTGCAAGCCTTGCCCTGCCTGCTTCCACCTGCTGTCACCATGATTCTTCTCATCCTCTTAGCTCAGTCATGCCCGCAACTGCGCCATCTCCTCCCTCTCCTCTCCTAGGGTCTTTGTACATGGGAGTCTCTCCCAGCTCTCCAAGCCCAGGCAGATCCCTTCTGTGCATCTTCAAAGCACCTATTCCTGCATGTAATTACATACTTATCTGTGTGTGCACTACTGGAGGGGCCATCTCAGCCTTCCTTAGCATTATATCCTAGCTCCTGGCACAGTGCCTGGTATACGTAAAGTGCTCAGCAAATCATTAACAACTAGGAAATTGTAGTACGAGTGCAAGCAAAATTCTGTTTTTAGTTCGAGGGCCATTGTTTATTACCAGTGTGATTTTGTGCAAATTACCCCCATCTGAACTTCCAGAGGCCTGATTGTAACTTTCAGGTAACAATCCCAGCAATAATAGGAAAGCATGTTGGAGTTCTTAAAGCACTTTCACAAAAATTCCATTTGGTCCCAGGACGACCCTGCAGGCTGCCCTTGACTAAACACTAAACGACAAGGCCTTCAATCAGAGTTAGGTGGCGACTGACTAACCAAGGGCGTGACAGAGCTTTAAGAACTGCAAAGTGCTCTATGTGAGTGAAGACTGGTGCTGCTTGCTCAGTCATCAGCCTTCAGCAACGTTTCCAAGTTTTCGCATTTGTTTAAGGGAGCTGAGCCTAAATTGCAAAAGAAGGAGAGGGTGAAGAGCAGGGCTTGCCAAACACATTTAACTCATCACCAGCACACAGAGAGAGAGAGGGATGGCTGGGTGGGCCACAGCCATCTCACTCCGGCCCCCACCCTGGCCCCTGCTCTGCCCAAGTGAGCAGGAAGACAAGAACCTGCCCTTCTTTAGTTGATGTTCACTTCTCCGAAATATTCGATTATGAGGTACTGCCGATCACATGGGCAGCTCCTGGAGAACCCAAGCACTTCCGTTATCTGGGAAGCCAGTGGCCTCTTACCAACACCCTCCTGGACCACCGCCCTCCCCCTGCCTCTCAGCCTTAGGTAATCTAAGGTAATTGTGAATACACAGATACTTCCTTAGGTTCTCAGGCTCTACATTTAATCTCTGCAGAGGATGTGACTCTATGTAGTTGTCAATGTTACTTCTGTGGATCAGAAGCTTACATGCTGGTTCTAAAAAACAATCTAATGTCATGTTATTCTTACAAAATTAACAATTGAAAATAATCCCTTCCATAACATCCCTGCAAGCAGAAATGGGAACAAAACTTCCTCAAATCACAAAATAATTTTGTGAACACCAGCTTGATAGCTGTGATTATCTGCCTGCTTCTTCAGGTAAAACTATGCCAGCAGTAAAACTGCTTTTTAAAATAAAAGTAGCCCTAAAGATGTGGTTTTTCAGGTGACTTGAATTTTCTAAGACATTATGAAGTTGATTTAAAAACAGAAGCAGGTGAACTTTGTGTTGAATTTTTAAATGTAAACTCATATCAAAAACCAAACAAAATAGAAATCTTAAGTAAATTGTCACCATTAGAGATTCTATTTTATTATAGCTATTCATTTTCAATGTATAAATAAAATCACAGAAAGTCCTAGATTATGTCTAATATTCAAATAATTTTCAAGCTATGCTAGCATAGAGCTAAAAAGGGGGACTATCTTCTATTTTTGTTTTATAAATCAAACAAAACAGGAAGTTCTCTTGTGTAGAGTTTTGCAGAAACAAAGTATAAGGCTGATCAAATTAGTTTATGATTTAAAATGAAAAAAGTTCTTTCTGGAGTAATAAATACTAATTACCTTCTGGACACTGGCAGGTGAATCCACTGAGACTGGAAATGCATGTTGCTCCATTTCTGCATGGGTCTAGGATGCAGTAATCAATCTTGGACTGGCAAAGCTCTCCAGTATAACCTGAATAAAACAAAATGTACATTTTATAAAATAAGCTCTTCCAGACCCACCATGAGCCACTCTAGGAATTGATGGATTCAACTGGTACCTGCCCAGTGAAGGCAGTGGCAGCCTTCAGCTAAGCTGCTCCTAGATCTCATTTATTTTTACAAACTATGGTAGTTTAGAAATAATCATAGTGGTTTAGAGTCATAGTTCAAAAATCGTTTACTCTGCAAAAATCTTTATTGCAAGAAGACCACATTTCTTCGGCATTAGGTCTGTGTTTCATCTTGAAATATCAGTCGGAACTTTCAGAAGCTGAGACTGAGGATCACGTTGGTAGCTTCCTTCTGACACAGGAATTTACAGTGTTCAGCTTGATCTAACTGAGATAATGGCCACATTCCCTAGGCCATCACAACACCTACATAAAAAGCATTAGGAAAATGTCTAGGTATGAGCAGTTTTAATTTATAATATTTTAGAGCTAGAATAACCCACCTGTGTTAATTCTGTGACCTCTCCTCCCACTTTAAAGATAAAGAGATTGAGGCAAACAGAATGCTAAGCACATTAATATATTTTTATTTATACCTACTTAATTCACAAATCCAACTAAATTATCTGTGAAGCAAGGCTCTCATGGTAATTTTGTTGGATTGTAACATAACTACGCACATGTGGTGAGGAAATAAGGATGTAAATCGATTGGAACACCTGTGCAGTCAAAAAGCTTTAAATACTTCCAGAATTTTGTTTATTAATTTTGAAAACAAAGCCCCTGGAGAGAAAAGTTTAAAAAATAAAATGCTAATAAATTTCTCATTATAAAGTGGAAAACGGTAAAGAAAGTTTGGAAAATTTAAGACATTACACAGAAAAAGAAAAAAATGTGCCCTTGGTTATGTTATTTGAGTGACAGGACCATCAATACTGTAGAGATAATTCCTATCAAAAATTGTGAGTCATAGATATTTTCCACACAATTATGATCATAGTGTAACACTTTATTTCTAGGACAGTTTTAACTACATAAAATCTTGTCTTTCTGAATTATTAGTTTTGAAAGACTGCCATTAGCACTTGAATCTGAGATTTACAAACCAAAAAGATCCAGTGATACTAGAAAAGAGATGATTCACCTGAGCTTCAATTACCTGCCAAATAGATTGTAAATTACAGATTGGGAATGTGGAGGCATTCATTTGCAATCCTACTCACAGGCATTCAAGCCGTGTAGGAGATTCTAGCTAATTCACGGTATGAGAAGAGGAGTAAGACAAGCGCATGAACTAAAAATCCAAACACCAGGAGAAAAGGCTATTTCAAAATTCTAGAACAGATTAAATAAAAGCTGTAAATTCAAAATAAGGGAGAGTGAATTGTTTTTAAGAGGAATGCTGCAAATAACTTTTTGGCTAAAAATAATAGCCAAAACTTACAAAAATCACTTATTTTTATTCATACATTAATTAATATTAATAATTTATCCACACATTAATACCTAATTCATCCATACTCACGTAACCTTATGAGGTTAGTGTTATTAGAATCACCCTATTTTTTTTTAACTTCAACTTTTATTTTAAGTTCCGGGGTACCTGTGCAGGATGCGCAGGTTTGTTACATAGGTAAACGTGTGCCATGGTGGTTTGCTGCACAGATCAACCCATCACCTAGGTATTAAGCCCAGCATTCCTTAGCTGTTCTTCCTGATGCTCTCCTTCCCCAAACCCCCACTCCCAACAGGCCCCAGTGTGTGTTGTTCTCCTCCATGTTTCCATGTATTCTCATCATTCAGCTCCCACTTCAAAGTGAGAACATGTGGTGTTTGGTTTTCTGTTCCTGTGTTAGTTTGCTGAGGATAATGGCTTCCAGCTCCATCCATGTCCCTGCAAAGGACATGATCGCATTCCTTTTTATGGCTGCGTAGTATTCCATGGAGAACCACCCCATTTAACAAATGAGGAAACCGAGGATTATGAAGGTTAAGTAATTTGCACACAGTCATACAGGGAGTCAGAGCCCTGTGTCCAAGCCCTTTCACACAGTCCGCCTAAGGTTACACTTAAGGCACTATGCATCACCATCGTCAACAAACAGGTATTTAGTATGAAGGGAAAATAACAGAAAATAATGGGTAAGAAAACACATAGAAAGAGACACAGAGCTTGATATAAAAACCATCAATATTCAGCTAGGTGCGGTAGCTCATGCCTGTAATCCCAGCACTTTGGGAGGTTGAAGCAGGCAGATTACTTGAGGCCAGGAGTTCAAGACCAGCCTGACCAGCATGGCAAAACCCTGTCTCTACTAAAAATACAAAAATTAGCCAAGTGTGGTGGCATACGCCTGAAATCCCAGCTACAGGGGAGGCTGAGGCACGAGAGTCATTTGAACCGAGGAGGTAGAGGTTACAGCGAGCCGAGATTGCGCCACTGCACTCCAGCCTGGACAATGGAGTGAGACTTTGTCTCAAAAAAAAAAAAAAAAAAACAAAAAACCATAAATATAAATATTCATCCATAACTTACAGCCTATGTGTGGTTGGTTATGCTTAGGCTGGAGGTGCCAAGAATTATTTTTTCAAATCCCTGACTTTAAAGATTCTACAATATGGCTAGAAAAGTATAGTACATTTATGAAAAAGATAACCGATTACAAGTGGTAGCTTCTTAGAGGCAGTGTGGCCTAAAGGATGTGGATGGCATCATGAATTCTGTCCCCGGAAAGATGTCAGAATTGCGACCACAGAATGACACAAAACCATGACCCACAGCCAGCAGCCAATTTGGTCTCAGAAGTGAGAGATGTACATCCCCACCAGACAGAAAAAATAGAAGAATGCAGGACTCTGTGAACTTCAAAGTTCTTTCAATAAAATTTTAACAATCACTTCCTTTTTACTTTTTATCCAAGGATTTAAAACATACTTAAACATAGAGAGATGAGGTTATAAACCTCATGTGTCCATCACCCAGCTCCAACCATTATTAGCATTTTGTCCGTTTAATTTCATCTAGTCTCTTCGTATTTTCCTAGGTTCCCCATGAGGGTATTTTGAATCAAATTTCATTTCACCTGTAAATATTTCAGTATGCATTTCTAGCAAAAGGGGAGTTTTTTAAAGATCACTTTTAATGGCCTCTTTAATTAATATTTCATTCCATTTACAAATTTAATTAAACACTTTAAAACATATTTATTTATATTTAATAATATCCACAATTTTCTTAAGAACCACAACTGTCTGATAATGCACAAATATTCCCATGCACTTAATTCTTACAGATCTAATAAATTATAAGTGAGGGTGAATCTTCAATGCTGTTAAGTGCCCCAATACCGTATGCAAGTTCGGTAAGATTTCAATCAGAGAGGCTAATTTACATTTTTAATTGTCATAACAGCTTCGGGACCTCACTGGCATTTTGTGGGTAAAGATACTGAGGTCTTGCAGGACTTGAGATGGCCTAATATATTAATAACAGAGTTGTCACACTGAAAATGCCAATAGTTCCCTCCAATGAGAAACAGTGGTCCATATTCAACACTTTGTCATTGCTTTATTTCCCTGAGCTTTAAAGTCTTTATAGTAAAGATTTTGAAAACACAGGAAACATGGAACTATGGAGAAAAAGATTATGTGTAATGCTCTAGACCCGTAAAGTATGAGCATATTGACATGTCTGTGGGTTCAGTATTACTGGAGATGAAGAACACTAATGGAGGAGCATGGACTGGGGTGTAGGAGGAAGCAGGGAGGCAGGGGTGAGATCACGGGATTATAGGACCACTGAGCATTCTCAGCTGCAAGTGGCCAGTGCTACTGGCAATAACCAGCTATGGATCTGCAAAGCCGATGAGGGTAGCCTGATGCTCTACCCACCCCAGTCTCCCTGGAAAGGGAGGGGCCCTTTGGCAGGACAGTTGCTTGGTGCGAGCGTTTCCCAAATTAGACGTATGGACCATGATGGCAGGAGCTCAAGACCTGACAATCATTCACACCAGACTCACCAAGAGGACCAGGTATTATTCTTGGCCTCCAGGGAGTTACTAGTTGGCAGTCCCAAGAGTACCATCATCAACTGTATTACTCCCATTACAGTTGCATTACTAGCCAAGTGAAGACAGTTCTGGAAGAGGAGAGGCAGAGGACAAGGAGCCAGGAGCATCCTGTGGCTGGCTTCAGAAACTCTCAAATACCAGCGAGTGACTCCTTAGACCCTCAGAGAGCAGAGGCTTCACTGAAGGTGTTGGGCAAATCACTGGTATTGATATACATGTAATACTCTGAACTGGATACCTAAGATCTACACAAATCTCACCCTTCCTGTGTCTTTTGGTTTTTTATTTGATCTCATAATCAAGGAGTCAAAACTAAATGAGTGACTGGTAGAAATTTAAATGAAAAATACCATTAAAGTCTTGGCCTGGGTTTTCTTTCTTCCATCCTGCTAAAAGTCAAACTCTTCTCTGGGGACTAAAGTAACCATACCAACTATGACTAATATTTCCTTTTGCCACTAAAGCAATGACAGACACCCAGAGGACCTCGTAGAAGATATACAAGCAAGACTGATGGTATCGATGCCACAGACACAAAAGGTAATACACGGTGGCCATTCTGTGTGTGTTATGGAAGAATTTGCTCTAGCATGCATACACAACAGGCATTTCAGCCCTGGAAACCTATGCCATAGCTCCCAA
This sequence comes from Homo sapiens, assembly GCF_000001405.40. Lineage (NCBI taxonomy): Eukaryota > Metazoa > Chordata > Mammalia > Primates > Hominidae > Homo > Homo sapiens. The sequence continues at coordinate 229,481,946 of NC_000002.12, forward strand.
GTGGAAGGTGGGCAAGACATGGAGAAAAACCCATGTAAAGGCACACAAGAGTGCAGAAAATGTGTGAATGTCATTGACACTTGACTAAAAATGCAAGACAATGATAAACTCCCTTATTTTGATTTCCAAATGACGAAAGTCTATACCTAACCATGGAGGCAAGTATCAGCAATTGTCTTTCTTTCCTCTAGCTAGTGGTACTCCCTCTAAGCCCCCATGGGCAGACCACAAGCATTCGTGAACCACCTGCCAAGTTATTGTCACAACCACATAATACCTTTCACATTGTCTAGTCCCAAACCTCACTGCCTCTCACCAGGACTCCAGCAATGGTCGCCCAGCCCCTGTCTTCACTGCCACACTTGCTTTCTTTCAATCCATTCTCCACATACGAATAGCCAAAGAGATCCTTTTAAGATATAATTCATATCCTATTACTCCTTACTTAAAACCCTCCAATGGCTTCCCAAAAGGTTTGGAATAAAACCCAAACACTTTACCCAGGGGCTAAAAGATACCGCACGGTGTGGCCCCTGCACCCTCATCTTGGCCCAGTCCTGCCACCGACCACCGTGCTGCAGCCACCCAGGCCTCACTCTATTCCGAATCTCGCCAAGCTTCTGCTCATAGGCATCAGTATTGTTTTCATGCTGTGGCCTCAGGACCAGAAAGAATCATGAGAGGGATGCAGGATTCAACAGAAGCAGTTACAGTCCTGCCCTACAAAGAGAAGTGGGGCACAGATTTAAAATTGTCCTGAGATGGAGAAATTACTGAAGAAAGTTAGCAATAAACTTTTGGGAGTGGAAAGGAGAGGACCAGTGGAGTTATAGTGGAATTTCATTTGTAAAATCAGGAAATAAAGACAGGAGGGTTTAGAAATAAATTGCACAACAGAGTAGAAGACCTAAGAGAAGGGTATCAAAGCTTTAAAGTTATCTCTAGAACCAGGTAGGGAGACATGAAAATGTCTTAAGAGGGCTACAAAGAAAAGTGCAAAATCCAACTAAGGAGGGAAGGAAAATAGCTACAACCTTAGTGGGAGTTACCAATAAAATCAGAACAATTAAACAATAATGTCTCTGGGACTCAGGGGCTGTGGGTTTTGAAATCAAGCCCATTGATGAGTATGAGCTTGGAGTTTCCTGTTGGATGGCAATAATAGGGAGAGGTGGCCTATGTGTGCTCATCCCACTGATATGAGAAGAATCACCCTGGATGCCCAGGACTCCTGAGACAGCCAAAAACCTCCCTCCCAGAAACAACCTTAGTCCTCTGAGCGCCAACTGCAATTCATTTGGGTCAAGAACCACAGTTAGCTTAGGATAATGAAGCTCTTCCATTAGCGGTATGAGTCTTCCAATCACAAGAAGAGATAGAGCCAAGTATAGAGATGATGATATGAGGACGTAGATCAAGCCCATGGTTCTGCCACTTCGTGTCTGGTTTAAGCTAATCTGTGCCTATTGGTATGCAAAGAATGTGTGATGATTGAGAAAAAATGTGATGTGTGAGAGAATCTATCACACTTATGATTCCAATTAAAATGTTTAGCTGAGTAATTGGTTTTTGATTGATGAATTTAAGTTGAAAGATAAGATTAAGTCAGAACCCATTGGGATGTTGAACAGAGCTTGAGAATCATTATAGTGTTTAAGTTTACTTCTCACAAGGGAACGCATACAAAAGATAATTTCAAATAGTCTTCTCTGTGCCCAAAGGACATTCTGGGATGCCAAAAAACTCACCCCTGGACCCTGTGGTCACACTGCAGGGCTGTTTCCTCTGACTCTGCAGCCTTCTGTGCCCACCCTCTTTCATTAGTTAGCTCTAAGCTCAGAAGTCACTTGCTCAGACCTCAGGCTTTTTGCCCTTGTTTATTCTAAAACTTCGCTCTTATTTCTACTTGAAACACACACACATACTTGTTACCTCCCCACCCAGAAGGTGACCCATGGGAGTAGGGCTGCATCCCTGGAGGCCCCTGTTGTATCCCCAGGGCACCTGTGTGCTCATCACTGTATACTTCTCATTACCTACAATGATTTTCTTTATTGGTTTCCTTCCGAGAACATAAACTCCCTGAGAATCAGGACTTTCTCTGCCTTGTTTGGAGAGAAACCTCTGGACCCTCCAAACTTAAACATTTCCTGGCACAATTATTTGTTGAAGGAGCGAATCCACTTGCTTAAAGTTTTTGTCCCAAAATCAACCATATCTTTCAACTTAGGTTTAGCCTCTCCCTAAGCAATAATATCGAGAACGGCCTGGGTAAAATGTGCTAGCTGCTTGTTTTCCTAATGCACATTAAAATAAATGCAGAGCTACTGAAGTAAAAACATTGTTATCTCAAATATCTGCCATCAAAAATCACCTTGCTGCCATCATGGTCTGTACATCTAACTTGGGAAACACTGCAATGAGCAACTGTCCTGCTAAAGGGCCCCTTCCTTTCTAGGCAGACTGAGATCAGTAGAGCATCATGCTACCCCTCTTCTGAACTTCGATCTTGTTTCTCCAGCTAGCATTCAGCACCTCCAACAGGTCTCTGCAATACGGCAAATCAACAAGGCTGAAGCAGAACTCTTCATTTTGTTGTTGTTGTTCAGGAGCCCATATCCAGACTTAATTCCTTAGGTCGGTGGTTCTTGACTGGGGTGATTCTTCCCCCAGGTGTCATTGGTGATGTCAGGAGACTTTATGTATTGTTATACCTCTGAAGGTGTGACTGGCATCTAGTAGGTAGAGCCAGGGCTGCTGCTGAACACTCTCCAATACACAAGACAGTCTCCTACAACAAAGAATTATCCAAGGCAAAATGTCCTGAACACCAAGGTTGAGAAGCCCTGGTTTAGGTCAATGGAACCTTAGTCCTTCAGACTATAAACCTTTGTTTTGGTTTCAGAGCCTCTTATCTTCCCTTAAACAGAAACTGCTCCTTTACAAAGCAGAGAAACAGCACCTTCAGAACATTTTTTAAAAATCAGCATTCTCAGGAATATTTATAATCCCTAGCAAATTCAAAGCCGTTGTAAAATACATTGACCCAAAACCCTAAGAACCTGAGGAATTTATAATTGGGATATTCTATGAATAAGTAAAATAATTCATTCAAAAACAGATGACTATTGAAAATACTGACCTCTCCTTTCAGGGAATTGCAGAGATTTTATTGTTTCTTTGAAGAACACTGCAGTACAACAAAGATAGAAGAAAAGTTGTGACTCAGGGTACATGGTAAGGATGCCCTTTGAGGACATATGGCACAGCCGGGAAAGCCCTCAACTCAGGCTTCGTGCTTTTAAAGGGTCTGACCGTGAGCAATGATGTTAGGTGAAATACAGTCCCTGACATAGGAAGCAAAGCCTGGCAGTGAGTAAATTCTTAAAAAGGCAAAAGGCAGAAAGTGACCAGACACTTGAAGGAAATGCATCCATTTCATCAGTGGGTGTTCACAGATTACATTTGGTCTAATATAGGCTTGGAGTGTTTGATTTTATACTATTTTGTATTTAAGTATAAAATATAATTTAAAATGTATTCATATCTAGAGAGAGAAGAGTGGCTAAGTTTGCCTGTGAATCTCAGAACAGCATACCATCTGAGTGATATCTTTTGATTTCCAACATAACAAAAAATCCCCCCACCAACCCATATATCATTATCGACACCACCATTTCCCTTCAAATGAAGAAAACCTTCCAGAGGTCAATGGTAAATTACATGAGGTGTAAGCGAAGTTAGCTAAATGAGTCAGATTATGAAGAAGAAGGGCGATCAATCAGTTGTGGGCATTTTTAAAAAAACATTCTCCTTCCCTGCACAGTTGTTTTTGTGTATGATGTTTACTTCATGATTTCTCTACTGAAATAATAAAAAAAAAAATTCTCCTGTGTTGCTTTGGCTCTCTAAGGCAGAGTCTAATTGTTTCTTTGGAGAGCTGTTCTGAAGGCTCCCATGGTGGCAATTGCGACGAGAGCTATTTTTAACGCTCCTGGTCTTTTAATAGTCTGGCCTGTGCAGTGAGGTGAGGCTGCTGAATTTGGGCTGAATGCTGATGCTACCAAGAGAACCCACCAGTCTCAGCTCTCACCCTGGGGGGATCTGAGCAGCTGGTATCAGGGCCTCAGCCGTGTCTGCTAAGATGCAGTGCCTAATATTAGCACTCTGAGGCAAGAAGTAAACCGGGGGAATAAATAGTGCACCATCAAGACGTTCAGTCTCAGAGGCATCCTATTTTAAAGTCGGAAGGCAGACATTATTGCACAGAAAAAAACTAGTAAGATTCGCTGGCAGGAGAAACACAAACACATCTGGACAAACACAAACAGGATTTAAAAACCAAAGGCAAAGAAAGGAAGATACATGAAGCCCATCTATGAAAGACAATAAGTAAAATATAATTAAATTGGAATATGCAAAAAAAAAAGCTTGACAGAAAGCTGACATTCAGCAGAATTAGAAAAATTAATCTCAACATTGGGGAAAAAAGTAACCACATCTAACAAGTAAATAGACAAGAGGCACAGTGGGAAGGACAGTGGCTTGGGGAGTGGAAGGTCTGGGATGGTGATACAACAATCAGCTGAGAGAGCTCATTAAGAGGTTGACTTTTACCTTCATTTCCCTCATGGAGGAATTAAAGATTATGATTATAATGACTTCAAGCAGCAGGTACCATTTCTATGGAGTGTACCCTTTAATCCACAAGAGCTTGCACCATGCTTGGCATGTCCTAGGTGGCTCAATATTTTTTGAGTGAAATTTATGGATTTTAAAACTGCAAAGCAATATGCCAATATTTTTGGATCTCTCAGTTTTTATACAGGCAATTTAGAGCAGTGGTTCTCAAAATGTGTTTCCCAGATCAGCAGCATCAGCCCTGCCTGGGAACTCGTTACAAATGCAAATTGACCATCATTGTCACAGACTTACTGAAGGAGAAACTCTGGGGGTGGGGCCTGGCAACTGAGGTTTAAGAAGTCCTACAGGTGATACTAATACAAGGTACATGCTAGAGTTTGAAAACCACCATCTGGAAAATTAGAAGCAAGCAATCTTTTAACATCAAATATTAATATTATTCATTTCCGAATTACACATATAACGCAAATTACAGAGGACAAAAATCAGAGGCCAATGGGTGAAAGTCAAATATTATATGACATCAAAAAGCCTTTAGTGATTGCACTGTTGACATGGTTTTCTTCTTTTTCTGAGTGGGAGGTCTTGGGCTCAATTATTGCAACTGTCATTGCATTCTTCACACATCTACTTCCCTATTCTTTAAGGGCAGGTATTGATTACTTTTATGCCAGCCTCTAGCACAGAGCCAGGGACACTATAAATACTCATTATATAGTAAACTAATAACTGCATAAGCACCATGCATCACTCTCTCTAATATAATTCCTTTTATTCAATTTCTCTAGCTCTCAAATAATAAAGTGCAATATTGATACAGTCCATCTATATCTTTTAATCTGATGATTCCGAAGAGGAAGATAATTCAATACTTAGAATTCAATACCTCAAAGGGGAAGATATTTCATTAAGTATGTCCTGATGACTACTCCTGAGAAGTTGAAATCAAAAGAAAGAAAACATTAGATTAATTAAGGTGTTACACCATGAGACAGACAAGTTAGGGGATTGACTTAAACTACATAAAAATTTATATAACTATATTTATTAGTTGAGTTTTAAGTTTTTGTAGTAAATCAAACTCTAAAGAAGGTATTCATTCACTCTTCAGAAAGAATTTTTTGTGAGTGAAAATTCACATTTGGGGAATCTAAAAGAAGTTCAGGAACAGTTCTTACCTTCAGGGAGCTTAGGCTCCAGATGAGGAGGTAAGACACATTCCCATGAAACAGCATACTGAGTAAATGAGCAGGAGAATGGTCCCAAGGCAGGCACATGTGCATGGCAGTGCCCAGGCTAGCCTCACTGATGTGCCGGGGAAACAAGGCTAGGCTAGGGCCCCCAATCCACAAACCAAAGAGTTGGGGTCACTGACATGGCATCTTCAAAGGTTTCTGCACAGAGTAGAGGCATGGTAACGATGTGTTGTATATTGATCTCTTCCTGTAACCACTCACCGCCATTTCAGGGGAGCACTTAAGGTCTCTCCTCCCTTCTCCCTGGGAGCAAGTGTTCTGGTCTGGACGAAATGAGAGAACTCCAAGAGGGATGTCGAAACTGGGTGTGGGATGGGGAGTGGGCAATGCCCTTGCAGAAGAAATCAGAAGAATGAAAGCTCCAATCTTTCTCATCTTTCATCCTCTTACTAGTGTTTAGAGGCTACAAAGAAGTGCCCTTGATGGCTTACCGATTCTGTGCCAGTGTGTGTGGATGTGGATGTGGGGATAGATGTTTGTGTATGCATGTCTGCGTGCATGTGTGCACTCTGTGTATATTACATTTGTATATGTGTGTACATGTTTTGTGTTTGTGTATGTGTTATGTGCATGTGTGTATACATGTGTGTGCATGTGTTGCATATGCATGTATATGAGTGCACATGTGTGTTGTGTGTGCATTTGTGTGTTCTTGCGTGTGTGTTTTCTTTTACAAGGTCAAGATCATCATTCCATTTTATAGATAAGAGAACTTGGGCTCAGAGGAGCTAAGTAAAGTTGGTGAGTGGAATTCAACCCAGGACTGCAGACTCTAACCCTACGTCCCTCTCTTTCCTCATATGTGTTCCTTCTTTCCTTTTGATGAAGTTCATTTGAAAAGACTGTGAGGGCCAACCAAGGCCAGCCCTGAGGCCAGACACAGTGGGCAGGAAGTGGCCCATTCAGGCCTGGCTTTCCTGTGATCTTTGCTCCAACCTGGCTCCCCTGAGCAGGAGATGCAGAAAGAGCTGAAGCCAAATCTCTGGCCAAGAAAGTGGTGATTGGACTCTGTGCAGGGCTTGACAATCACAACAATATCAACAGCTGACATTTGTTGAGGGCTTACTATGCACCAGGTCACTTTCCAAGCACACTACCTATATCATCTTATTTAATCTTCACAGTCATTGGATTGTGGCACATTGAATACCGTCACCCATGCCCAATTTACAGATAGACAGCTGAGACCCAGGAAGATTAAGTAACTTCCCCAAGCTCACACAATAAATGAGTAGTGGAAGCAGGCGCTGCACTTGGGCAATCTGGCCTCCCGGCCCAGCTGGGCTTTGCGGTCAGCCAGGCCCTGGCTTCGTAAGTATCACATCGGCAGCTGTGAGTAAGGCAGCATGGCCTGCGGGGAGGGTGCAATCACCCAGGCGGCAGATGCCAACAGCTTGAATCAGGGCATTGGTAATGGAAGAGGAAGAGCCAGGGCAGATGGAGAGTCATCATAAATAAAGGAAACTTGGTGGCACTCCAAAGATAACTGAGATGAGGGCGGCGAGCATAATGGCCGAGCTTCCAGCCCAAGTGAGGAGGGAGATGATGGCACCACTGATAGAAACTAGGGATGCATGAGAAAGCCAGACTGCAATCAAGTGTGGGATCAAAAGGAGGCAGAGAGAGGCCGGCAACATGACTGGGTGGGTGTGGGGGGCGCGGACAGAGGGAAGGAAGGTGGTGAGGAGGAGGGGGAGGAAGAGGAAGGGGAGGAGGGGAGGAGGAGTCGGCAGACACATTGCTGCCTGGTGCAGGCAAAGTGCTGAGGTGAAAGGCTGGGCTAGAAGGGGTCTGGAAGCCATCCACCTTGAGGTGATGGCTCAGAAGGAGCCATTGCTACCCAAGGCAGAGGAGAGCAGCTGAAGAGGGAGGGGAGGAAGAAGAGGGTGGGAGAGGTCTCAGGAGAGCAGGCACAGTGCAGTGCTCTGGAAGCCAGGTGAGAAGGCTTCTGAAAAATGATCAACTTCAGCAGGATAAGGATGAGGAAGGAGCCCTCGAAATCAGTGAGAAGGGCACCACTGATGACCTTGGAGAAGCACTCTTATGATACAGAGAGAAAAGCAGCATGAGGGAGTGGGTAGAAAATTATGAGTTGAAGATGGACCAATATGTTGCAGTAACGAGGAAGAGAGAGTGGAAGAGAAAGAAGGGGAGATCAAAGTGGAGGACAAGAGGGAAGAGGAGGAGAGGAGGAAGAGACAAAGGAGGAGGAGAAAGCGGAGGAAGTGGACATATGGAAGGAGCAGCAAGGAATTTCCAAATTACTGCTTGTTTGCAGGACTGGTTTTAAGATAGAGAAGGCCAGAGAATCCTTGTGAACAAGAAGCCAGGAAAGAAGCAGGGAGGGACAGGGAATATAGCAGAAAGAGGGAGACAAGGTTAGAAGCACATGATCCTGGAGGAAAATTGAAGAGGGAGTACATCAGGCTAAGTGTCTTAGTGTCTTGGCAGCATTATTCACAATAGCCAAAAGATGGAAATACTCCAAGTGTCTGTCAGCGCATAAAGGGATAAACAAAATGTGGTACATCCATACAATGGAATATTATTCAGGCATAAAAAGGAATGCAGTTATACCTGGTATAACCTGAATGAACCTTGAAAACCTGCTAAATTAAAGACACCAGCCACAAAACTACACATCATATACTTGGACTTATCTCTAAAATGTCCAGAATAAATAAATCTATGGAGACAGAATGTAGATGAGTGGTTGCCTAGAGCTGGGGGGTGGGGAGGATGGTAGGGCCACAGAGTGATAGCTAAAGGGTAGAGGGCCTCTTTCAGGGGTGATAAAATGCCCTAAAGCTGATTATGGTGATGACTGCACAACTCTATGAATATACTAAAAAGCACTGAATTGTAAACTTGCTGGTATGTGGATTGTATCTCAATAAAGCTGTTATTTAAAAAAACAAACAAACTTTGGAGTCATTCACAACTCTCCACTTCCACTCACACCTCAGCACACCAGGAAGTGTTATCAGCTGTACCTTCAAAGACATCCCAAATCCAAAACGTCTCACTACTTCCAGCACCACAGTGGTCAAGCTGTCCTTATCTCTAGCCTGATAAATGCACATATTTTAAAAATAGCCTCCTAACTGGTTTTCCAATTTGTCCTCCCTATGTTTATTCTGCCCCAGACTCCACAGTGATCCTTTTAAGTGGAAAGTCCAATGGCTCAGCCCAGTTCATGCCCTCAGTGGCTTCCTGTCACTCTCAGAATGAGCTCCCTGTCCTTCCTTCCTGGCCAGGTCCAGGTTCCTTCTCAGCTTGCTCAGGTCTCATCATAGGTTCTCTCGGGCACTGTGCTCCGGCTCTTCAAACACGCTGGGCATATTCCTGCATCATGACCTTTGCACATTATCTTGGTCCATTCAGGCTGCTAGAGCAAAATACCTGACACTAGGAAATTTACGAGGTGCATGCAGATTCAGTGTTTGGTGAGGGCCCATTCCTCATAGACGGCACCTTCGAGATGCCCTCACATGGCAGAAAAAGAAGGCAGCTCTCTGGGCCCTCTTTCATGAGGGTACTAATCCCATTCATCAGGTGAAGCTCTCATGACCCAATCACCTCCCAAAGGCTCCACCTTCTAATACCAACACCTTGGTGATTAGGTTTCAACACAGGAATTTTAGGGAAACGCAAACACAGATCATAGCACTTGTGCATAGCATATAACTATTTCCTCTGCCTGCAATCCTATTCCCCTGATAGTCACACTGTTTACAAGCTCATTTTATTCAGTCTCTTCACAAACATTTCCCCTTCTAGGAGGCTTTACCTAGTCAACCTATCTGCAATCCTATTCCCATTTTTCTTCATCCCTTTACCCTGTTTTATTTTTTCTTCACAGCACCTATCACTCCTTGATGTCTGACAGCCTTCCTTCACTCCACATCTACTTTCTCCTTCCCCTGTAGTTCAAACTGATACTGTCTTTGATGGTAAAATCCCATCTCAATTCCTGGCTTCTGCTGAGATGGCTGATTAAATCCATGAATCACATCCATGATCTCTTACCAAATGGTTGCTCAGCCATAACCTTAAGTATTCTCTTCAGAACAACTTCCCCATTTTTCCCATTTTTGCCATGATTACACACACACACACACACACACACACAGACACACAGACACACAAACACACTACATATATGCAAACATACACACGCATACACTGTATACACAAATGCATATGCATATTGTCTAGTCATCTTCCTCACTGAAATATGACTTCCACGAGCACAGGGACTTTGCTTCATTCTCAATTGTATTCTCAGCACCCAGAAAAATCCCTGGCACATAGTACACATTCAGTAAATAATTATTGAATGAATAAGCCTTACTACAACTCCTTATGTTAAAGATGAGGAAACCAGAAGGAGTTAAGAAAGGTTAGGAGGATCACACAAGGTCACACAACCAGTAGGTAGAAGTGGTTAGCTTGAAGCCCTGACGTACCATGTCTCACTAGCTTTGTTTTGTTATTCTGAGCCCCAAGGGGTGCAATGTCTGGTCCTGAGAAGGGATGAATGACACAGGGGCAATACATTCATAGACCATTAGAAATGCCCATACCTTCCACTCTATTCATAACTAACAGAAAATTCACAGACCATTAATATGTAGCAGTGAAACACACTCTTTGACTCAAAGATGGGCCCCGAGTGAAGAGGCCTGCATTCCGGTTTCCCCCATGAGCTTTGTGACCTTGATCAAGTCCCACAGCCTTATGGAGTCAATATTGCTTCCATGCTTCACACAGAGGTGAGTTCTGAGGTTTCTGCCAGTCTAAAACTCACAACTCATTTTTTACTTATTTATTTATTTTTGAGATGGGGGTCTCAGTCTGTCACCCAGGTTGGAGTGCAGTAGCACAATCATAGTTCACTGCAGCCTCAAACACCTGGGTTCAAGCTAACCTCCTGCGGCAGCCTCTGAAATACCTATGACTGCAGGCACATACCACCATGCGCAGCTAAGCTTTTTTTATTTTTCATAGAGACAGGATTTCGCTATGTTGCCCAGACTGGTCTCAAACTCATGGCCTCAAGTTATCGTCCAGCCTCAACTTCCCAAAGCGCTGGGATTAGAGACCTGAGCCACCACACCCAGCCTAACCTACTTTTTAAAACCTGCTTTCATGATCTGCTAATTCACTCACTTCTTGAGGTGAAAAAGGCTGGGTTTGGGGACACACAGAAAATTCTAATCGGGATTTGTCTCCAGCAGGAGGTGACCCATTTCAAACCAACAACGCAAAGGCACTGACACTTAGTCAGTGTGCAAAAGAGTAAATGTGGGAAGGGAACACGCGCAACAACATTCCCGTTGCCTCGGAAATAACGAGTTTTTAAAAATAGGCTGAAATCACCAATTAGTAGGAACAATGTAGTGCTTTGAAGTTGAAAAATGCTTTGCATAATGCTAATAATATTTTGGCAGTGGTGGTTCTGAACTTGTATCACCGCTATTCTTTTCAGAAAAAGAAATAGCTCCTTTGAGGAAGAATTATATTCTTGAAATTAGAAGGCTTTTATAAAATGTTAATAAATCCTGATTAAAGAAGTTAAATTTCAACTTAATCAGCCATTGTGTGTTTACTATGTACAAGGCACAGGGCTTGGCACTGACATGATGGAAAACTCAAGAGGAATAGAATTGTTGCTGCCCTCGAGCCAGCTACAAATTACACATGTGCTGTAGGGAGAAGCTGAGGGACAGAGGGAAGAGGAAGAAGAAATAAGAGAACTGAGCCCCTACCATACACCTGTATGGCTCATATAGAATTGTATCTCATTCTATTCACCCATTCATTCATTCAGGAAGTCCTTATTGAGCACCTGCTTTGTGTCAGGCTCCAGGCTAGGTACTGGGTGTATGGATTGACAACTGATCAGGTACTTGCATTCCTTCAATACCCATAACCAGCCATGATGAGACTTGTTCTAATCTCTTTGCAGAGATGAAGAAGCAGGCCCAGAGAGTTGCATAATCTTCCCAAGGAGCCCAGCTAGAAAAGGGTAAGAGTGGCAGCAGGATTTAAACTGCTGGCTCAGAAGCTGTGGCCAAGTGGAACAGATAAGGGTCTAGATTCCAGGGCAGACAGTATCAGGTTTGTACCTGACTCTGGCGCTTCGGGTTCATATAACTTCGGGCAATAAGCTACATGAACCTCTCTAGGAACCTTGTTCTGAATTGAATAGTATGATATTAGGGCTTGATAGGAAATAAAGAATATAGCCCAATTTTAAAGGGGCACAATTCAGTTCACAGCATTCCACCTCTGATTCTCCAAAATTCAGGTTCTTCTCATACACACAAAATACATTCATTCCTTCCCAACAGCCCCAAATGTCTCAACTCATTCTAGCATAATACCTAATATCTAAAGTCCTAAGTCTCATCCACATACCATCTAAATCAGATATGAATGAAACCCAAAGTGTGATTTATCCTGAGGCAAAATTCCTCTCCACACATGGACCTGTGAGATCAGACAAGTTATATGCTTCCAAATACAATGGTGGGACAGGTGTAGGATAGATATTCCCATTCCAAAAGGAAGAACTAGGAAGGAAAGAAGAGGTGGCAAGTCCCAAGCAAGTCTAAAACTCTAGCAAGGCAAAATCCATCAGAACGTAACAGCTCAAGAGCAATCCTCTTTGGTATGATGCTGTGCCCTCCAGGCCCCTGGTGTGGCAGTGTCACCCCACAGCTTTGCAGGGCAGCCCTGCCCCAGAGACACTGGGCAGTTATTCAGGCCCATTGAAATCTGGGAGGCTGTCATACCCTTAGAAACAAAGGAGGAAGCCTTGTCCCCAGACCTGGAGTAGAGGTGGGATTATACCATCTCTGTAGTGGGAGTTACAGCCCCGCTGATCTCTGAGTCTCCTTTGGGGCCCTCTTTCCCTTTCCTTGAAGAACAGCTCATATTCACAGCTGAATAGCTCTATATTCCACTCCTATAGATTCCAAGAAGTCCGACAGCCTTCCTTCATTCCACCTCTATTTTCTCTGTCCCCTTTAGTTCAAACTGAGAGTGTCTTTGATTGTAAAATCCCATCTCAATTCCTGGCTTCTGCTGAGATTGCTGATTAAACCCATGAATCATATCCATGATCTCTTTATCAAATGGTTCCTCAGCCACAACCTTAAGTATTCTCTTCAGAACAACTTTCTCATTTTTTTGCAATATAGATAGATTGAGAATTTTCCAAATCTTCAAGTTCTGATCCGTTTTAGCTTAACAATTTCCTTTTCAATGCATCTCTCTCCTTTTGCATTTTACTTGAGTAGTCAACAGGATCCAGCCTTTCAACACTTTGCTTGGAAATCTATTCAGCTAAATATATAATTTCATCACTAACAAATTCTACCTTTCACAAAATACTAGAATGTAGCTCAGCCAAGGTTTTTGCCACTTTATAACAGAACCAATAGGAGATATACATAAAGAGATGTGTTATAAGGCATTGGTTCATATGATTATGGAGGCTGAGAAGTCCCCATATCTATGGTCAGCAAGCTGGAGACTAAGGAAAGCCAATGATGCAATTCCAGTCTGAGTCTAAAGACCTAAGAACCAGGAGAGATGGTGTAAGTTCCCGTCTGAAAGCTAGCAGGCTCGAGACCCAAGAAGGGCCAATATTTCAACTGAAGTTGGAAGGCAAGAAAAGACCAATGTCCCAGCTCAAGGCAGTCAGGCAGGAGGAATTCCCTCTTACTCAGCCTTTTTGTTCTACTCAGGTCCTCAACCTAGGCCCACCCACGTTAGGAAGGGTAATATTCTTTACATAGTCTACCAATTCAAATGTTAAACTTATCTAGAGACATCCTCATAGACACACCCAGAATAATGTTTGACCAAATGTCTCGGCACCCGCTGGCCCAGTCAAGTTGACACATAAAATAAACCATCACAGAGACCTTTCTTTGATTCTGTTCCTCATATTAATTTTTCCACTAAACGTATTTCTAGAGCAGTCTGTATTTGCTGCTCACTCATTCTCATATCATGTCTACCTCCTGTTCAGCTCATCACTGCCAACCAGTATCACCTGGTGGGAGGTTGAGGTGGGTGGTCAGTCTAATAACTTATTGGCCACATGTAAACCATGAGGGTATGACAGCTCTAGACACAGTATTGCCCTACAGAGTGTTTGGCACCTCCTAACTACCCTTCTTGCTCCTGTTCTTACAGTCTTTTAAAGAGACCTCAAAGCTTCTGATATAGCCTATGTCAGGTCAATGTAATGGAAAACCACCACAGGCTTGAAAAACCTTGTTACTAAGTTTAATAAACTCCTCTTAGATTTTCTTGCAGTAATTGATGCGGATGACAATCCCTTTCTTTTTGAAAGTATTGTGAGAAAGTTTCAAGAAAAATATCAATTACACTTCATTAAAATTTTCTGCTCAAAACAGAAACTTTACTGATCAAAATCTATAGTCCATTTAATATTGTGAAAACATGTATATGACTTCATTAATATTTATAAGTTAAAAGATCACCTCCTGCTTCCAAGCAATTATATTAAGAATCAAAATGAAAACTAAAAGAGAAACTATAAACAAAAAGAGAGTAGTAAGTCCTCACCTATCAATAATTATTTTGAATGTACATGGATTAATTTTCCAGGCAGAAGACATAGAGTGGATGCATGAATTTTTTTAAGTCCTAATTATATGATGCCTACCAGAGATTCACTTCACTTTTAAGGACACACATAGATCCAAAGTAAAGGAATGGAAAAAGACACTCCATGCAAGTGGAAACCAAAAGAGAGCAGGGATAGCTCCACTTAAATAAAATAAAATAGAATTTGAGTCAAAAACTGTAAAAAGAGGCAAAGATGGTCATTATATAATGACAAAGGGGTCAATTCAATAAGAGGATATAACAATTATAAATATATATGTGCCCAACTTCAGAGCCCCTACATACATAAGGCAAATATTAATATATCTGAAGGAAGAGTTAGACTGCAATACAATAGCAGGGGACTTCAATACCCCACTTTCAAAAATAGAGAGACTATACAGACAGAAAATCAATAAGAAAACACCAGAGCTGGACTGTACTTCAGGCCAAATGGACCTAACAGTTATATACAGAGCATTCCACCCAACAGCAGCAGCATATACATTCTTCTCAAGCCACGTGGAGCATTCTCCAGAACAAATCATATGTTAGGCCAGAAGACAAGTCTACCAAATTTAAGAAGATTGAAATCACATCAATAATATTTTCATATTACAATGATATGAAAGTAGAAACTGATAACAGGAAGCATTTTAGAAAATTTAGAAATATATGAAAATTAAGCAACATGCTCTTGCACAACCAATAAGTCAAAGAATAAATCAAAAGAAAAATGTAAAAATATCTTGAAACAAACAAAAATGGAAACACAACATACCAAAACTAATAGGATGCAGTTAAAGCAGTTCTAAGAGGAAAGGATGTAACAATAAATAACTACATCAAAAAAGAAAGATCTCAAATAAACAACCCAATGTTACATCTAAAGAAGCTAGACAAAGAACAAAGCCCAAAGTTAATATAAGGAAGGAAATAATGAAGATCAGATCAAAAATAAATAAACTAGAAACTAGAAAAACAATAGGAAAAATATCAACAAAACTAATCAGTTGTTTTTTTTAAAGATAAATAAAGTCAACAAAACTTTAGCTAGACTAACAAAGTAAAAAAGAAGACTTAACTAAATAAAAACAGAAATGAAAGAGGGGATATTACAACTGATACCACAGAGATACAAAGGATTTGTTATACTATAACACAAAGAATTACTCTAATACTATAACCAGTAATACACCAACAAATTGGATAACCAAGAACAAATGCATAAATTTCTAGAAACATACAATCTATCAAGACTGAATCATGAAGAAATAGAAAATGTGAACAGACCAAGAATGAGTAAAAGAGTGAGCCAGTAATAAAAAAGTCTCCCATCAAAGAAAAATTCAGGAACTGATGGCTTCACTGCTGAATTGTATTAAACATTTAAAGAGCTAATACCAATTTTTCTCAAACTCTTCCAAAATATGGAAGAGAAGGCCAGCGTTACCCTGATACCAAAGCCAGACAAGGACACTATGACAAAAGAAAACTACAGGTCCCTGATGAACATAGAAGAAAAAATTCTCAAAAAAACACTAGCAAACTGAATTTAATACCATATTAACAGAATCATTCACCACAATCAAGTGGGATTTATCCATGGGATGCAAGGAAGGATCAACATATGCAAATCAATAAATATGATATATTACTTTAAAAGAATGAAGGGCAAAAACCACATCATCATCTCAATAGATGCAGAAAAAGCATTTGACCAAATTTAGCATCCTTTCATGATAAAAACTCTTAACAAACTAGGTATAGAAGGAATGTAGCTCAACACGATAAAGGCCATATATGACAAGCCCAAAGCTAACATCATACTCAGTAGTAAACAGTTGAAAGATTTTCCTCTAAGATCAGGAATGAGTGGCCCACTCTCACCACTTCTATTGAACATATAACTTAATATACTAGCCAGAGCAATTAGGCAAGAAAAAGAAATAAAACGCTTCCAAATCAGAATGGAAGAAGTTAGACTGTTTGCTGATGACATGACCTTATATATAGAAATTATTTAAAACCCCACAAAAGGACTGCTACAATTAATAAATGAATTCAGTAAATATGGAGGATACAAAATGAACATACAAAATGCAGTAGCATTTCTGTACACTAACAATGACCTACCTAAAAAATAAATGAAGTAAACAGTTTTCTTTATAGTAACTACAAAATAAAATACTTAGAAATACATTAAACCAAGTAGGGGAAATATCTGTAAATTTAAAACTATAAAATTCTGACAAAAAAATTGAAGAAGACAAAAATAAATGGAAAGATTTCCTGTGTTCATGGATGGGAAGAGTTAATATTGTTAAAATGTCCATTTTATCTAAAGCAATCTACAGATTCAATGAAATTCCTACAAAAATTCCAATGACATTTTCCACAGAAATTTTAAAAAAATTCTAAAATTTGTATGGAACCACAAAAGACTCCAAATAGCTAAAATCAATCTTGAGTAAAAAGAGCAAAGCAGGAGGGATCACACTACCTGATTTCAAAATATACTACAAAACTATAGCAATCAAAACAGCATGGTGCTGGCATGAAAACAGATGCATACTAATGGAACACAACAGAGAGCTTAAAAACAAATCTATGCTTTTGCAGTCACTTGATTTTCAACAATGATGCCAAGAACATAAAATGGGGAACAGGGCCAGGTGCAGTGGCTCACACCTGTAATCCCAGCACTTTGGGAGGCCGAGGCGGGCAGATCACCTGAGGTCAGGAGTTTGAGACCAGCCTGGCCAATATGGTGAAATCCTGTCTCTAATAAAATTGAAAAATTAGCTGGGCATGGTGGTGGGTGCCTGTAGTCCCAGCTACTCAGGAGTTTGAGGCAGGAGAATCGCTTGAACCCAGGAAGCAGAGGTCACAGTGAGCCAAGATCATGCCACTGCACTCCAGCCTGAGCAACACAGCAAGACTCCAACTCAAAAAAAAAAAAAAAAAGGAAATTTAAAAATTGGGAATAGACAGTCTCTAAAATAAATGGTGGTGGGAAAACTGGACATCCACATGCAGAAGAATGAAATTGGACTCTGATCTCACATCATATGCAAAACATCAATTTAAAGACTTAAATATCAGACCTGAAACTGTTAAACAGAAAAAAAAAAATAGAAGAGCTCTGTGGCAATTGTCTGTGCAATGATTTTTTTTGCATATAACCCCAAAAGCCCAGGCAACAAAAGCAAAAATAGACAAACGGGATTACATCAAACTAAAAAGCTTCTGCATGGCAAAAGAAGCGATCAATGGAGTGAAAATACAACCTGCAGAATAAGAGAAAATACTTGCAAACCACACGTCTGATAAAGAATTGCTATTTCAAATATATAAGGTATTCAAACAACTCAATAGCAAGAAAACAAATGAGCCAATTTTAAAAATGGGCAAAAAATCTGAATAGACTTTCTTTCTTTTTTTTTTTTTTTCTCTTCAAGACAGAGTCTCACTCTGTCACCCAGGCTGGAGTGCAGTGGCACAATCTCGGTCACTGCAACCTCCACCTCCCAGGTTCAAGCGATTCTCCTGCCTCAGCCTCCTGAGTAGCTGGGACTACAGGCACTTGCCACCACGCCCAACTAATTTTTTGTATTTTTAGTAGAGACCAGGTTTCACCGTGTTAGCCAGGATGGTCTCAATCTCCTGACTTCATGATCTGCCCTCCTCGGCCTCTCACAGTGCCAGGATTACAGGCGTGAGCCACCGTGCCCGGCCCTGAATAAGCTTTCTAAAGAAAGACATACAAATGGCCAACAAGTATATGAAAGAAGACTCAAAATCACTGATCATCAGGGAAGTGTCAATTAAAACCACGATGAGATATCAAGTCACACCTGTCAGAATAGCTATTATCAAAAAGACAAAAGATAATATGTGTTGGTGAGGATGTGGAGGAAAAGGGACTCTTGAACACTGGGAATGCAAAGTAGTGTAACTATTATGAAAAACAGTATTTAAGTTCCTCAAAAAACTAAAATAGAACTACTGCATGATGCAGTAATCTCCCTACTGGATATATATCCAAAGGAATTGAAATCAGTATTTCGAGGTGATATTTCCACTATCATGTTCATTGTAGCATTATTTACGAATAGTCAAGATATGGATTCAGTCTAAGTATCCATCAACAGGTGAGTGAATAAAGAAAATGTGGTGTATATATACACAATAGAATACTATTTGGCCTTTTTTCAAAATTTCCATAGGTTTCGGGGGAACAGATTGTGTATGGTTACAAGAGTAGGTTATGGCGATATGTAAGATTTCGATGCACCTACCACCCAAGCAGTATACACTGTACCCAACTTGCAGTCTTTTATCTCTCACCCCCCTCCCGCCCTTTCCACCGAGTCCCCAAAGTCCATTGTATCATTCTTATGCCTTTGCATTCTCATAGATTAGCTCCCACTTATGAGTGAGAACATACGATGTTTGGTTTTCAAAAGAAGAAAATTGTGTCATCTACAACAACATGAATCAACCTGGAGGACATTGTGCTAAGGGAAATAAGCCAGACACAGAAGGAGAAATGCTGTGTGATACCACCTATATGATGACTCTCAAATAGGCAAACTCATAGAAGTAGAGAGAATGGTGATTACCAGGAGGGTAGGAGGAGGGGAGGACAAGATTGGAGAGATTTAAAAGAGTACCTAGGTTGGTCAAAGGATACAAAATCTCAGGAGGAATGCTTCCAGAGATCTATTGTACAACACCGTGACTATAGTTAGTCACAATGTATTATATCCTTAAAAAATGCTAAGAAAGTGGATTTTAAGTGTTCTCACCACAAAGAAATGATAAGTATGTTAGGTTAAAAAAAAAAAGAAAAAGAAAACTAAAGAAAAATGTTTATCACTTAACCAACTCAAAACCCAATCTGCCATATTCATGCATTCTAGATTACCCATAACTAAAAAAAAAATTTTGTACTGATACTTGACATAGAAATTAAAGCAAAAATGTCAAAAAATTTAACAAATTTGGAGCTGCAGATTCTTTGCTGAAAATATTTTCCCTTACCAAGAAACATTCTCCTCTCAAGAGAAATAAGCCTTGTGTCAAGACAACAATCCTTCTGTGAAGAGACTTTGTTGAGAGTTTTTGTTCTCTGGTGACAACAACACAGTTTGAATTAATTCATTCATCAAACAAAATAATTTTGCATGATCAAACTTGTAATAATTAGAGCATAGTGGGATACATTTTCAAAAAGAAGGCACACTCCCCTCTGTTTGAAGGTTTTTGTGTATTTATCTGGTGTTTCGGAGGTTAATTAATTGATATTAATTAATTATAAATAGTTAACCCACAAAGAAAATGCAATTTTCCTATGGAAAAATAATTGGTTCAAGGATATCCAGCAGCTCATAGTTGACCAACAAGGAGCGGCCTGGCTTACAGACAGCAGTTGCAAAGTGAATGGACAATATACTGTTTGGAAAGCTGCTGCTTTGGTCAAAGAAGGTAAAATCTGATCTGCTCAGTGGGCTGAATTGCATGCTGTTTTTCTAAGAGTAACGGAAGAACTAACAGTGGTGGAAGCCCCTGTGTTTGGGTTTTCACTGACTCACTGGGCAGTGACCAATGGCCTGGCCATATACTCAGGCAAGAGGGCAGTGGAAACCTGTCCTATCGAAAGGAAACCCATATGGAGCATGGCCCTATGAAGATTTGAGGGGTGCATTAAAGTAGAACCCATCAGTGCCCATCAGAAGAACTCTCATCCAGGCTCAGAAGGTGACTGGAATCAACAAACAGATATCTACGGGTGCTCCCTTGAGGAGGCCACCTGAGTCCATGAAATGGGTGGATATGGGATATGGGGGCACCGCAGCAGTGCAGAGATGGGCTGAACCTAGATACGTTCCTCTTGCACCCTCCTTGGGCACATAATGCCAAAACTGTACTGCTTGTCAATAAGAGAGACAGAGACTGCCGATGGCTATGGGGCAGATTCTCTGTGGGGAAAGAAGGCCCTGAACACAGCTGATGAGTGGGACTGATGCTGGCAGCCCGGGGAGCTACAAATAGGTCTTGACGGGAATAGACACTGACTCTGGACTGGGCTTTGTTTACCCTGCGGAAGATGAAAATGCTCGGAGTGCCATAACAAAAACAAAAAACAAGAAACAGAAGATATTACATGGATTTGGATGGTTATCATTTCTTCAGACCAATGAACACACTATACAGCCCATAATGTCCAACAATGGGTAGAGATATCCTCCTCAGAGTGATAGTTTGATAGAGAAATAGGACAGGTAACTGAAACAATGGTTGCCTGAAATAAGGAGACGGCAGGCAGGGCTGGTTTACCTGGTTTCGCAGCTGTGTGCTCACACTGCATATGAATGGGATTAAAGGGGTGTCCCCCTTAGATATTTTTTTCCTCTGGCTGATCTTGGGGAGAGGGGATAGCGAGAATGCTGGTATGATTAAGCAATTCTTGCCAAGGTAGAGAGTGCACTGGTAATAACAACTATAATTTTTTCTTTCTTTCCCAAGTTACCCCTCAAATAATTCTTTTTTCTCCACTACCTGATACAATGGTCCTTGTACTAGGGCCACAACTGCAAGTACTGGAAGCAGGGATGATTTCTAAACCGAAAACTGTAACTGTGTTTTTCAACCTTATGTCAGAATTCCTAAGGACCTAATGGGGGTAGGTTATGCTTTGACCCCCACTGGCAAAACTGGGGCTAAGAGTGAATACGGCTCTATTGCCTGGGTGGTAAAAATGGTTCACTAGTTCAGAGCCTATGTAACCTTACCCTACACGAATGGGTATAGACTGAGGAGAGGCCCTTGCTGGACTAGCATTGTTACCAGCAGTCTGGACCAGCAGAGTGGCCAAACCTAATGTCCCTTCCAGAGGTGGAAAAGTTGAGTAAAAATAAATGACAAATGGAAAAAGGAGAAATAGTAGCTGAGGGTAAAGGAATAAATAAATAGGATGCACTATCATCTCGAAAGAGTCTCAGAGCAAGAGACGACATTGTCTCAGCTCAATTATAACAGATGCCTTAAAGGGTACAATACATGTTTGCCAAAGACCACTCCTGCTTTTGGAACCCAATGAGATAAAAAGGAAGCCTGCAAACCCAATGGCCACAGCCTGGGAGACATTCATGCAGTATGACGGACTGGACTGATAACTAATGACTGAATAGGATTCTAGTAATGTGGGGGTATCTTTTGAGTTATACATACTTTTTTGTTGCTTGTTTGCTTGTTTGTTTTGAGACAGCATCTCACTCTGTCACCTGGGTTGAATATAGTAGCACTACCTCAGCTCACTGCAACCTCTGCCTCCTGGGTTCAAGTGATCCTCCCACTTCAGCCTCCTGAGTAGCTGGTACTACAGATGCACACCAACATGCCCAGCTAATTTTTGAGGTTTTTTTGTAGAGATGGAGTTTTGCCATGTTGCCCAGGCTGGTCTGAAACTCCTGGGCTCAAGTGATCTGCCCACCTTGGCCTCCCAAAGTGCTGGGATTACAGGCGTGAACTACCGTGCCCAGCTGAGTTGTGTATTCTTTTGATGTAACTGATCTGTGTTTGAAAACCAGGAGATGGCCTGTGGTGACGTGTGTATGTGCATGCACACATGAGTGTACACACACCCAGTCACATATATATATCGATGCCCTGTGTATCTCTTCATCTATACCCTTTGTAATATCCTTTATTTACTTATTTATTTACTTACTTATTTTTGAGACAGAGTCTCACTCTGTTGCCCAGGCTGGAGTGCAGTGGTGTGATCTTGGCTCACTGCAACCTCTGCCTCCCGGGTTCAAGCGATTCTCCTGCCTCAGCCTCCCAAGTAACTAAGATTACAGGCACCCACCACCATGCCTGGCTAATTTTTGTATTTTTAGTAGAGAGAGGGTTTCGCCATATTGGCCAGGCTAGTCTCAAACTCCTGACCTCAGGTGATCTGCCTGCCTCGGCCTCCCAAAGTGCTAGGATTACAGGCATGAGCCACCATGCCCGGCCCTGTAATATTCTTTAGAATAAAGTGATGAACAACAATAAAAGATGTTCAGAACTAAACTCATTAGTGAACTCCCTTTTAAACATCAGCCCCCTTTTTTTACACAAAATTGCCTAATATTTATTTTATTATAAAGAGATCTTTTGACATGGAAATGCTGAAGGGATTACATTGTCTTAAACCATGCATTTGTGACAGGAAATTACTCAGCACACCACATAGTTGCAAACACAGAAAAACATTATAGTAAGATGATCAATAATCCTGCAGAAGGACCTGGGTTCAAATCCCAGCCCCAACAGCTACTGGTGCTTGCACCTGGCATGGCATGGACAAGACGTGTTCCCCATGTTGTTTCCTCTTCCTAGTCAGTGACTTTAGGGAATAACAACTAAATTCTGGCAAATGGCATGTGGTGGAAGGGATAGCAGATGCTACTAGGCACTGCCCTAAGAACATTGCATAGGACCCTCCAGCCGTCCCTTTGCCTTCAGCAGTACTGTGAAGGCCACCTCTTGAGGATGATATGTTCATAACATGAAGGGACCTGGATCCCTGAGTCACCACCTGAAGGCTAAGTGCCCCCATCAGACTATGACACAAGCAAAAATTAACCTTGGCTTGGAAGCCACTGAGGCTTGAGGATTATGTGTTGCTGCAGTGTGTGTGTGTGTGTGTGTGTGTGTGTGTGTGTGTGTGTGTTGGCTACAATAAAAAAGCAGCACTAGAAGCTAAGCTAAAAGAGAGAGAGAGAAACCTATGGGAATGGGGGTTCCTGCAGGGAATCGGAACTGGCAAAGAAGAAACCTTCTTAAGGAAACTCAAGAACAAGTTATCAGATAGATGAGCAAAGAGGGAGTTATGATGCCAAGGTAACATTCCTAAATCTCTTCTACCCCTGATCAGGATTTGTGCTAAAGCATAAAAAAGAGTAGAGCCGGGGGGGTCCCCTGGACCCATCTCTGTGAAAATGCAATGAAGAAAAGTAGCTGGGAGTCAGAGAGACCCTGACAGAGGCAGGGGTGACCTTTGGGCAAAGTGGAAGGTGAGACAGATGACAGGAGAGCTACAGATTCAAGGAGAGCAGAAATGAATTATTTTAAATTGCTACTATGGTTCTACGGCTGCCTTAAATTATATTAAACAAGAAAGACCTTTCACATGGAGGGATTTTTCTCACACATGGAAAACTAACTCTAAGCAAATTATACACGTTTCAAGAACCTCAGAAAATAAAACAATATGATGTAAATGTCAATGTAAAAAGATATTATTTTTGAAACTTGTTTAGACTGTGACCAATGCACAAAGGCACCTATATCTAATTTCATATTATTTCATGAAAATGGGAGCTTTCAATCTGCAATATTCAGAAAATGGTAGAACTATTATCAGAAAGCAGCTTACTTAAACCATAATTTGCTATTATTTACAAGTGTGGGGCTATAAAATAGCTTTGTTGTTTTAATAGAAGACATAACAGATGACTGTTTCGTGAATCAAGATCAATTTGCCATCTCCTGGGTTCCAGCACAATTCTGATGAATTTACCAGCAACCACCAAACTGTTTTGGGGTTGTATTAGTCTGTTCTCATGCTGCTATGAAGAAATACCCAAAACTGGGTAATTTATAAAGGAAAGAGGTTTAATTGACTCACAGTTCCACAGGGCTGGGGGGCCTCAAGAAACTTACAATCATGGAGGAAGAGTAAGCAAACATGTCCTTCTTTACATGCTGGCAGGAAAGAGAAGAATGAGAACTGAGCAAAACCATTATAAAACCATCAAATCTTGTAATGAATTACTATCACAAGGACAACATGGGGGAAACTGCCCCCATGAGTTAATTATCTCCACCTCATCCCACCCTTGACACATGGGGATTATTACAATTCAAGGGGAGATTTGGGTAGGGACACAGAGCCAAACCATACCAGGAGTCTAAGTACAATTATCAAAGTTCATATATTTGTAATGCAAAAATGCTATGGCCTTTTTTTTTCTTTTTTTTTTTATTATACTTTAAGTTCTAGGGTACATGTGCACAATGTGCAGGTTAGTTACATATGTGTACATGTGCCATGTTGGTGTGCTGTACCCAGTAACTCATCATTTACATTAGGTATATCTCCTAATGCTATCCCTCCCCCCTCCCCCTACCCCACCACAGGCCCCGGTGTGTGATGTTCCCCTCCTGTGTCCAAGTGTTCTCACTGTTCACTTCCCACCTATGAGTGAGAACATGCGGTGTTTGGTTTTCTGTCCTTGTGATAGTTTGCTGAGAATGATGGTTTCCAGCTTCATCCATGTCCCTATGCTATGGTCCTGATGTCAACTGAAAGTCAAAGTATTACAATCATGCATTGCGTAATGATGGGGATATGTTTTAAGAAACGTGTTGTTAGGTGATTTCGTCATTATGCTAATGTCATGGAATTTACTTACACAAACCTAGATGATATAGCCTACTACACACCTAGGCTATACAGGATAGCCTATTGCTCCTAGGCTACAAATCTGTACAGCATGTTATTGTACTGAATACTGTAGGCAACTGCAACACAATGATAAGTATATTTGTGTCTAAACATAACTAAACATAGAAAAGTTACTATTAAAACACAGTATTGTAATCTTATGGCACATCATTGTTTACGCATGTCTAAATATATCTAAACATAGAAAAGTTACCATCAAAATACAGCATTGTAATCTTATGGCACACCACTGTTTATGCGGTCCATCACTGACTGTCAGTATGTGGTCCGTCATGACTATACTTCTATTATTGTTACTGTTGTACATGTACATGTACATGACTATACTTCTATTATTGTTACTGTTGTTAGTAGAAGGCCCAAGGAGATTCCTATATGCCTACATGTGCTATAATGTGCTATTAGCATTGGAGACATTAAGTCACCTTAGATGGTAACAGTAAAATTCTTTTTCCCATTAACAAGCAAAAATAATTAATTACGTTTCTGGAAATTTCAAATCAATGGTTTAACCATGACAGTGCAGAAATGCTGAGAAGATAATAGGCACAATTTAAAATACACAGCTATTTAGTTATTCCAAATTCTGTCTGTAGCTTTGAAGAAATAGGGACACGTTATAAAGTATCATATACTATGTATTTATAGAAATGGTGTATTTCTGAAGATTAAAAATAAAATTATAACATAGGAAATTGGATCTCTATTTCATACTATATATATGTAAATCAAATTCATATTGATTAAAGACTTTGGTATAAAACAAAATTTTTAAATGTTTAGTGGAAAACAAGGTTAATATCCTTTAGATCTTCATGCAGGGAAACATTTTCTTAAATTGGACATAAATGTATTAACCAGAAAAGTAAAGTTTGAGAAATATAATGTCTATTCCTCAAAAGAGCCCTTGAAGTCAAAAGACAAGTTACAAACTTGAAGAACATATTTACAATTTGTATAACAAATTATTAGTATCAAAAATAAAGAATTCTAACAAATCAACAAGAAGAGTGTGCACACACACACAGATAATGGCACATAAACATATGAAGAGGAGTTCAGCATGATTAGTGTTCAGCAGACTACAGAGGCCATAATGAGACTCCTTTTTATACCTATCCAGTGGGCAGACATTAAGAACTCTGACACTACCAAATGCTGAAGAAGATGTGAGTCTACAAACTCACTTGTATACTGCACATGTGAGTAGATATTAGTGCAACACTTGGGAAAAACAGTTTGATATGACCTCCTATAATTGGTCAATTACATATTTTATGTTCCACAATTTTACTTCTAGGTATATACCTTAAAAACCTCCAGCACATACACAACAGAAGACATACAAGAATGCATATCTGTGCCTGTTCATAGAATGGAATTTTATATGGCAGTCAAGAACTCCAACACTATGGATGTCTTAGTAATAACAGTATTAAGTGAAAAAGTAAGTGCCAGAGAATTGCATGCATGATACCATAACATGAATCATGCATGATACCATTTTTATAAATTTTAAAAGAATTAAAAATAAATGTTTCTATAAAAACATGTAAATATTAAAATGATTAAAAAGGAAAACAGGCTGGGCGCGGTGGCTCATGCCTGTAATCCCAGCACTTTGGGAGGCCGAGACGGGCAGATCACGAGGTCAGGAGATCGAGACCATCCTGGCTAACATGGTGAAACCCCGTCTCTACTAAAAATACAAAAAATTAGCCGGGCGTGGTGGCAAGCACCTGTAGTCCCAGCTACTCGGGAGGCTGAGGCAGGAGAATGGCGTGAACCTGGGAGGCGGAGCTTGCAGTGAGCTGAGATCGCACCACTGCCCTCCAGCCTGGGCGACAGAGTGAGACTCCATCTCAAAAAGAAAAGAAAAGAAAAGAAAAGAAAAGAAAAGAAAAGAAAAAGCAAACAAAGAACTGATCAACTCAAGATTCAGGGTGGTTGTTATCTGTTATCTCTGGAGAGAAAGGAGAGGTGAAGGGATGAACAAAGGAGGAGCCTATAAGGTTAGTTGTCAGAAACAACTTCTGTTTTTGGTGGTGGTTTCACTGGTGCTTAGCAAATATGTAAAAATAGGCTATGCGTGAACAAGATCGGAGAGTGCCACAGACCGGGTGTTATCATCAATTCAATTCTGTGCACATAAAATCCTTTAAAAAAAGATGAATCCCCTTTGAGAACAAACCTAGATAAAAAATATCAAACTGAAATCATGTCAGTCCAAATATATCGAAAACCTCCACCAGCCAGCTCTGATTGAGACTATTTGTAAAAGGATCTTTATTTAACATTACTTCCAAAAGAGATATTGCAACCATCTAAAAGATTCATCAATAGAGGAATAGCTTAAAACATCTGTCTACATTTATACTCTTTCATTAATTCATCTCATCAACACATTGACTGAGTGTCCACAATTTGTCAGACACTGTGGGAATACAATCATGAACAAAACTGATCCAGGTCCTGCCCTCATGTGGCTTAACAATCCTTTTAAAAAGGGAAGACAGGCCAGGCGCAGTGGCGCACACCTGTAATTCCAGGACTTTGGGAGGCCGAGATGGGTAGATCTCCTGAGGTCAGGAGTTTGAGACCAGCCTGGCCATCATGGTGAAACCCTGTCTCTACTAAAAGTACAAAAATTACCCGGGCATGGTAGTGGGTGCCTGTAATCCCTGCTACTTAGGAGGGCTGAAGCAGGAGAATCTCTTGAACCTGGAAGACAGAGGTTGCAGTGAGCCGAGATCATGCCACTGCATTCCAGCCCAGGCAACAAGAGCAAGACTCTGTCTCAAAATAAAATAAAATATAAAATAAAAAAGGGGAGACAGGTAGTAATCAAAGAGTCACACACACAAATGTATGCTGAAAACAGACAGTACTGTGAAGTAAGGAATACAGGGTTATAGAAGAGAAAAATGGAGAGAGACTTATCTTGAAGCCTGCAGCCAAGACTTCCTGAGAAAAGGGACATTTAATAGAGGCCTGAAACAACAGAGATCTGGGAGTAGTTACCCAAGCAAAAAGGAGACAGGGAGGAAGTATTGTCCAAGCACAAGGTTGAGAGGGTGGATCCTGTGGCAGATGAGAGATCAAGCTATTACAGAGGCAAAAGGTAAAGGTGGCTGAAACCAGGGCAAGGGAGACATGGGGGTGAGATAGGGCTGGAAAAGCAGGCAAAAGACATATCCTGGTGCAGAATGAGGCCAAGGATTTCAATCGTTGTTCAAAGAGCAATGTGAAGAAGAAGTTTAAGCAGAAAAGCAACTACATCAGAATCTCACTGCGAAGGGATGCCCTGCAGCCACGTGGAGAATGGAGGGTCCGGGCATGGATGAGGCAAAGGCCGATGCCCACTTTGACATGAGAACCCTGGCTCTAGTGTGCAGCAGGGTCAAGAATTGTTGGAGGAACAGCAGGAGGCCATCTCAGCAGCACAGGCAAGGGGCAAAGGCCACTAGCCTGAAGGTGTTGGCAGTGGGGCTACAGAGGGTGGAGGATTTGAGAATTCTCTAGGTGGTAAAATGGAGAGCATCAGAGGTGGAAAAAATATGAAGAGAGAGGGAGAGGGAGGCACCTAGAATGACTTGTAGAGATGTCTGGCTTCTAGAAATGGATGGAACGCTGGAAGACGAGCTGTGTAGGGCTGGGAACACGATGAGTTCAGTTTGGAGATGACTGAGCTTAGGTTGTCCTGGGACACCTAAATGGAGATGCCATGTAGGCTGTCAAGTAAGTAGGTCTGGAGGGGAGCCTCACCTGGAGATAAAAATCTGGGGACACCATGTAACTGTTCAAATGAATGAGGTCACTCCATATAAACTGACTTGGTATGATGTCTGTGATCCACTGCCAAATGCATACTGAAAAAAGGCAAGTTATAGAACAATATGTATCATATCACTTTTTAAAAACATGTAGAAAAATACTTAATCATCTGGCCTGCAAGAGAAATACACACACTCTGACCTACACACAGACACACACACACAATGAAAGAATATACGAAATATTAACCTATCCCTATGATTTGATAAAGTTTAGGTGGGAATAGATAAGTAAATGAATTTCACTTTTATAAATTTCTGCTTTGCTGACTGTCTTGTTTCTTACAATGAGTACTTAATAACCCCCATGCCCACTTCATTCCATCCCTTTTTCACCCCCAACTCCTACCTTATCCTGAATCCCCACCCAGTGGCAGAAGCTGGCAAGAGAATGGGATGGAAAGAGAAAAGATGATGTCAGTTTTGCACATTATTTTATAACAAAATAAGAACAACTTGGTGTTTGCTTTTAAGATGCATCAAAATAGCTGTGTCAAAACGTTCCCTGGTAAAATGCCATTCCTGCTCCTGAAGGGTTTGTAACCAAGTTGGCTGAGCAGTAAGTCAATTAAGATGATTGTCAGAGCATGAAGTCTACAGCAACACTGTCCACTGCACTCTCCCTAGAGGCCCTCAATGTGCTCTGAGGATTTCCAAGTCTCATGTAACACCCAAGAACACACCACACTAACCAAGAAATGTTAAAAACTTCCCATTGTGGAGAACAAGGTAGCAGGAATTTGAACTAATGAACATACATGAACAAAAGGAAATTAATATAAACAAGAAGATTAGGTGGCTTTTGTGGTTTATCCTGGGTTTTTCTTCAGTTACTTAATATAATCACCCTGCACAGTGCCAGCCCACACTCAGTACATACTTGTGGAATTGTTTTTAACATGTCCAAGCCTCTATTGGGCTGAGAATATTATTTTCCCTGAACAAAAATGGGGTAATGCTGAAACAGAAGCATTCTAATGTCAGAAAGCCAAGAGACATATTGCGTAGCCCCATGTGAACTTTCTTCTTCCATTCCCTGATTACATAAAGCATAGACTGATAGCATCAAATGAGATCTTGAAGCTGCCTTGTTCAACAGCTGGGCACAGCATTGTTTAACCATGCTTGACTAAGAAGTGTATGCTGAAAATGTGGAACCAGCTCAAATGCCCATCAATCAACGAGTGGATAAAGAAACTGTGGTATATATATACGATGGAATACTACTCAGCCATAAGAAGGAATGAATTAGGCTGGGCAAAGTGTCTTATGCCTGTAATCCCAGCATTTTGGGAGGTGGAGGCAGGTGGATCACCTGAGGTCAGAAGTTCAAGACCAGCCTAGCCAACATGATGAAACCCCATCTCTACTAAAAACACAAAAATTAGCTGGGTGTGGGGGCGCATGCCTGTAATCCCAGCTACTTGGGAGGCTGAGGAAGGAGAATCACTGGAGCCCAGGAGGCAGAGGTTGCAGTGAGCCGAGATCACACCATTGCACTCCAGACTGGGAAAGAGTGAGACTCTGTCTCAAAAAAAAAAAAAAAATTAATTAATGGCATTCACAGCAACCTGGATGGGACAGGATACTATCACTCTAAGTGAAGTAGCTCAGGAATGAAAAACCAAACATCATATGTTCTCACTCATAAATGGGAGCTAAACTATGAGAATGCAAAGGTATATGAATGACACGATGAACTTTGGGGACTCAGGGGGAAGGGTGACAAGGGGATGAGGAATAAAGATCACAAATTGGGTTCAGTGTATACTACTTGGGTGATGAGTGCACCAAAACCTCACAAATCACCAAAAAGAACTTACTCATGTAACCAAGTACCACCTGTTCTCCAAAAACCTTTGTAAATAAAAAACAAGAGGTGCATGCTGTACAGACATACACCTAATAACTGAACCATGAGTATGTGTCGTACCAGGAAGGC
Organism: Homo sapiens; assembly: GCF_000001405.40. Classification (NCBI taxonomy): domain Eukaryota; kingdom Metazoa; phylum Chordata; class Mammalia; order Primates; family Hominidae; genus Homo; species Homo sapiens. The sequence continues at coordinate 229,512,792 of NC_000002.12, forward strand.
AAACACAGGTGAAATTGCTCCCATCTTGCTTTTCATTTGCATCAATACAGCTCGCGTTGTTTTGGCAAGGTTTCCTCTGGCAAGCATCGTATTCTTCACAGAAAGTACCCACGTACTGCTCCTCACAGGTACAGGAAAAAGTTGCCTAAAACACAAAAAAAGCACAGTGTCTATTACCTGGCACCTCTCAACAGTGTGCTTTGGCTGTGAGACTCAAAGTTTGAAAGAACCACTTCCTTTTTATAATCAGCAATTTAATCAAATCACTTATGTCATAATCTAGTTGAAATCATCGCTTTAAGACAAACAGTAGTTTCTTTACAGTCTAATCTCAAACACGTTTTTCTATTCTTTGTTCATATTTATCCCCGTCATTTTCGATCTTCCTAAAATAGAAATGAAATGAACTTGTTTTAAGCTAAAATTGAAGTTTTGCTGGCCAGACATGGAAATGGCAATTTTGCTAGAGCAGATAGTTTAATGCTACAGCCATTAAACTAGATGTCACTCCAACCAACTAAAACCTTCAACAGAGATAGCACTTGCAACAAAGATGTCATCAAATGTCCAACCCAGACCGTCCTTTCAGAACACTGAGAAAATGCACTGAATCACTCCTTCAACTGGCCTCAATGTACAGCCATGCAGATTACCTGAGTGCAAGGGAAAATAAAAGGAGTATAATTCAAGTAACCATTTTGTATCGCTTATGATATTAACATTATCTTAGTAAAAGACCATAACTCAGACACAGAGAATGGAATTTGACTTGAAGCTTCATTTCTGAGATAGGTGCAAAATACAAACAAAACTGGGTTTCTGTCCCCTTCTTAATGACAGCCTAGGGGTACGGGCATGTCTGAAATAAACCACAAATCTGTCCCCAAAGCCTACACAAAGCAATATAGATCATTACAGAAGATTTTTATGAGGAAGAGAGGAGGAGAGGCAAAGGAGAATGACATTAACAGATCTTACTACTTAAGAAAATCTAAACAAAACAGACAAAAGCCCCTTGCCCAGCTCATCTCCAAGCCTGGCACATGGGGCAGATGTTCAATCTCTACCATTCCCCAGCCATTATCCCCTCACCCTCCCTCCCTCTCCCTGTCCTCAGCCTCCCGCTGCTAATCTTAGAAAGAGACTCTCTCCTCTTCTCCAAGCACTGTCAACTCAGGATCTCCACCCAGTACCCCCCATAAGTACAACCCACTGCCTGCCTTCCCCTTGAAGAGAAAAGGGTTATCCATTCTTCTCTTTAGTACATTTTTGTCTCTCAATCAAGTTTCATAATTCCTGCACATTTCTTGATAAATTTACTCCTGAATATTTATGTTTTTGTAGCTATTGATAATGAAATATCTTCTTCATCCTATTCTTGTTAATACCAATGATACTTGCTAGTAATTATTACACAGGAATAAAATACTAGGGTTTTGTTTCCAGTTATCACACTGAGCTTTTAGTACACGTCAGAGTTTTTAGTTGATTTCCAGGCTTTCTACATGACACAAAACAAGATGATAATAATAAGTCCATAACAATTGCAAATAGTAATAATGTCATCTTTTCTTCTCCAGTTCTCAAGGTTACATTGGCAGCTCTTCCGGAATAATTTTGGCCTCAGAGGGATGCTTGTAGAATTTACCACTAAGCAGATTGTTGGAATGACTGTGAAATTTTATCAAATGCCATTTTAGCTCCTACAGGAATCATCTATTGTTTTCATCTGTGACCTATTATGACATGAATTCAATATCCAGATTTCCTAGTACTGATTCAACCTTATGCTCCTGGAAGGAACATCCACTTAAGTCATTATACAAAATGGTTTTAATATGGCTGGCTTCTATTAGTAGTCATACTTCTAGTGCCTTCCATTTCACTCTCCCTCCACCCTCTTTCCCCAACAGATTTCTTTTCTAAGAAAAAGCTGTCCCTTGCACATGAGATCATGTTTTACACTGCATAGGAGGATGCCCCTCACAACAACTGACTGAACAAGAAGTGTGCAGATCCCTCACAAACCAACCAAGAGGCCAGACAACAGGATATGACATTTAGCTCGACCAAACTGCCAAATTGTATATGGGTGTCTTTCTTCTGTTAACAGAATACGGTTTTTTGCTAAGGGAATACAACAGGTCCTTGTAATCTGCATAATCAAGTCTCCTTTAGTTTAATAATACATTCTTCAATGATATCTTAGAAGCTAAAACAATTATAATTTTTTTTAAAAAAATCCTTTCTTCTTAAGCTGGAGCTATATTTTCTGCCTTCTATTTCTATCACCTCTCACTTCTTTGTGGTAAATGGAAATTCCCTCTTCATTCTAGCAATAAAATGAGGATCTATCTGTTTTTTCATCATGTTTTGAGTTTTTTCCTTTTGTATTTGTAGCTGGAAGCTAAGAGAAGCTGTCAGAAAGGTATTTTTTTAAAACAGGAAACTCCTTTTTTTAGAACTGTCTTCTAAGGACAATCTTGTCCTTGCTCAAATGCATAACAGAGTACACATCTGATATGTGCATGAGTCCTGTTTGGAGCTCTCTGTGCATTGGAAGATTTGTGGCCACCTTTGAAATGTAAATGCTGTGCACGCCCAGTGCATACAATCCCAAAGCAGGCCTCCAAATCATGATAAATTACTATATGTCATTGGTCTTGGCAGCTGTCTTCTAAAATTTACTTGGTTTGTATCCAGACATTCCATATTGCGGATAAATTTGCTTGGTTATTTGACGGATACATTTAGCATGTAATTCATCTAGTGCATTCCATGGAAAATATGCTGCTTATGGAAATAAATTATTGAGAGCCCCAAATCAAATATCTTCAAGTTAGCTTTATTTTTTTATTTTTTTTTTTTTGAGACAGTCTCACTCTGTCACCCAGGCTGGAGTGCAGTGGCACAATCTCAGCTCACTGCAATCTCTACCTCCTGGGTGCAAGCGATTCTCATGCCTCAGCCTCCCGAGTAGCTGGGATTACAGGCTCCTGCCACCATGGCTGGCTAATTTTTTATATTTTTAGTAGAGACAGGGTTTCACCGTGTTAGCAAGCTGGTCTCGAACTCCTGACCTCAGGGTGATCCTCCCGCCTCGGCCTCCCAAAGTGCTGGGATTACAGGCATGAGCCACCGCACCCAGCCTCTTCAAGTTAGCTTTGATTGAATTTAGAGATAAAACAGAAGCCATCCATTTTGTTTTGCTTTATTGCAAGCAGGAACCTTGAAAGAAACCTGAAGAAACTGTTGAAACAATTGCTTTTGATAAAGTAGAACACAAAATTGATTCTTAAATTTTCACTGAGAGATGAGGAAGGAGGTTAACAAATGTTTAACATATTCATGACCATAAAATTTTAGTTAAATATTTGTATATTCTCTATCATATCATCTATAAAGTTAGATTACTCCCTGTCTATTTTCTAAGAACAAAGAGCTTTCCTATAATATTAAAAAGTTTGTTTTGATAGTTTTAAGACTGCTGACTTGTAAGAGATCATGAATGTTTATTATAGGAAACTATGTTCGCACATCTTTTGTGAAAAACCATGTTTGACCACTGAAGTTTAACTCATTGCCTGTGATATCACTAATCACTAATCTAACTCCAATTAACTCCACCAGCATAAGGGACAAAATAAACTTACTTAAAATTAGCAGCTTAGCTAAATTACAGAAAGATACTTCCTTGTAAAAGTATTGTATAAGTACACGGAAATGTACTTTTCAAGTAAAATGAACAGTGACCCTCAGAGATTAATTTAAAAACCCAATAAAGAATCTCAATTTTCCTCAACAGCTTGAAGTCAAATATGCCATTTGTACATTAATGAAACTTTCTCAGTCAGTCAGCTGTGGGAAGACGTAGTGCCAGCTATTGGGGAAGCTGAGGGAAGACGACTGCATGACCCCAGGAATTCGAGGTTGCAGTGAGCTATGATCATGCCACTGCACTCTAGCCTGGGTAACAGAATGGGACGCTGTCTCTAAAAAAAAAAAAAAAAAAAGAAAAGAAAAGAAAAGAAAAAGGCCGGGCACGGTGGCTCACCCCTGTAATCCCAGCATTTTGGGAGGCCGAGGTGGGCGGATCACAAGGTCAAGAGATCGAGACCATCCTGGCCAACATGGTGAAACCCCGTCTCTACTAAAAATACAAAAAAAAAATTAGCTGGGCGTGGTGGCACGTGCCTGTAGTCCCAGCTACTCAGGAGGCTGAGGCAGGAGAATCGCTTGAACCCAAGAGGCAGAGGATGCAGTGAGCCGAGATCGCGCCACTGCACTCCAGCCTGGTGACAGAGTGAGACTCCGTCTCAAAAAAAAAAAAAAAAAAGAAAAAAAATTAATAAAAGGAAACTTCTAGGTTAGAAAAAAAATCACACATGCATTCACTTATTTGTCCTTTCAACCAATGTGTATTAAGCATATACTATGTGCCAGGCACTGTTCTAGGAGCTGAGGGTCACAGAAGTGAACAAGACCCTCTCCTGGGGTTTATATTCTAGTAGCGTTGACTGACAATGAATAAAATGAATGAGAAAGTGGTATAGTAAATTAAGTTATAAATGGCATGGGGAAAAACGGAGACAGGGAATAGAAGTGGAAGGGCTGTTATGAAGAACACAATTTAAAACCGGATGTACTGAGAAAGTGAAAACAGGGCCAGGACTTGCTGGAGGTGCAGAGTGGCCATGGAGGCATCCGAGGAAAGGTATTCCAGGTGAGGGGAACAGCCAGTACAAAGACTTCAAGGTGGACCATGCCTCACATGTTCAGGAAAGATCCAGAAACCAGTGTCGCTAGAGTATAGCAAATAACAGAGAGAACACTGTAACGTGAGAGGTCACTGGGCGTGCCGTCAAATCCCGTGGGATGGTGGTTTTCATGTAGGGACCATATTACCTCCCAGAAGACATTTGGCAATGTCTGGACATACTTTTTGGTTGTCACAGCCGAGGGCTTGCTACTAGCCTCTGGCGGATAGAGTTCAAGGATGCTGCTAAACACCTTACAACGAACACGGCAGGTCCCACAGCAAGAAACTATCCAGTCCCAAATGTCAGTGGTGCTGAGCTTGAGAAACCCTGATATAGGCTTTATAGGCTACTGTAAGAACCCTGGCTTGGTGTGAAATTTTGGAAAAGATAGTTCTTGCGCCAGAAAAGACCTGAAAATGCATTGCACATAGTAATGTCGCTCTACGTTAAATTACCTTGTTTCATTACAATAGTTTGTTTTATTCAGATAACACCCAGACCCTGAACGTAAGTAATCCCACAGCCATCTCAAAGCAGAAGCTGGATGGTTATTTATTCAGGGAAATTATGTTTGAGTCTTCCATTTTCACATGATGATGTCAGTCCTACCATCTTAGGTGATCTTCCAAGTATGAGAGGTATCTTTACTCAGCATTATAAAATAACTGGCTATTACTGGATAATTTAACTTAAACTGGATATTGTCCAACATGTATTCAATAATTCCATTCATTCAACACACGTTTTTTGAACACTGCCATGTGTCTAGCAATATTGTGAATACTAGAGATGTGGTGAAGGTCGAAAGGACACAGTCCCCATTCTAGTGGAAGAAAAGGACATGTTCTATGTCAGATAACATCCTAGAGGGACAACAAATATATAGTTTCCTGTCACATTGTGTAAGTGCTATAAAGAAGTGTAAATTGATACGAGGAGACAGAGAGTGACAGTGGGGTGTAAATAGGCTTTTATCTCAATCAAAGTCTAGTTGGGAAGACCAATGTCTTTGAAGAATTGCACATAGGTGGAATTCAACCCTTCCTCCACACAGTCAAGCTTTTTACACCTAAATCGAGTCCAACCATCAGAAAACTGAATCAGAAAACTGAATCTTGGACCGTATTCTCTTGTTCCTTTGGCAGAACTGCTTTCACTGAGCTGTTATTTCACCTTACACTCTCAATTAAATATTGAAGAGCCATATAAGAAATATCCCTGTTAAACCTAATATGACATCCACTATGAGGATATTGTTGAGAACATTATATACCATATATCACTTCGTGCACCATTTACGAACTCTTACCCAAGAAAATTCACTCATTTAAGTGCCACAGTTTTGCTAGTCTTTAGAACTCATGTTTCATTCTCAAGAACGATGCAAATCATGCGATTACTCTTTTTTTTTTTTTTATTTTTGATTTGGGCTGCTGTAAGCTCAGGGTCTAGTTGAAGTTTAGCTTTAACAACTACATAGGGCTCTATGACTACCTGACTATTTCTCCTTTCTAACTTGGACAATGCCTTCTAATTTATATATTCCCTGATTCTGACTTTTTTGATATTTTTCTATTTCAATACTTTATGTAATATAGAGCCAAATATCATGAATAAATCTAACCCCCTAACACAGCACTCAGAGCACTTGACAGTCTGGCCCCAACCCACCTTTTCAATCTTATTCTCTGTCATTTTACCTCTCTCAGTAACGCCTGTGTGTTGGTGAACAAATCATTCCAGTGAGACAAGTCTTCTCAGCAGCTATATTTCTTGCTTTATGGATCAGAACTTATAATTCTATTTTACTTTCTCCCTTAAAGAACATATACAGAAAATATACTTGTCTTTTTTTGATATCCCAGTGACATCAGTATCAACATAAAATGCCCAACTGACTAGACATTGAATTTCATTGTTTATAAAGCTTGCTTCAGTGAAATTATTGCATTAACCTTCACCATGTCTGTCAGGTGATCCATCTTAAGAATTGAGAACAGACTCAAAAAAGAGGTCAGGAAAATTATGTCAGGTGTCCCAGCTGGCAAGCAGAAGGTCAAGGCTTGAACTCACATTGTCTAATTCCAAATCCTTTGTCATTCACAGCGGCATACAGTCCCCTCATTACTGTGATGGCCTCGGGTTCAGAAGATGCGTGTGGGGAGGCCCTTCACCCTTAAGGGCATCTGCTAGGTCAAAACTCTGGCTAATGAGTTGACAACTCTCAAATAACCCCGGCAATGGTGGCATTTTAGTTCTCACTCCAGATTTCTGTGGTTTTTCTACTTCCTCCCTTGCTGTCAGGCTGCCTTCATCAGCTCTGCATTAGTGACTATCCCTTTGGTTCGCTGATTCTAAGTTCCTGTAATCTGAGACTACTACTGAATTTATTCAAATAAGGTGTCAGGATAGAGTAAAAACTATCCTATCTGGTGGCTGAAAGTACCTCTTATAAGAGGTATACATAAAGCGCCTAATTGCTCCTGAACAGACTTAGGAACTTCAGGCAATTCTTCGCCAGAATTGGAAGTCCTTGATGTCTGAGACTCTAGTTACTCAGACATAATAGATGCTTAGGTGTTCACTGAAATAAACTGACATCATAATAGGCTGCTTAGCAGTAGTCTTGCGGGAGAGTTCTGCACAGGCACAGGATCTTCTCCTCCTTCTTCCGTGTCTATCTCTGATATCCTGGGTTTGGCTGTAAGAGCATCAGAGTCATTCTTTGAGCACATGTTTATACAAACTGGGATAACTGGAACCAGGATTAGGAGGACAGTCCCAAGCCAAGAGGCGACTAACAGGCCCCTAACTCTGAAAACGAAATGGAGATGATTCAAGCCACTCCTTGCTAAAGGACCCCCCAGGCCAATTTTGATTTCCATCGTGAGCCAGCCTAATTCCAAACTACATCCGGGTTATTCATAGTTAAATGTCCAAACATCTGCTAGGTCAAAACTCTGGCTAATGAGTTGATAATGGTTGAAACTAGGTGACACAGGCATGGTGGTCTGCCAGTTACTCTATGTTTATATATGTTTGAGATTTTCCATAATAAAACAAACATTTTTTTTTAATTTTAAGAATCTGGCTAAGTACCAAGAAAGGAAAGCTAAAACTCGGAAACACTGGAATTCCATTTGAGCATCCCACATCTGGCTCTTCCCCATGGAATCTGCCATTGCATCTGCTGCAGGACTGCTGTGGAGAACACTGTGAGCATGTGACTGAGTCCCCACATATGAAGTCCCACTCCAGAGATTTATTTCATATCCAAGTGCCAGGAAAATCTCTGCTCGCCTTAAGGAACTAACATGTTTTCTCCTTGTGGACAACATAAATCACATAATAGAGCATATTTCCCTCCAAACAACCCTGTCAGCTTGAAGAAAAGGCTCAGCCATTCCTATGCCAAGGGAGGGTCTGGCTGCCTCTCAGCTTCCCCAGTGTACTGGGGTCATGACTAGGGCACGCCCAGCCCCAGCCTTGGCGGAAGCAGAGGAATTCCTGCTTACAGAGCCTATGAATAAAAAGTCCGAAGACCTCTCTAAACCAGTTCCCCACATACTGGCAGCATCAAGTTGAGTTGGTTTCCTAACATCGGAAAGCTCTGGAATCATTTTGCTCCTAGTTAATGGAGGAGCTCCAGGAGCCTGTCCGTAAAGATTCCAGGAGTAAGGGCTTTCTGCAGCCACTTTTACCGACAGCTTATGTTGCCCTAAGCAGCCATCAGTGGGAGGAAGACAGTGTGTCCTGGCCGACTCATGTAACGACACAGCATTGGTCAGGGTCTAGCGAGAACTGACCATCACCCCAAATGCACTGAGCCTGAATCTGTGCAGACAGAGGTCACAGAAACCTTGTCCTGCTAACCCTCAGCCAAGGATCTATTAACCCAGCTCCTAGGCTGTGGGAACCAGACAGGACAGTCATTTAGGTCTGAAATTACATAGGTGACAGACACTAAAACCTAGATACAAAACAGTAACCATTGACACATTTTGATTTGATTAAGCATAGGCGAGCTATGACTAAAGGGTCAGACAACCAGTTCAGCATCCCCTTTTAGCCATGTAGAGTTTAACCTCCTACTAAACCCAGATTTAGTATTTCAAGAAGCAAAAAGGACTATGTGGATGTAAAATTTAAGAGACTACCTGAGAATTCCATGTATAATGTAAAAATGACTATAAATGCCTTTTCCTGAACCAGACCACACAAGAACACATGGAACCTAGCCACAGAGACAAACTGTTGCTCTTTGGGGGAACACAGTGCTCAAAGAAAAACTATGAATTACATGTTTTAAATTCTTGTCTTTTGGCTGGGTCTTATTGTTCTATTATTCATTACACATGTAACTTAACATGTTCATATCACTTATAGCTCATAATTTTATTTCCTCATCATTCTTAGATATACTATCATTCTTTTATTCGGGTTCAGTAATTGCAAATGTTGTAGCTTATTATAAAAAAAAAAGACAAGCGTAGAAACATGCAGATCATCTCAGCATTAAATTCAGGACTTGACATTCATGAATTCATGGAATTCATTCCTTCAGCTTAAATGATAAATTTTAAATAATAGTAGCAATAATGAGAGTCCTGCTCTTTCCTTCCAAGGACATTGAAGTTTACTTTACTACCCAGGGGAGAAGAAAGTAAATGTCTTTTAGGAAATGCTGTAGAAGTCTTTCTTCCTAAAACTAGATATGTGGGTTGGCAGAATGGAGATGTTCAAAAGCAGCTTCCAGCCATATACTGGCAACTCATGTGTTCTCAGCACTCTTGGAGTGGTTATAATTAGGCATACAATTTACATGTAATCAGTCTTGATCTTCAATTCACTCACATCTGTGTATTTATTTGCCGCAACGTTCTAATCCATTAACAAAAGTAAAGTTTGACTTTAAGGAAAATGAATGTCACTGAAAATTCATCTTTGATTGAATTTCCCTGAAAAAAGAGCCTGTTCCCACAAGTAGACAACATACCATTCTACTTTCTTATTTTAAAATTCCATTTAGCCCTCTAGTTATTTCCTGTGTTATGCCACAAGAAAATGGAAAAAAAATACTTTAAGAAATGAAAATTGTTATGTATAAATTACTAATGAGAAGGGCTGGTTAAAGAATAGAAAACCTGCCCAGCATCTTCAAGTTACCTCGGATGGGAGCAAAAATGATAAATCAGTGAAGCAGTGGTGACTCTTCCTAAAGATGGAAAGCCGATGGGGACGGAACAGAGGACAAAGCTATCATCTCCTGAAGGAAGCCCTGCCATGTGCCAGGTATCATGGGAGGCTTCTTTCATTTAATCCTCCCAACAGCCTTCCAAAATAAGTGTGATTTTTCCATGTTACCAATGAGGAAACAAATCAGACAATTTAAGTGGCTTGCTCAAGGTCACACAGCTAGTCAGAGGCAGAGGGGCTCAGATTGAGTCTCATTGTAAAGACCTTCTTACAATTTAAGACATTCAGAGATGCAAGGTAGGAGGGACAGGACTCAGACAACATCCTGAGAAAGGTGATGAGGGGAGCATGATGCACTGAGTGGGAATGGGAAGGGGGTGACCCCCTAAGGCCTCATCCACTCTTAGGTCTGGTAGCCCTGGGTTCCAGCCCCATGTAGGGCACAAATCCTCTCTGCTGCTGTCCTGGTCCCAGAGATCTCATGTCACTCCAGAATGCTAACAACCCCATCGTGGGTTTCTTTCCTACTCTTTCTGTATTCGTTTGCTAGGGCTGCCGTAACGAAGTATCACAGAGTAGGTGGCTTAAACAACACAAGTTTCTTTCTCATCGCTCTGGAGGTTACACAGCCTGAGACGACAGTGTCGGCAGAGCTGGTTTCTCCTGAGGCCTCTCTCCTTGGTTTGCCCGTGGCCATCTCCTCCCCGTGTCTTCACACAGTCTTTACTCTGTGTTTGTCTATGTCCCAATGTCCTTTCTTATTGGATGAGGACCCACCCATATTTCACTTTACCTCTTTAAAGTGACCTCATTTCACTTTACCTCTTTAAAGAGCCTACCTAAATACAGTCACACTCTTAGTACCGCAGGTTATGACTTCAACATACAAATTTGGGGGGCAGGAGGACAGAATTCAAACCATACTATTTCCCTTTCCCCTTTCTGCTTCTTCCTCCAACTATTTTCAGAACAGCCTTCCTCAAATGCTGCTTTTAGTCCTTCACAGATATCTGATGCTTACTGTATTCAGCCTCTTATCCTAGACGGTGCACAATATTCCTTGAACAATTGCTGTCTGAAGAGGTTAGCATTGCATGTGCAGATGCATGAAACATAGCTCATGAGCTCCAAGAACTGACAATCTAGTTAGAGAAAATGTCTGTGTCATTCTCATCATCATGATCATCTTCACTGTGAATATTTATCAGGCCTTCAATAAATGCCAGGCATTGTACTAAAGGCTTTGCAAAATGCAGTTATCCTCATAGCTACCTCTGAGGTGGCTGTTATTGTTATTCTCATTTTATATTTGAGGTAACTGAGGCACAGAGAGGGTGAGTAAATTGACCAAGGTCCGCCAGCTCGTAAATTGAAAAGCTGACATCTGAATCCAGCTAGTCTGATGGCAGGACCTGCTCTTTACATTAGAAGAACATGAAGCAGAGATGACAAAGTAGCATAGCCAGGGAAAACACGACCTTGCTTGCTGAGATCTTGTTCCTGGGTCTTCTCTCTTTTTGACCATGGGCAAGTAATTTATATTATTTATTGCATTGTTTCCTGTTAGGCCTCACTTCCGTAATAGGAGAAAATAAAAGGAGATGTGCGTAACCCAAAGATGCTATTATTTATGTTATGTTTTTAAAATTTAACTGTTGAAAGCTCTAAAATGACACAACTGATATTCAAAAACACTTATCCAGTAACAAAGGAGTCAGTGCAGACATGAATACAATTACTGTATTCATGACCCAGGATGGTTGACTGGTCCTCCTTCCCAGTTCCTGCATGAGTGAGGCAATGAAATCAAATCAAATCACAGGCTAGATTCATGAACCAGGCTGTATGCAGAGATTAGAAATTGGGCTGGGGTAAGATCCCCAAACCCCATCCCCCAGTCTCTTTTTTTCCATTAAGATTACCCAGCCCTTCACCAATCTTGGAGATAGGGAAGAATCAAATGCTGAAACAGCTGTGGACACCAGGGAGGAGCTGCACCTGCACCTGGTCCAGGTAAAAGGGTGAAGCCCTTGATCCCTTATAGAGAGTCTCCAGTGCCCTGACTGTTTCAAACACTCTGATCGCTCTGGGCCAGGCCGAGGTCAATCCTGAGTGGCAGCTTTTGTCCTTCTGGGGCTGAACCATTTAGTTCTCAAGACGTTTGTCACCATCTGAAACTCAAGATCCTGAGACAGGGAGATGGATGTGACGAACTCCCTTCGGGACGTCCCCTTTAATGACAAGGCTGCCGTCTCCATGCATCACTCTGATGTGTGGCTCTTCTCTCATCTCCCTTCCTCCATCCTTGTTTCCCTCTCTCTCCTCATTCCCATGGGGCTCTTTCACATGTGTGGTTCATAATATCACAGGCTGCAGCTAAAAAATATGCGTGTGTCTCAACGCCCATCTTTAGCCGGGATGTGGGCCTTCTTCTGTGCATGTATAACTTTAACCCAGCTTCACTTTCCTAGTCAACCTAAAATTCTTTGCCTCAGTCTTCACATCAACTTTCCTCTTAGTAGGTTATTTTATGGTTTATGTATTTTTGTGGATAGCCTCAAGTCTAATGCAAAGAGAGAGACTGTAAATAAATTTTTAAAAGTAGAACACTGCATAAAGCTGACATAAGGAATCACTGTAGTCTTCCTAATGGGAAGTGAATGCCAGCTTTACAGCCCATTGTTTTCCTATAGAAATAATAATATACACTTAAATCTAAATATTGATATAGTCTAAATTCCAAGAGTTTTATGTAATCCTTGATATCATGGAAGTTAACTAAAAAAAAAGTTCTTCAGTATTTAAGGAAAAACACTTTGCATTTTATTTCTATAGTCTCTGATCTAATCAATGCATTTCTTTTTTTATTTATTATTATTTCTGAGACAAAGTTTTGCTCTTGTTGCCTGGGCGGGAGTGCAATGGCGTGAACTCGGCTCACTGCAACCTCCACCTGCCAGGTTCAAGCAATTCTCCTGCCTCAGCCTCCTGAATAACTGGGACTACAGGCATGTGCCACCACGCCTGGCTAATTTTTTGTATTTTTAGTAGAGATGGGGGTTTCACCATGTTGGCCAGGCTGGTCTCAAACTCCTGACCTCAGATAATCCATCTGCCTCAGCCTCCCAAAGTGCTGGGATTATTTCTTACTTTATTTGAATCTAGACCCACACAAATTGATATAACATCAGCAAAGGTGGGAAGGTCCTATCATTCATCTTAATTAAATCTTATTAAATGCTTGTTGATTTCATTATTTTAATATTGAACAAAAGGCAGGTTAGATCTAATAAATGTGTTTCTCCAGATTAATTAGAAAAAGAATCATTTTAATAGGGGTCTCTGGAAGAAACTTAACATATCTAACTCAAGAGTGGCAAAAGAATTAGAAAAATTCACCAACAAAATAAACCTTTCTTGCTTTTGAATTTTTATTAATCTATAATATTCACATGAAGCGATTTCTTTTGTGTGATAATTTAATCCTCCAATTCTGAGCAAGAAAGGAAATCTGCATACGACTTTGAATTTAAGAACATTAACACTGCTCGCGTGTTCCTCTCAAAAGTGCCTGGGTTAACGTATCATATTTTAACTATTATGATGCTTGTAGTTTCTTTCCTAACTCATTTACGATCCCCAGACTAGGAAATTGAATTCAGGCCCTTTATACAGAGGAAATGAAACCCACGGTTAATACCCTAGAGCAGCAGTCCCCAACCTTTTTGGCACCAGGGACCAGTTTCGCGGAAGACAATTTTTCCCTGGACAGGGTAGGGGGGTGGTTTTGGGATGAAACTGTTCCACCTCAGCTCATCGGGCATTAGCTAGATCCTCATAAGGAGTGCACAGTCTGGATTCTTCGCATGCGCAGTTCACAACAGGGTTTGCGCTCCTATGAGAATCTAATGCCTCCGCTGATCGGACAGGAGGCAGAGCTCAGGCAGTAGTGCTCGCTCGCCACTGACTTTCTGCTATGCGGCCTGATTCCTAACGCCATGGGCAGGTACCAGTCTGTGGCCCAGAATGGGGGACCTCTGCTCTAGAGCTTCTGTGTCCCCATCTGATGATGGGGATGGTGAAAATGTCTGTCACAGCGCTGTAGGGTGTGGAAGTCTTTGAGCCAACACAGATCCATCTAGGTGCTGGAAGAAACATTAAGTGACGTCCTCATTCACGTGCACACACTGCAGCAAAAGCCAATCGCCTTGCAATATGGCTGCCATCTACTACGGTCCTCGGTGTGGAAGGCAAGCTCAAATTCTTTTTTCTAAGTATTAGTTACAGAGGCTAATTTTAAAAAAGAAAAAGATCCTATGAGTTGGCCTAAGCGCCTGTCCTCTCCGAAAGCTGCATAACTGGGCTTTTGCTGTGGAATGAGGCTGTCGTTCACGTCATCGCGTGAGGGATTCTTCCAGAGCCTGTAAAGCTCCTCTAAACTTAGCCTGGTTTATTTGGCATAACCTCTGCCTCAGAAGAATAATTCAAATACCACCAGCTTCCCCTGTTTCTGAAATGAAACCCAGACATGAGATTCAGATATGTGCACATATCTGACGATTCTTACCTCCCCAAACCCAGATCCCTGTTCTCACAACCCATACCTACAAGTTGCACCTGCCTTCTAGAATGATCTACTATTCTCACTTTCACTGAAACCAACCCCCAACTAAGCTGAGTTGTTCCAGTTTTAGTAATAGATAACACCTTAATGTGTTACTATTTTAGGGACATTCGCATTTAAATAGAAAGCCATGCCTTTATTATACAGGAATTAAGTTCAAAGAACAGAAATCCAGGCAGCCTGCCAGGCTGGTGTCTCAAGGAAATTTGGGGTTGAGAAACCACCCTAGATAGCTTTGAATCTTACCTCAGTGCCTTCTGTCCAACAGCATGGACAAATGGATTGTATCAATGTTTGAGTTACTTCTATTTTTTAAAAAGAATGTTTTGTTCAAAAGCAAAAACTTCATAATAACTTTTTTTTAAGTTATTTTCTCCTACTATTACTCCTGGCTGGTAAATATGGTTTATCTATTTTTTAGAAGACCTATGTATCAGCTTTCTTTCTGGGATGGGGAATGATTATGTATTCACGAGTATTTCTGGCTAAAATTGACATATGTCAACAATTTTGTATTTT
Source organism: Homo sapiens (assembly GCF_000001405.40). Taxonomy (NCBI): domain Eukaryota; kingdom Metazoa; phylum Chordata; class Mammalia; order Primates; family Hominidae; genus Homo; species Homo sapiens. The sequence continues at coordinate 229,527,891 of NC_000002.12, forward strand.
AACCGCAAAGCTGAAATACATTTAGCTGAGTAGAGCTTCAAAGCAATGGCTAAAAAGTGAGGCAAAGGGCACATTTCTGTGGCCAGCTGCACCAACACTTGTCACAACACAGGTCTTTAAAAAAATTACATGCCAGTGAATGGAGCATGTGCTAATGACTCGAACTCAGAAATTTAAGTATCAACTTTCTTCCAACAATTATCCTGCAAGATTAGAACTCCAAGAGGGAAATTAGACATGAGTCTAGCCCCAGTGATTTCCACTAAAGCTAATTACAATCCCTTCTGTTGGCCAGAAGGGTCCCTGCTCACTCAAAAGACGATGAGTGGTGGCAGAAACTTCCTAGGATAACAGGGTCAGGATGCCAAGTGCAACAAGGACCATGAGAAGGTGACTGTTGACGGAGGCAACTGATGGCTTCTTTTGTGGTTTGCGCATCACATGTGCCACCTTTTACTGGGAAAATGCTCTACAAAGTGCTTCCACCTTTGTGATCTTATTTCAACTTCCATTAGAAATTTTTCCAGCATTTACACAGATTTGTGCAGCCTAAGTCCTTCTACCCACCACAGCCCTGTGACATAGATATTTCTATCATCCCCAGGATCTGATAGGGATACCAAGGCTCTTGGGAAATAAGAAGGGCAATTTCAGTAAATGCTGGAGTCAGACATTGAACTCTGATCTCTACCCGCAAGTCTGCTGGCTTCCACAGGGCCATGAAGCCTCCTACTCTATCAGATGATTTTGTACAAATATGGAAGCCCATGCTGACATCACCTGGACCGAGGACAGGAACACATAAATATTTGCTGTCCCCATGAATTCTCTCTCTAACTAGGAAACACAAATAAGGCCTTCCCGTGCTTCTTACTGCTCTAAACAAAACTGAAAAATGTGAGTGTCTTTGCAGTGCTAAAAATTATCTAAATTCCAACCCTTACTGAGATTGTGTCGCTTAATTCCCTAGAGCCTCTGTTCCCATTGGATAATTCCAGTAAAGAAAATGTCCATGTCCCGGGGCTGTGGCAGGTGGGAGATGCTTCCTACCAGGGCATAGCAGTGGGACTGACGTCTCATTAGCAGTCTGTGGATTTCAATCAAGCTAATGTCACGGAGTATATGTGATTAAATTGCAAAATGGATTGTTCTTCTGGTAGAAAATGGATGAATAATATTATGCTAATCTAAATATGGAAGCCCATACTTCTCACAGTTTCATTTATTTTAGCAACGTGAGAAAGCCCTTCAGGCAAAAGGCAAGTCTACCTGCTGCTTTTGATTCTAGATACCACAACATAATATCTTTTTTTTTTTAATCCCCAAATCTACCATATGTGAAGAAATCCTAACAATAGAGGAGCGAGCTTCGGCTGAAAAATCAATGAAAATAATTCAAGCTTGATGATAAGTGAGCGGATACTGCAAGTTTCCACTGTCTGTGGTTAAGCCCCACCCTTGATCTCCTCCAACTCCAAGTGAACCACGACCCTTGCCATTCAGCCACCCATCTTACCAAAGGCTCTTTTTCCATCCAAGACCCCTACCACACTTCCTCGGAAGATTGTTTCATCATCACTTCAGCTGGTGCTTTCATGACATATATAACTCATCCCTTTAATATTTTACTTTCAACCCAACATTAATACTTCTGGAATTAGCATTTAATTTGGCTAACGTGTATGATTTTGTTCAACTGTCCATTACTCACACCTGTAGTACTTTGCTTACCAGCACTTACATCTATAGGAAACCAAACTAAGACCAGAGAATTACAAGAAAAAAAAGGTAAAGGTAAAATGCTAACCAGAAAGCATGTAAAGACATGAAGAAGAGGCCAGGTGCAATGGCTCATGCCTGTAATCCCAACACTCTGAGAAGCCAAGGCAGAAGAATTCCTCGAGCCCAGAAGTTCGAGACCAGCCTGGGCAACATAGGGATACCCTGTCTCTACGAAAAATAAAAAATTAGCTGGGCATAAGTTGGTATACCCGTGTGGTCCCAGCTGCTCAGGAGACTGAGGCGGGAGGATTGGTTGAGTCTGAGAGGTCAGGGCTGCAGTAATCACATCACTACATGCCAGCATGGGTGACAGAGTGAGGCCTCAAGTCTTTAAAAAAAAAATGAAGAAGGTTAATAGAAAAGAAAAATGAAAAACACACTAAAGGAGTTTAAAAAGCACCTATTAAACTATAATGGGGAGATAGAATGAAGAGAGAAAAAGCAAAAAAAAATTTTAAGTTTTTCTATAGATATAGACCTAAACACACATGCATAATTATTTATGAAATATATAAATGGTATTCTATAAGCAGCTACAGGTACTTATTCTGTTCATATACTTCAATGTTCCCCCAGATTCCTGCCAAAATATTGCCACTGTGCAAAAACAAAATGCATAAATGACAGCACTGATGTCCTACATAATTAATGACCTTTGAACTCTGGGCAACTCTGGGACATTCCACATTTGCCAGGGCCTCTTCAGATTCCCAGGAAGACTGTTATGCTAGAGTCTCCTGTGCCCTTCTCTCTCCATTTGAGCCCTAAACGATATCCCATTGCACATATCACATAACCACTTCTGTCTGAGGACTGAGCCACAGCTCAAATTTTCTGCCCAGAAATTGCATGGAAACGAACTACAGTCACACAGAAGAGAGATGACTGTATTCACGGCAATGGCCCGAGAGGGCCTGTAGCAACCTTGCTGGGTTTGTCCATTACTAAGCAGCTGCCGAATTCCAGGGGGAGCTTTCTCATTCCCTTCTGGAGTCAGTTTCTCTATCCCTTATTGACTTGGAAATATCCTATTTAACCACAGAAATATCATTAAACTAGAAACTCTCCTCTGCCGTGAACTTGGAAAGAACTAATGCCTGTGGCACAATTAAATGCTGATCTTAGCCTTCAAATGCTCATTATGTGAAAGAAAATTGAGTATGGAATGATTCCCCTGTTACCGATCAGTAACAGATATGTGGGTGTAGGCCAAGTTTCTTGGGATTATTCTTGCAGTACAAGGAAAAAGCAATCTAAAGGAAGAAACCCATACGAGCATTCATGACAGCCTGACAGATGCTGGGGGTGAGGTGTGACCTGCCCTTTTCCCACAGTGGTGGTGGCTTCCTTTTGGGTCAAGGCAATATTAGGGTACCATCTTCTCTGAATTTGCCTTATTTTACATTCCCTAGAAACAATCCAAACTTCTAAAAGACTCTCAGACAAAGCATAACCTGAGAATGAGCAGATATGTCAGCTCTGCCCTAGCCTAGGCCAGTACTCAAGGCAGCACAGGCAAACTCAATCAGCCACCTCCATCCAAAGCAAAGCAACCCAGTATTTCCAGGAGTGCTGCTCTCAATCAACTCAACGAAGTGACGTGCACCATTGTTTCTTGCCCTGTAACCCAGATCTGCTTCATGCACAAACAGCATATGGTTGGAATTCAGTTTTGTTGGGGAAACTCATTTTTTTCCAAAGACATAAAGCACCTATAATATTTTTTTCATAAAACTCTGATTAACATAGCATCATTGATCATTAGAAAAATGCAACCAAAAGCACAAGATACCAATTCACACTCAGAGGGATGGCAAGAATAAAAAAAAATGGAAAATAACAAGTGTTTGTATGTGGAGACATTAGAACACTCGCACATTGCTGGTGGGAATGCAAAATGCTTCAGCCACTGTGAAAAACACTTTGGTAACTCCTCAAAAAGTAAAACATAGAATTAGCACGTGAACCAGCAATTCTACTCCTTAGGTATTCACCCAAAAGAACTGAAAACAAGGACTTAAACAAATACTTGTACAGACATGTTCATAGCAGCATTAACCACAATAGCCAAAGGTAGAAACAACCCAAATGTCTATCGGTGATAAATGGACCTTGTGGTATATCCATACAATGGAACATTACTCAGCCATATAAAGTAGGGAAGTACTCATACATGCTACAATATGGATGAGCCAGAAAACATTATGCTGAGTGAAAGAAGCAGACACAAAAGGTCCATTCAATATGATTCCATTTATATGAAATGTCCAGAGCAGTAAATCCACAGAGACAGAATGCAGATTGGTGGTTGACAGGGGTTGGGGGAAGGGACAAATGGGGAGTAACTGCTTAATGAATATGAGGCTTTATTTTGGGGGTGATGAGAATGTTTTGGAACTAGACAGAGGTGGTGGCTGCATGAAGCTGAATGTACTTAATGCCATTGAATAGTTCACCTTAAAATGGTTAATTTTATGTCATTTGAATTTCACCTCCATTTTTAAAATGTAGAGTACCTCTGTCAAGTCTTTTGCCTGACATCACTCGCTCAGAAAAGGAAGGTTTCCTCCCCTTCTCTGCAGCTTTCCTTACCTCTGTCAATTCCATCCCCTCCAAGACCTTCATCTGTTAATTACACCCCACCTAACCATTCTGATAGCTCCCACCTCCCCAGGTGCCAGTTTCCTTCCCTCGGCCTATTTCAATGTGATGTATCCTCTGCTCTAGAAGCAAAAGCCTTTCTTTTGACCGAATTTCCCACTCAGGTACCATCTCACTCTGTCCTTCTTTTCAATGCCAAACTTATCAAAAAGGCAAGCCACACAGATTGCCAAAGCTCCTCCTTGGTTCCTATAATCTGGCTTCCTCCCCACCATCATCACTGTCTTCTCAACATAAAGATCCAGGGGCAAATTATCAGGCCTTCCCACAAGGAGAAGGTCCCAGGCCCTGGGTGGAACCCAAGAAATGAAGCCCAGGGAAGCCGACCAATTTCCTGGAAAGCAACTGCTCAATTTCCTTGTTTCTTTTTACTGTCTTGAAAGCTTTCAACAATGTTTATCAAAAAAGTTGGTTTTAACCACTTTAGAAGATTTCTATAATTTTAATTGGCTGGCTTTCATTTTATTTTTCAACAGAACTTGGGGGAATGTTCAGTTCACTTCTAACCTGGCCCCCTGTGGGCTGCTGGCAGAGAAGGAAAAGGAGAGAAAGTGCCTTGGGAATAATAAGGGAGACAGTTGCTGATCCTGGGCTGGGCATGGGGGTGTGGGTGGAAATGGAAGAGAAGGGGTTGAGGGGATCGAGGAGCAGACAAAGATGGGGAGTTTGTCAAATCTGCTTTTAGTAGATTGACCCAGAGCTGTTACAAGGAAGCCATTCAAAGAATCACCACAGATGAGAGACTACAATGTGGGTTTTCAAGATCAAAGCGAGAAAAGGCTGAATTATTCAAAACTAAATTAAGGGTTCTCAGAATAATAAGTTAAAGGTAAACAAAGTAAAAACAGAAATCTAGAAGAAAAGGGTTAGAGGCATGGCCTGAACCAGAACAGAGGATCTCAAAATGTGATTTCCAGACCTCCGGGGACTCCCTGAGATCCTTTCAGGAGGTCCATGAGGTCAAAATGATTTTATAATAATATTAAGACATGATGTGCCTTTTCCACTCTGTTGACATGGACACCAAAGATGTAAAAACAATAGTAAGAGAAACTGCTGATACCTCCGTAAGAGGCAAAGCCGCGGCTTTGAAGCGGTAGACTGGGGATCATCACCATCATCAGACATTTGCAGAGGGGAAAAAAATGTCAATTTCACCTCGAATGTCCTTGATGCGGCAGTAAAAATTAAAATTTGATGAATGAACCCTCAACCCTGGAGTGCACATCTTTCCAACATTGTCTGACAATGGAATGTGCGTACCAGGCCCTTCTGCTCCACACGGGAAGCACTACGGCTCCCTCAAGGAAGTGCACTTGGGCCATCGTTCACCGTGACCTGAGGTCGTCCATTTTTCATGGAACACCCTTTCTCCTCAAAAAAAATGACCAAAAGACAAACTGTGGTTATTCAGACATGGCTATTTGGCAGATATTTTCTCTCAAATGAACAAAGTGAGCCTGTCACTTCAAGCAAAATAAGCAAGAGTTTTTGTTATCGGAGATAAAATCTGAGCTTTCAAGAGCAAATTAGAATTTTGGAAAACTTTTATACAAGCTTGACAGATTCCCAATACTTAAAGACTTTTCTGATGACCAGAAGTGACTTTTTTGATATTGTAAAATGAAATGCATCAACATTTGGAAGCTCTGTATAACTCAGTGATCCAATGTTTTCCAAAGGACTGATGTGTGATGTTACCAAACCCATTCATGGGCAAAAGATCCAAAACACAAGACAGACATTATAGATCGTAATAGATGGTAATGGAACAGACCAATAGATTGTAATGAAACAGGCCAAGAGATTGTAATGAAACAGACCAATAGATTGTAATGAAACAGACCAATAGATTGTAACGTAACAGACCAATAGATTGTAATGTAACAGACCAATAGATTGTGATGATATAGAGACCAATAGATTGTAATGAAACAGGCCAATAGATTGTAATAAAATAGACCAATAGATTGTAATGGTAACAGACCAATAGATTGTAATGTAACAGACCAATAGATTGTAATGGTAACAGACCAATAGATTGTAATGTAACAGACCAATAGATTGTAATGAAACAGACCAATAGATTGTAATGAAACAGACTGAAAGCGTTTGACATGGCTTCAGAGTCCACATTGAATTAACCTTTAAGAATCTTTCACATGTCAAATTTTGGAGTATTTTCTAGAATATACACAAATATCTGAAAGGCTATTAAAACATGTATCCCATTTCCAACTAAGTATCTATTGAGGCTGTATTTTCTTCTTAGACTTCAACCAAAACAACATACTGCAACAGATTGAATACAAAAGCAAATGTAAAAATCCAGCTGTCTTCTTTTAAAACAGACATTAAAGAAATTTGTAAAACTGAAAACAATGCCAGTCTTCTATATTGTTTTGTTTTAGAACTATAATTATTGTTCATTTAAAAGGTATTATTATGTTAACAGGTGATGAGTTTATTGGGTTTACTAATAAGATGAATTTATATTTTTTAATTCTTTTTTTTTATTTTGAGATGGAGTCTTACTCTGTTGCCCAGGCTGGAGTACCCTGGCACGATCTCAACTCACTGCAACCTCTGCCACCTGTGTTCAAGCAATTCTCCTGACTCAGCCTCCCAAGTAGCTGGGATTATAGGCACCCACCACCATGCCCAGCTAATTTCTGTATTTTTAGTAGAGACGGGGTTTCACCATGTTGGCCAGGCCAGTCTTGAACTCCTGACCTCAGGTGATCGGCCTGCGTCGGCCTCCCAAAGTGCTGAGATTACAGGCATGAGCCACCACGCCTGGCTGTATTTTTTAATTCCTCAGTTTTAATTTAATGCATTAAATATCAATAGATATAACCCAATCGACAAAAGCTCTTTGGGGTCCTCAATCATTTCTAAGAATGTAAGGGATCTTGAGACCAAAATGTCTGAAAACCACAAGGCTAGGTGAAGCCAAACAGTTTTGTAAATAAAACGACTAACAGTACCCAGTAGACAAATCTTCGAGTCTATAACTCAATAGGCAGAAAATGGGTCAAGTTCTGAAAACAAAAGCACTATGGAAGTCCAGTGAGGGCGGTAATGTTTGTCCAGAGGGCCAGTAGATCTCAACTAATACCTTGGAGAAAGCCTCCAAATCCAACCCTGCCTGCCATTAAGACTCATTAGTTGCCAATGCCCAGAGTCCACTGGTGCTTCGAAAAAGTGCTACTATACTATCCTCTAATAGCAGCAACCTTGGACACATGTAACTGGTCACTCAGAAGCCACTTGACACCCCACAGCTTGGAAGGAGATGTTGTAAAGCCAGACTGATTTTTTTTTTTCTGAGACAGAGTCTCACTCTGTTGCCAAGGCTGGAGTACAGTGGCATGATCTCGGCTCACTGTAAACTTCGCCTCCCGGGTTCCAGCGACTCTCCTGCCTCAGCCTCCCTAGTAGCTGGGATTACAGGTGTGCACCACCATATCCAGCTAATTGTTGTATTTTTAGTTGAGACGGGGTTTCACCATGTTGGCCAGGCTGTTCTCAAACTCCTGACCTCAGGTGATCCATCCGCCTCAGCCTCCCAAAGTGCTGGGATTACAGGCGTGAGCCACCACGCCTGGCCCAGACTGATTTTTAAAATCTAAGATGAGTTCAAAGAAGGAATGGAGCAATTACCATGAGACAAACTAAAGGTCTAATCTCATCAGACTTCAGGGAAACAGATGAGTCTCCTTATAATTTAAAGTCATATTTGGAGTGGGTGCAGAGGACCGAACACCATGGTGGGGAAATGCTAAAAGTTTTTCCCTCAAAATCTGAAAGAAGTACCAACTTGCATCTGATGGTCATTGGCTAGTTACATAGTTAGAGGCTGAGGAAGGCTGAGGAGGTTGGAAATGGTTTACAGGAGATTTAGGCCTCAGATAAGCAGGGAGGTCAGTGGCTTCCAATGACAGTTTTCTGACATGAAACATCAGGGCAGCAGGGACGCATCCGTGTCCTCACCCTGGTTTGGTTGGGGCTTAGTTTGTGCCTCACAGAGAAGAGATGCTCACGAAACACTGGATGAGAGAATGAAAATGAATGAATCCTCCAAGGTGATAAGTGGAAGAGATCCCTCTTTGGGAGCAAGCAGATGGTTTTCAGGTCCCTAAAGAGGGGCAATGAAGCAGCAGCCCCATATGGGTGCCCACCCCAGGCACAGCCATTTATTTCCAGTGGCTCTCACATACACACTGACTTATGAACTGAAAAATAGGACAAAGGTATAAGCATTCCAGGGGGAGGAAGAACAAGGAAAGCTGACCCACCAAGCTCCAAAGCGATCATTTTCTGCTCTTGGGCATAAAAATCCAGCCAGAGGCCTATTTCTATATGTTAAACATTATGGATTAAAATCTAAGAACAATAGTTATGTCTCCCATACAGTTATGACATGAGTATCTCTCCTCTTTGTAAAGACTTAAAATCTGTAGCAAATGAAGTGTGAAATCGGGCCACACACAGTTCCTGGAGGCGTATGAAGGCTGCAGGCCACACCCATGGGAATTCTCTTTCCCCAAATTACTGATTTCACCTGTACCCTCATTTTCTCAAACTTTGCTCTGGAGACAGAGAAACCCAGGGAGTTTTGTGCCCCAATACAACACATGCCAAATAAGACCATGGAAGAGAGGGGCTGAATCTTCTAAGTCTCTCTGAAAGGTCATGAGACCCCTGCCTTTAGTGCGTTGGTGTAAGGTCCGTGGTCCCCAGGCTGGCAGCGTAGGCATTGCTTGCGTAGCATCTCGGGGCCATCCCAGACCCTCTGGCCACATTCTGCATTTAACAAGATCCTCATATGATTCACGTGCACATTAAGGTTTGAGAATGCTGCACCAAAATGCCATAAGGTCAACCCCCGACCCCGCCAAAAAAAACCCAAAAATGTATTTCTACCTGCTGCCTGTTTTTTCTCGTAGTGAACATTAAAACTTTGCATAAGGACACTGAATGGGCTACAAAGGCTGCTATAATCCTGAATATCCTCCTAGAGGACACTGCTGGGGGTGGAAGGCATTAGAGGCAGTGTTGCTCAGCAGTAGGAACCCCAGAGAAAAGTCCAGAAATCTCACTTCATTCTTGTCCTACCTTTACTATATATTAGCTCTTGGGCCTTGGATAAACGGCTTAAATATCTCTTAGACCTTGATTTCCTGGTGTTTAAAATAAAATAGGTGGAGAGACCTCTAAAATCCCCTTCTACTCTAAATTCTCTGACCCTGAAAATGTCACCCATGATACAATCCTTGCCCTAATATATTTAACATGCCACCAACATTCCCCAATGCTTCTATAACTGTCCGCATGGGACATACATTTCAACCTTCTGAAATAGAAACATGACAAGATGTCTATCCTTTGGGAGGTCATTTTATTTTTCTTTTTTTCTTTTTTATTATTATTATTATTATACTTTAAGTTTTAGGGTACATGTGCACAATGTGCAGGTTAGTTACATATGTATACATGTGACAGGCTGGTGGGCTGCACCCACTAACTCGTCATCTAGCAGAATTATTTTTTAATTTATAATAAATGATTCAAATATGTGATTGCATTTTCTGTGCAGGCGATGATACAATCATCCTTCTGTTCTGTAACGTAAAATGCAGCAATGTCTTTTTAATTACATTAGTACCAAGAATTATAATTCAAACACAAGCCAATGAAAATCTAGACAGGCTTATTCTTTACTCGTTAAAAAAAAGCAACAGCTGGGCTGCACTTACTTTTATGATCTCTATGGTTAATGTGTTTCTAATAATTATTATTGTACTTTTATTACTCATAAAAGCACTTTCTCTCTCAGAGGTCCACAAAGCAGTTTCTGCAAGTAAAATCTGTGGAAGAGATCACCCTGCTATTAGCAAATAAACATATCTCAGACATCTTCACGTTAGCATTAAGTCTGGAGCATCACTCTCTGACTCAAAAATGTTTAACGAACACTGTCATAAAGCTATTTAGTCAAAAGAAAGGGTTTCCCTCATCTCTTAGAAAAATGTATATATATTTTTTGACACAGAGTTTTGTTCTTGTTGCCCAGGCTGGAGTGCAATGGTGCAATCTCGGCTCACCAAACCCTCCGCCTCCTAGGTTCAAGCAATTATCCTGCCTCAGCCTCCTGAGTAGCTGGGATTATAGGCATGCATCACCCTGCCCGGCTAATTTTGTTTTTTGTTTTTTTTTAAGTTCAAGAGATTTAATGTACCACCTGGTGACTGTAGTTAATGATGATGTATACTTGAAAATTGCTAAGAACAAATTTTAAGTATATACTGTGGAATGAATAAATCAGACTAACATAAGCATTATGTCACATAGGTATCATTTTTTGTGGTAATTTTGTATTTTTAGTAGAGATGGGGTTTCTCCATGTTGGTCAGGCTGGTCTCAAACTCCCCACCTCAGGTGATCCACCCGCCTCAGCCTCCAAAAGTGCTGGGATTACAGGCGTGAGCCCCCGTGCCCGGCCCAAGAAAAATAATTTCTTATAATAAATTAGCCTCTTTTATCTGTAATAACACTTGCCACTGGTTTATCAAGTATTTCCCATCCACTATCCCACTCTGCACCCCCTCTCACTGCTTTCTTCCCTAGTGAAAGGAGAAATTCCTCCAGAGTGCTGGCAGAGCTCTGGGCACCTAAGCTCACCACACACTGAACAGAACGATTACAAAGTAACTGTATGTTCTGATGTCCTCCTTGAAAGCTGCAGTTTTGGTGCTGAAAAGGATGCAGGAAAGGTCTTTCCTTTGATTCTTTGTGGGCTCCCTCGACTCCTCTCCCATCCTATTCCTTTCTTATAAGCCAACCAGGTCACAGTGCCTTTTCAATGTCTCATGAGGACCTTTGTGTTGCATTAATGATGTAGAGGAATGAGTTCTCAGGGAAGTGATGGGTGAGTGAAGATGACATCTTCTCTTGCACTTCTGTACATTCCCACTTCCGAATCTGAAGGGGAGTTCACTGATGCTTTCAAACCAACAGAGGAGAGCATCAAAGATCCATGGGTTCAAATTTTCCTGACCTACTTCTTTTTGAAATGATAAGGAAGAACTGGCAATGCTGCTTAAAATATTCCCAAAGGGTTACTACAACTTTCTGGGTCACACAATCTGTGAGATGGCCTTAGATCAGAGAATATTTTCTCACTATTTTGTAAAACTAAATTCACCGTTTACTTTCCATGCTCCCATATTTAGCAAGTATCGAACTTAAAGTACAGATCTAACTCAAAACTCAGACAACTGGATTCCTATCTTATTTCCGTTCTTTTATTTGTTTTTCTCGTCCCGTTGATAGACAGTTCCTGAGCATCCCATTTGGAAAGCACCATGCTAGTTGTTACGACAGTTACTGAATGAACCAGGCACAGTCACTAATGTCGAAGAGCTCACCTTCCGAGATTCCAAAGGAGGTTCTCCATGATCTCACATCTGAGTCAGACATTTCTCTGGGCTCTCAGAAATGTACTTGCAAACCTCTCCCACAGCACACAACACACTGCTCTCTAATCTATGAGTTACTCATCCAGCACCCTGTCCCTGCGGCCTTGTAACTGCTTCTCAGAGGCTATGTCTTGCTAGACCAGTATGTATCCTCCAGAGCCTAGAGGGTACCAGACACACAGCAGGTGCTCAATAACGTTGCAATGAAGGGAATGCAAAAAATAATGAATATAAAGACATATAAGCATAAATCAAAAGTCATGTGTTCCCACAACAGAAGGAAAATTCTACAGTACTTCAGAGGAGGGACCTACTTCCCATTGGAGATTAGGGACAGCTTCTAGAAGCAGGAAGATTTTGAGCTGAGCCTGAAAAATAGTTGGGGAGGTGGAAGGGTAAGTGGTAGAGACTCAGGGGGAGCAGGGCCAGTGAGGCAATAAGCATTCCAGATGGGGAACAGCATGAGCAAAACCACAGAGATTTGAGGGTGGAACTGGGGGTGCAGGGGTTGTGAGAGGGGCTGGGGTCAGACACTGAAGTAGCTGCTCATACATCAGCTATGGTGTGTGTGTCACTCAGTGAGTGAACCTGGAAATAGACAAGCCCAAGAAATGATAATTTACAGGGAGCCCTAAAAAGGAGGCACATGGTTTCGGAACAGGAGAAAATAGATATGAGGCAGACATGGACCTGAAAGGACAGTGTCTCCCAACTTGGCCACATGGGCTATAGAACAAGGACAGTGGGTATTATCAAGCAATGGACAAAGTAACTGGTTCGAGTCATTGATCATTTCCAATAAACCAAACCCAACTGAAAGAACTCAGTTGTAGGTAGGAAGAGTAGGACTTCCCAGAGCTTGAGCCTTCAAATTCCAAAGGTAGGAAGAGATGTCACAGAAGTCAGGACTCGTCAGGGGCCAGAAATGCAAGAGCTTCTCTCAGAGATAGGCCCACCCCTGGGCTCTAGAAGGTTTGAAAATGATGCCAGCTCAATTGTCTCTCAAAACAACGTCTCAGTAGTCAGCTCTGGTATCCGATCCTAATAGATTAAGGATGGTGGGTTCCTAAGGCAAGAGACAGTGAGGTTTCTAGGGAGTCTTCTCAGAGTGGAGGCCTGATCCCATTTACCTATCAACATAGGCCAGAGCCAATCAACAGGAAAACTATGGGATTGTTATTGAACCATTATATCACTGCCTAGCATTTATCTTTATTACTAACTCCATGTGGACTTGAAATGATTAACAACATAATCCTTGGATGAAAAGATGTTGTGCCTATCCTTTAGGGAGTCAGCAGGAAGGGGGAGATGAGAAGCATTTTTCTGAGGCCTCTGTTTTCAGAATTGTTGTCCACAATCTGCTCTGGCATCAGAATCACCCTGCTGCCCAATAAAAGGCATCCACAGCTGAGCAAAGGACCTGGAATATGACTTTTTGCCAGGGGAAAACCTAACGTTGGGGGAAAGGGATTCAACTGGGTAGAAAGGGGGCAATAGGGAATTAGAAGAAGAAGAGAATCTTGTGGTGGTTAATTTTATGTATCAACTTGGCTGTGCCACAGTGCCCAGATATTTGGTCAAACATCATTCTGGATGTTTCTGTGAAGGTGTTTTTGGATGAGGTTTACACTGAAATCAGTAAGTTTAATATATCTAGTGTTCCATTATTGGAACGCTAAGCCTGTGGGAGTTATTTATATCCTACTGCTCAAGGTCATTGCCAAGGTCTGATTATTCACTCATACAAAAATTCAAAAAAATTGTATCCTCCAGCATAAATGGGCTAAGAAAAGCAGATAAGCAGATTGCCCTTCATAATGTGAGTGGCCTCATCCAATCAGTTAAAGACCCAAAGAGAACAAAAGCCTGACCTCCACTATGCAAGATGGGATTCTGCATGCAGACAGCTTTTGGACTCAAACTGCAACTCTTTCCTGAGTCTCCAGTCTATAGGCCTCCCCCATTAGATATTGCACTTGCCAAGACTCCACAATTGCATGAGCCAGTTCCTTAAAACAAATCATATATATATATGTGATTATATATAATTTATATTTATATTTATTTATATGTATATATAAATTATATTTATATTTATATTTATAAATTATATTTATATTTATATATACTTTATATTTATATTTATATATTAATTATATACAATCTATATTATATAATTAATATATAATATATATAATCGCCATCCAATGTTCCTGTTCCTCCAAATACAAATTTCTTGACCTAGAGAGACATAGTCCATGGAATCTAATTTGGATCTAAAGAAGAATTAAGGCCTAAACCAACCAAGAGCCCCGTGCTGATGCCCTGACACTCACCTGTGAGGTAATTAAGGAGTCAATCACCAATAGGCCGCAGCTGGTAGCCTAACAACCTTGATGAACAAGTTCAGAGAGAGATCTAAAGCTTTTTTTAAGCAGAAGGAAAGATCAGAATCAACCCTTGGTAACACGAAAGCAGTTTTCAAGAACAGAGAGCTCCTTGCGATGTTGAAGTAAACATTTATAAAGACCTTCCCCCAAATACTGCAATATCAAGAACAGCAAGCTTGAGCTTTATCACAAACCACCCATCAGCTCGGGATTGTGAAATACGCCCTCGCCCAAGTGCCTCTGACAGAAAAGAAATGAGTTCCATTACCAAATGAAAGCGGGGTGGAAATAACAGAATTGCTTTTATTTTGATGGATGATCTAATAAAAAGACATAAAAATGATGAGAAACAATAAAATTAAATCACAAAATACAGTTCTATTTGTTTTGTGCTATGGAGTGGATTCTTACATTGGGTGGAAGGTTGGACTATATAACTTCTAATTTTAGGAAACAGTAAAAAGAAAAAAACGTGATGACAACAGTCTTTCATTGCTAGAAAGCTACTTCTAAGACACTGAAACAGCCATTGCAACAATCATAAAAAGTCACAGGAACCCAAGTAGGCAAAAAAAAAAAAAAAAAAAAGATTTTCCATTCCCTCTGTTCCTGCCTTAGGGAGTTCAAGTCCCCCCAGACATTTCTCTCCAACTTAACAGTGTGCGCCAAGGTGGTGCGTCTTAGAATGAAATGGACGTGGTCATTCCAGCCTAATCATTTGCTTAGAGTCACTGAGGGGTAATAATAATGGCTCAGATAAGATTATTGCCACAGTTTCCTTAAATTCACTGAAGGGCAATACAGAATCAATGACAGCCGAGGCTCTACTAGAAACACCTGAGGTGGAACTGGGAGGCAACACGGAAGGAGGAGGTGTTAGCTCAGAGGCACCAGAAGCTCTTCAAAAACCTGCACGTTGTGCACATGTACCCTAAAACTTAAAGTATTAAAAAAAAAAGAAGAAGAAGAACAAGAAGAAGCTGCTACCCCTGATGGAGATGCGCTGCCTCTGAAAGGATCTGCTAAAACTGATTTGGATTCTTCACCACGGCTTTTGATTCGCTTTTTTTCACATTTGACAAGGCTGGCCAAGTTACCTGCCCGGTGCTAAACACCTACCTCTATTGCCTTTTCAATGAGTCCATTTGAAGCTTCCAGGCAGAGCCTTCTAGCTAGAGCTTACCTGCAGAGAAGCCCACAACACACATACATTAAAGTAACATGACGACCGCCTTACGGAATCAACGTTTCTCCAGAAGGGCCACCCGTAATAAAAGAAAGCTCACAATGAATCTCACCACTTTATCAATCAAAAATTCTGGTTCCTCTTACAGGACATTTCTCTCGTGCCAATATTAACTTTTTCAGAGCTAATCAGACCTCAAAATTATTCACTGGGAAGCCTGAGAAGGCCTGGGGGAAGATCTGTGTGTCTCCTCCTCCTCCCCGAAGGCTCACTCAGAAGGCAGGAAGGCCTGCCCCTCCTCCACCCCCTGCCAGTGGCTTTTCTTAGTCTCTCACCCTTCCTCTCTTCTGGCACCTCCTTATCAAATACGTTCTCCCAT
Organism: Homo sapiens; assembly: GCF_000001405.40. Classification (NCBI taxonomy): domain Eukaryota; kingdom Metazoa; phylum Chordata; class Mammalia; order Primates; family Hominidae; genus Homo; species Homo sapiens. The sequence continues at coordinate 229,543,773 of NC_000002.12, forward strand.
AGACAAGTCCTGCATATGAAAAAGAAATTATATTGAAATGTGAGCTGACTGAAGAGTTAACTATGACAAAACTGAGTATTGATGCCTGCTCTTTCTTCCGTTACCTAACTATGCATCTTTCCAATTCTTGCCCCTTTTGCTTCTCTATAAAATTCCTCCTATTAGTCTCATCTCCATAGCAGCATCGACCATCATCTCTAATCAGAAAATTCACAACTATACACACACGCCACCCCACTTGCCCTTACCCTCAAACCTCACATTTTCCTATACTTAATTCTAAAAATTGAATTAAAATTAAAAAAGAAAAAAAATATGTTCTCCTTAGCCTCCTCTTCTTTTCTCCAGTTATTTTACCCCTCCCTAGCCATGACTCTCATAGAAGAACACTGAGTGTCCTTCACATTTTTTTCCCATAAAGTATGTTGATACATGAGGTTTCTCCTCGGGAAGAAGAGCAGACTGGTCCAAAGTGGCATAGACAGGAGGGCACAGGATGTAAAGGGCAGGCTTGGCCTCCTGGAAGGAGCCTCCTGGCTCTGCACCTCCTGGCCTCACTCTAGTGGCTCACCTCACTCCCAGAAGCAGGGAGAGTTTGGGCTTCAGTTTCCATTTGTGTTCTTTTTCAAAGATTTAGCAGAAATGATTACTTTCACTATGCTTTCGGGTTCCTGACCACATTCTGCCTCCTCCAAGGAATATCCTACAGAAAAATGTTATATATCTATTTATTAATTTTTATTAAATATATTTATATATTTTATTTATTTATTTTTTGAGATAGAGTTCAGCTCTTGTTGCCCAGGCTGGAGGCCAATGGCACAATCTTGGCTCACTGCAACCTCCGCCTTCTGGATTCAAGCATTTCTCCTGCCTCAGCCTCCCGAGTAGCTGGGATTACAGGTGCCCACCACCACGCCTGGCTAATTTTTTGTATTTTTAGTAGAGACAGGGTTTCACCATGTTGGCCAGGCTGGTCTCGAACTACTGACCTCAGGTGATCCGCCAGCTTCAGCCTCCCAAAGTGCTGGGATTACAGGCGTGAGCCACTGCACCTGGCCGGAAAATGCTATATTTAAGCAGCTGCAATATTACAGCTAACAGGAAAGTCACAGGTTTTCTAAGATGACAAGAACAGTACTTGAAAGCTTCTGCCAATATTCCTTCTGTTAGTCCCCCTCCTCACACTTATCAAAGTCCACTAGTACCCAATGTGCTGACGTTCTCACAAGAAGGCATCACCAAAGAAAACCTACCTGTGCTACCCTCAAAATCTCAAACAAACCATGCTCTTTTGGGGTTTGGGAATCCACTGTCACTGAACATTAACTCCAATAGAAATATGTGTATAACTAGAGACAAAAATAAAGAAAAGGTGCTGGAGATGGATGTAGTGAGTGGTGAGGGGAATAGATGTCCCCTAATGGAACAGGCCCCCCTTGTAAGGTATGAAGTCTTCCTTGTTAGAGATCTTCAGGTGGACCCTGGATCCACCTGCAAAATATTTTAAGGAAGCTCTAGGCCAGGTGCAGTGGCTCACACCTGTAATCCCAACACTTTGGGAGGCTGAGGCAGGGAGATCACTTGAGGTCAGGAGTTTGAGACCAGCCTGGCCAACATGGTGAAACCCCGTCTCTACTAAAAATACAAAAATTAGCTGGACACAGCGGCACATGCCTGTAATCCCAGCTACTTGGGAGGCTGAGGCAGGAGAAACGCTTGAACCCAGAAGGTGAGGTTGCAGTGAGCCGAGATCGCGCCACTGCACTCCAGCCTGGGTGACACAGCAAGACTCCATCTCAAAAAATATATATATTTTAAGAGAGTTCTATACTGATGAACTTTGACCTCAGTGACTGCTGTGGTCCTTTGTTCATCTGACTCCCAAACTGCTGCCTGGAAACAGAAAACAGGAGGCAGAGGAGGAAGCTGTACTCGGGCCTTGCCCCCATGCCCTGGCCACATCTGCTGAAGAAAAAGTGGAACAGGGCTCAGGGTTCCCATAGTGTTTCTGATGCCGGCTCCACAAAGAGCAAAGTTAATGTGTCATCTCATCCATGCCTCTTCTCGGTTTCTTCTCTTACTTTTCTCTGACGTCTGTAACTCTATTATCATAGCCAGGGAAATGCGAAGACTAAGGAGGAAATTACCACATTGGCACACAACAGTCCCCAAAACGGGTAAGTGAATGACTGTGTTTACCTTTTGTTTCTTCCATTTCTCTTGATTGTACTACTGGATATAATGACCACTACTTCTCACAAAATCTCTACTTTATACCAAAGCAAGAGGATCTATCACTACACAAATGCATTACAATTACTTTGAAAATCATATGGAGATTTAAATATCTATATGTTGCATACTGGCATATAATTGAAGCTGTACATTCTGAGGACCTCTTTAGCAAATGCACCTGTTTTCTTCCCTTCCACTCTTGCTAATGTATACAGTGCACTTTCCCCATCCCAGTGGTTTTAATTCCATTCATATTCAGATGAGTCCCAAACTGAAATCTTCAGTCCTGATGTCTCTAAATACTCATGTCCTATGTCCAACCACCATTCAGTTTTAAAACTACTCCGTTAAGTTTATGAGCAAGGAATTTAATTGGGCTGAAACGGGGCAACAAGGAATTAGAAAATAGAGAGAATCTTCTAATAGTTAAATTTTATCTATCAGGCTGGGCACAGTGGCTCATGCCTGTAATCTCAGCACTGTGGGAGGCCAAGGCGGGGGGATGGCTGGAGGCCAGGAGTTCCAGACCAGCCTGGCCAACATGGCAAAACCCCATCTCTACTAAAAATACAAAAATTAGCAGGGCATGGTGGTGTGTGCCTGTGGTCCCAGCTACTCAGGAGGCTGAAACAGGAGAATCACTTGAACCCAGGAGCCAGAGGTTGCGGTAAGCCGAGATCACACCACTGCACTCCAGCCTGGGCAACAGAGCGAGACCCCATCTCAAAAACAAAAAGAATGTATATATCAACTTGGCTTGAGACAGACAGATAGACAGATAGATAGATAGATAGACAGACAGACAGACAGACAGACAGACAGATAGATAGATAGAGCAAGGATGAAAGGGGTAAGAACACACACATACTTATGTATTTATTCAGGTAAATATTCATGTAAATATGTGTATTTACAAGCTACCAGGCATCCCCTTACCTCTGACGGCTTCGTGGTGCATTTTCCTTTTCCTGAACACTCCAAGTCATTTGCGTGACTCTCCCCCGGCACACAGGTGCTGACCTTCACCACCAGAGTTAAGCGCAAAGCCACAATAGACTTAGTCACAGAATCATTCACAAAACCTAAAAGAAAATGAGGCAAAAGGAAATTGTCAAGTGTCTCCTCTTTAAAGGCAGTGTGTTGAAAGCTTTACCAACAGCCTTTCTACAAGACTATGAATTTAGTGTAGGCAGCACTCAAGTCTGACAAAACAAAATGCAGTGAGGCAAGGGAATAAAGCACATGGCCACCATCCACTGAGACCTCAGGACTTTAGGGCAGGCTGGTCCTCCCAAGCCTCATAAGAAACACCTAAGGCCAAGCAAAATCAGCACCAGGCACTTGAGCAACCACCTCAGATCCTTTCGCTTTGCTCCCGCCCTTGCCCTCTGGGGGCTGCTTTGTCTCTCAATCCCATCCCTGTGCTGGCGTCTTAGAATTCAGTTTCTGCTTTGGAACCCCAGTCTTCTACCAGGGAGCAGCTTACCTGCATTACCCAAGTCCTCCTCCTCCTGGCTACTTTGGAGTCACAAATGCTGGAAATCCTCAAAGGCCCCACCCAGTTATCACCTGCCCTAGTCTCGGTCCCCTTGGAGTAGGCATGCAGCATGGGTACAAATTCTCTGTTGGGTTTATTGATCATTGATAAGATATGCATCTTACTTGATCACCAATCTGACTCCACAGTATCAAGTTAAGCCATACAGTTTTAGCCATCTAATAAAATGGGACTAATCATAGTTGAATATGGATTGCAGTATCATTGACACACCGTATTTGTCATTGAATGATCTTTATGTCCTAGAGCAGCTATTCATACATAGTAGGTAGCAATAAATATGGAATAAATTGATGAATAAATATAGCCTCTAACTGGAAAGGAGAAATAAATATTATAAGTATTTTTGCATCAAGGATTAAATTATTTTCACTAAGTGAGCATTTTTTTCTAATATGAACATTCATTTGTATCTAATTTTTAATTTTAAAACAAAATATCGAAATTAATGAATATGATTTTAAAAAGTTTCCTCAGCTCTGTCAAGAGTAAAAGTTAAAAAGCCTCATCATTACAAAGCCACATTCATAGATAGTTTTACAACAAAAGATTTGTAAGACCAAGGGGACTACTAGGAGTCAGTGGGGAAAAGAGAGAGAAAAGAATTGATTCTAGGGCAACTGAAATGAGTTCCATTATCAGGAAAAAGAGTAGGTTTGGATCCCTCACACCTCACACTATACAAAAGTAAATCTAGATGGCTTAAAGAGCTAAATACGAATTAAAACCTTTAAAGTGGCACTATTCACAATAGCAAAGACTTGGAACCAAACCAAATGTCCATCAATGATAGACTGGATTAAGAAAATGTGACACATATACACCGTGGAATACCATGCAGCCATAAAAAAGGATGAGTTCATGTCCTTTGCAGGGACATGGATGAAGCTGGAAACCATCATTCTCAGCAAACTATCACAAGATCAGAAAACCAAACACCACATGTTCTCACTTATAGGTGAGAGTTGAACAATGAGGACACATGGACACAGGGAGGGGAACATCACACACTGGGGCCTGTCAGGGGCGGGGGTGAGTAGGGGAGGGACAGCATTAGGAGAAATACCTAATGTAGGTGGTGGGTTGATGGGTGCAGCAAACCACCAGGGCATGTGTATACCTATGTAACCAAACTGCACGTTCTGCACATGTAACCCACAACTTAAAGTATAATAAAAAATATATAAAAAACAAACAAACAAAAAAACCTTTAAAACTTCAAGTGGAAAATATAGGGGGCTATTTCATTGATCTAAAGATAGGGGATTTATTAAACAAGGGCAAAATAATAACCATAAAGAACAATCAATTTAACTTTACCCGATTTTAAATTATATGTACATAGCTACCATAAAAAAAGACAGTAGACAAGACACAGGCTTGAAAATGAAATTTATAATGCATAAAACCAGCAAATGCTTAGCTGCCAGAATATATGGAGAATTTTTTTGGCAAACTGCTTTTTTCTCAACGTTATTTATACTTATATAAATATTGAAATCTATGAAGCATTAAGAAACGCTGTTACGCATATGTATACATACAGTAAAAGTATACCAAGATGCATGGAAAGAAACACACCAAATTCAGGAAAAGGATCCGGGGAAATAGGGGTAGCCAGGGAGATGGAGCTTCTGACCACCTATATAATATTTTATTTATGTATTAATAATACATAGAGCAAATACCACAAAACACTTATTCGATCTTGTGTACAAAAAAATTATATTCATTTCCATACTTTTATTTTATTTTTAGACGGAGTCTCACTCTGTTGCCCAGGCTGGAGTGCAGTGGTTCAATCTCAGCTCACTGCAACCTCCGACTCCAGGGTTCACATGATCCTCTTGCCTCAGCCTGCCAAGTAGCTGAGATTACAGGCACCTGCCATCACACCTGGATAATTTCTGTATTGAGGCGGGGTGTCACCATGTTGGCCAGACTGGTCTTAAACTCCTGACCTCAAGTGATCTCCCCGTCTTGGCCTCCCAAAGTGCTGGGACTACAAGCATGAGCCACCACATCCAGCCTATAATATTTTATTTCTTTCTTAATAACATAGGCCGGGCATGGTGGCTCATGCCTGTAACCCCAGGATTTTGGGAGGCAGAAGCGCGTGGATCATGAGGTCAGGAGTTCAAGACCAGCCTGGCCAATATGGTGAAACCCCCATCTCTACTAAAAATACAAAAATTAGCCAGGCATGTTGGCATGCGCCTGTAATCCCAGGTACTCGAGAGGCTGAGGCAGAAGAATCGCTTGAACCCGGGAGGCAGAGGTTGCAGTGAGCCAAGATCGTGCCACTGCACTCCAGCCTGGGTGACAGAGTGAGACTCTGTCTCAAAATAATAATAATAATAGAGCAAATTTTGCAAAACATTAAATCTTGTGTACAATGAAATCTTATACTCATTTCCATAGTTCTATGCTTTTTTTTCTTTTGAGACAAAGTCTCACTCTGTGGCCCAGACTGGACTGCAGCGGCATAATCTTGGTTCACTGCAACCTCTGCCTCCCAGGTTCAAGCAATCCTTGTGCCCCAGCCTCCCAAGTACCTGGGATTACATATACGCGCCACCACACCCAGCTAATTTTTGTGGTTTTAGTAGAGACGGGATTTCACCATGTTGGCCAGGCTGTTCTCGAACTCCTGGCCTCAAGTGATCCTCCCGCCTCGGCCTCCCAAAGTGCTGGGATTACAGGCAGGAGCCACCATGCCCAGCCAATTTTATGCATATTTTAAATATTGTGTAACCAAGTTTTTTATTTCGATTATCATAGTTCAGGCATCACAACTTCAAACAGGCTTTAACAGGTTAGGAAAATATTAGTATCCAGAAATCTAGAATACACAGTCCCAAAATGACTTTGTGGTCACCTTCTCTAGACGTTTCCTCACAATTTGTTCTTATAAGTACGTTAAGTTGGCCGGGCGCAGTGGCTCATGCCTGTAATCTCAGCACTTTTGGAGGCCAAGGCAGGTGGATCATGAGGTCGGGAGATCGAGACCATCCTGGTCAACATGGAGAAACCCTGTCTCTAATGAAATACAAAAAAATTAGCCAGGCATGGTGGTGTGTGACTGTAGTCCCAGCTACTCGGGAGGCTGAGGCAGGGGAATCGCTTGAACCGGGAGGCGGAGGTTGCAGTGAGCCGAGATTGCACCACTGCGCTCCAGTCTGGCGACAGAGCGAGACTCTGTCTCAAAAAATAAATAAATAAATAAATAAATAAGTATATTGCATTAAAAAGTAATAATTAACTGGATAGAAACAGAGCCCACGTTGGTTCACCTTGCCTGCATGGTACCTAGCATCACCTCATTAACTGATGGTCACTTGAGAACATGCTGCTTCTATTGACAACAAATTAGCAAAACTTCCCAAATATTTTCAATGTTCTCAATGTTGAAGTCCTTGCACACTAAGGTGTTGCACACTCCTAAAGCCTGTTTTCACAGGTTTACTCAAAGTATTGCTTGACACAGGTTCACTTTTCATACTTTTAAAGAGAAGGATATTTTGAGAAATTTGGCTTAAAAAGTCAGGACAGACTTCCTACATTGTTTCATTTTTCATACTTCTTTTAAAAGTTTTCATAAATGTAAGACTTCTCTCATGGCCTCTCAGCTATTTCTGTTTGTCTTTTCTGTTTGTTTATTATCTTTGGGGAAAGATATAAAAATGATATCACAAATATCTACGATGACTAATAACCCTTCTGAAAACAGATTGAGCCTCTAAAAATTTAATAGGAAGTGCCCACATTAAGTAAGTATATATAGGCCAGGCACAGTGGCTCACGCCTGTAATCTCAGCACTTTGGGAGGCAGAGGCAGGTGGATCACCTGAGGTCAGGATTTCAAGACCAGCCTGGCCAACACAGTGAAACCCCATCCCTACTAAAAATTTAAAAATTAGCCAGGCGTGATGGTGAGCACCTGTAATCCCAGCTACGTGGGAGGCTGATGCAGGAGAATCACTTGAACGCAGGAGGCAGAGGTTGCAGTGAGCCAAAATCGTGCCACTGCACTCCAGCCTGGGCAACAAGAGTGAAACCCCGTTTAAAAAAAAACATAAATAAGGAAGGGCGCAGTGGCTCATGCCTGTAATCCCAGCACTTTGGGAGGCAGAGGTGGGCAGATCACGAGGTCAGGAGTTCAAGACTAGCCTGGCCAACATAGTGAAACCCCATCTCTACTAAAAGTACAAAAAATTACCGGGCATGGTGGTGGGTGCCTGTAATCCCAGCTACTCGGGAGGCTGAGGCAGGAGAATAACTTGAACCCGGGAGGCGGAGGTTGCAGTGAACGGAGATTGCACCACTGCACTCCAGCTGGGTGACAGAGTGAGACTCCATCTCAAAAAATAAATAAATAAATAAATAAATAAAATAATAAGTATGTATATACAAATATATGTAGTGTGTGTGCATTTTATGAACATGTAATATAGACGTGTGTGGAATACATATACGTAATTTAAAGTACAGTCATACAATGAAGATTACTGAGCAGAATGGATCTTAAAAAATTTTGAACCAAACAACCACCTTTGAGAAGGCTGTGAAGAGCCTCTACCTTCTAGGGTAAAAGCAGGACTGTCTATGGGACAGGCAGTGCATGCTTGAGGGACCACTCTGGAAGCCCAGTGAACCTCGCAGCCATGATTCAGGGAAATGCAGACGGTCCTTGAGGCAGTCCTGAAGTCCTGAAGGATGGAATTAACCTACAGGCAGGTGTTTCAGGCTGAGATGGTAAATGTTTGGCCCAATAATATTAAATCTGTAGAACCATTTGCTTCCTCTGAAAGAAATCTGGAGGGTGCTGCTATGGTTTGGCTGTGTCCCCACCCAAATTTCATTGTGAATTGTTGTTCCCATAAGCCCCACGTGTGGTGGGAGGGATGCAGTGGGAGGTAGTTTAATCGTGGAAATGGTCACCCTCATGCTGTTCTCCTGATAGTGAGCGAGTTCTCATGAGATCTGATGGTTTTATAAGGGGCTTTTCCCCCTTTTTCTCAGCACTTCTACTTGCTGCCACCATGCGAAGAAGGACATGTTTGCTTCCCTTCCACTATGTTTGTAAGTTTCCTGAGGGCTCCCAATCCCTGCGGAACTGTGAGTCAGTTAAATCTCTTTCCTTTACAAATTACCCAGTCTTGGGTATGTCTTTGTAGCGGTGTGAAAACTGACTAATACAGGTGGGGTTCTCTTAAATTGGGATCCATACCATCATCTGCCTATACTGTTTTGTGTGGCTTTGGAGCTTCAAAAAGCTAGGCCTGGACTATGGGAGGAGAGGAGCCAGACCCCATCTTCTCCTTTGTCTGGCCAGAGGACTATAAAAAGCTATTATCCCGGGCTTGCGACAAGGCCACCTGGATGAAATCAATTGCTGTGGCCATGTGCTTTGGAAATGCACCAATGCATGAAGAACCACCAGGGTTACATGGCTTCTCAGCTCATCCAGGCCATCGCATCCTAGAGGTGAGGGAGAGTAGATACCCACCATCTACCATGCTAAATGGGGGCCATCCTAGGGCAAAAAATAAAGCAAGCTTTGAATTGAAGAGCAAAAGGAATCTGTACACTCTGAATGGGATTCTGATGTGCAATGATTCCTGGAGATCCCTTTAGTGCCAGGGGATTGGCACAAATCTGATGAGGTCCTCTAGCTCTCAGAACTGCTTCCAGTAGCTGTGGTCAATTGATCTCTGGGTTGTACTTGTGTGTTTCCTGGGCATTCAGTCAAGTCTTGTTAAAGCTAAGCCAGTTCCCCACATTCTATGCAGAATTAGTCAGAATTCCTGACTCTTTTTCAAAGTCAGGAAATCAGAGGCACTCATACATAGAGAGAAGGAAGCCCTGCGAAGATGTCATCTCATGAGTGTTAGACAGAGGAACACAGGGGAGCAGTGGGGACAAGACAAAGGACAGGGATAAGACCCAAAATGGAACAAACCAATTGGTGAAGGGAACCCATCAAGGAAGAACCCGAGTAACTGTGCCGAGTGAGAAACTGACATGTCCGGCCTGCCCATGTTGGCTGCCATGCCAGCGCAGGTGGGTTCCTAAGTGGCCTAGGTCCCCCAGGCAAACACCTTGTGAAAAGCCGCAGGTTCCTCCGTACTTCAATCTCTATTGTGTATGCCAGTTTCTCCTGTGGGCCCTGTACTGGTTGAGAAAATAGAAAACTGCCAACGATAACAACTCTATTCATAATTGTCTAGGGTTTGTCTCAGACCTGTGGGATCCCTCAAATCCCATCACTGAGGCTATGGGAAACATTTACCCTGATTCTCCTTGGGACAGAGGAAGACACGGCTATGACTTTAGCCAGCCCAGAATGTAAATGAACAACGTACAATCAACACCTCAATTATCTAGAAGAAACATTCCTGCATTACTCATAAAAGGTGCTAAGACAATGTGCTGGACATTGTTAAGTAGGAATAATAACCCAAGTAGGCTGACCATGGAATTTATCTTCAAAACTAAGATGCCTTTCAAAATACAACTTTTTATAATTATGCCTGGACACAGGCATAAAGTGAGACTCTCCCAGGCAATGGGACAATATAGTCACCCTGCACTTAATGTCCCAGGGAGCATCTGGAGACAGAATATCTGCAAAGTCCTACATCAATGCTAAGAATGTTTTTAACAGGCAGAAGATGGATTCAAAAAAGTAGTATGACGTTCAATTCAGCCAGGCATGGTGGCTCACACCTGTAGTCCCAGCACTTTGGGATGCTGAGACTGGGGGATCACTCGAGCTTAGGAGTTCAAGACCAGCCTGGACAACATAGTGAAACCTCGTCCCTACAAAAAATTTTACAATGGCCAGGCATGATGGCTCACGCCTATAATCCTAGCACTTTGGGAGTCCAAGGTGGGCAGATCACTTGAGGGCAGGAGTCCGAGACCAGCCTGGCCAACATGCTGAAACTCCATCTGTACTAAAAATACAAAAATCAGCAGGGCATCATGGCATGTGCCTGTAATTCCAGCTACTTGGGAGGCAGAGGCAAAAGAATTGCTTGAACCCGGGAGGTGATTGCAGTGAGCTGAGATCGTGCCACTTCATTCCAGCCTGGGTGACGGAGTAAGGCTCTGTCTCAAAAAAATAAATAAATAAATAATAAAAATTAGTTGGGCGTGATGGCACACACACCTGTAGCCCCAGCTACTCAGGAGGATCACTTGAGCACAGGAAGGGGAGACTGCAGTGAGCTTTGATTATGCCACTGCACTCCAGCCTGGGTGACAGAGTAAGACCCTGAAAGGAAAAGAGAAGAGAAGAGAAGAGAAGAGAAGAGAAGAGAAGAGAAGAGAAGAGAAGAGAAGAGAAGAGAAGAGAAGAGAAGAGAGAAAAGGGAAGGGAAGGGAAGGGAAGGGAAGGGAAGGGAAGGGAAGGGAAGGGAGAAAGGAAGGAAAAAGAGAAAGGGAAGGAAGGAAATTCATGGGCAACAAGGTCATGATAGGAGATTAATAAAAGTCAGAGTGAGTGGAGACATTCCTCAACTTCAAGTAGGGCATTAGGAGACAAATATCTCTTGGTGTCTCAGTAAAGACAGGCACCACAGGTCTGATGCAGAGTGGTATTTTATGTCCAAAGAGAACTAATTGCTATCTTCCTAAGATTTCTTACTGAAAAGTTTATTTAAATTGGCTTTGGGAAGTAAGGAAATTAACAATTTAGGCAAAAGTGCCTCTTCTGTGGTGCTTTCTATTCTTCCTTTATGGCCCTGAACCATGTAGACACCTTACACCTCTCCCAGCAGCCTTTACACATCTTGCTCACCCCAACTCTGTAAACATTTCCACAATGCCCCCTTTGTCTGGAATACTCCTCCTTCTTCCAGTCTTACAGCCATTGAGATCCAGCTCAGAGACCACCTTATTCATAAGCCTCTCCTCCATATTCTAGCCCACTCTGAGCTCTACCATGTCCATCTGTGCTCAGGCGTAAAACATCATGTACCTCTTCCTGATCATTTTGTATCTTGGGTGGCTTCTTATACCACCTTTACTGAAGCTTCCTTGATGGCAAGGGACAAGTCTTAGAGAAGTGGTGAGTAGGGAGTCAAGATACAGGTACATTAATAGCCAAAGCAGCAAAGACAATTCCCAAATAGGAGTTCTTAAAATGTCTTATCATCCAATATGTCCACTTTGAAGAACAGCAATCATTTGGATGTACAAATTCCAGTTTACTAAAAAAAAAAAAATTGCTTACCAACTGGTGATTACCTTTGGTAGAGAAATGGAGCCTGCTAGAATGTTGGGATGCTACCAGTTCTTATTCCAAGTAACACTTTTACGCATAAAATAATAAAGATAAAATCAGACATCAGTTATTATAAAAGTATTTTTCATACCTTTGCTTCATTCTCTAGTTTCACATTAAACTATTTATTAAGATCTATATCATCTCTGTCTACTTACTAAGCATTTAGACCACACAATGATCTAAAATGTTATAGACAAGGCTTTCTTCCAATGATTAGTTTTAAAGTCCTATTTAACTATTATACTTACCCAGCAATAATGCAAATGAATGTGTAGTTAAAAATATACAAGGCATAGTTTTCTAGATAATTTGCTTCCATTTCCTTGATGAACACTTACTGAACTCGCGTCCACCAGTGAGACACCACTGTAAATTCTAAGGTTACAAAGATAAGTCACGCTTGGTTTCTGCCACTCCAAACTTTCAGGCAAAAGTAGCAGTTCTTAACTAGTGTTGAAACCAGTAGCTTCAAAAGTTTGCAGGAGCTTTTTCAAAGCCTGTATATCCAGGCTCCAAAATAAGTGATTCAGAATCTATAGTCTTGGATGGGTCCCTGGCAGGCATGTTTTTGTGAAAAATGCTCTAAGTAATTCTGATGTGTGCTTCCAGTTAAGAACCACTGGTCTGGTACAAAAACTAATCTAAGTCACATGAGTGATGCGTTTTATTATTAAAGTAAAAATCACCTTGAATTAAAGGCAACCTTATGCACATCTAAAATTGGAATATTTTACTCATCTATTTTTGAAATCTAGGTGATGAGATGATATTTAGACAAAATTGATATTCCCAAGTTCATCATAAGTCTCTGAAGTTCTTAGAGACAACTCTGAAAATGGTTTCTGTATTAGCTTTATTTGCTTATTAAGACTGTATTTTGGTCCTAAAATCTGTTAATAGATGATTACTGAAATCAGTCTTTGCAACAGTGTGTCACACATTACCACGTAACTCCTAATTATTTTAACCAATCCCCTAAAGTGGATCAATAGGACAAGCATGTTATTTGCAGCAATGTGCTGTTCACTCAATAAGAACAGTGGCTGGAGGCTCCTTCCAGGTAAAAGTGCAATTTCAGTTAGTTGTTTATATCTCCCTTTGATCACATCTAGGGGGAAATGCCTGTATTTCCTCATAATGAAAAGCAATACTGTCCGGTTTAACTTTCATCAAACTGCAGCTGGGTCAGAAGCAAAGTAGCCCTCAGGAAATTCCACATGCCAAGAGCAGGAACTGTGCCCCTTACAAAGGGGCAGCAGGAAGAATCTGAAATGAAATAGAATTCATTCAAAAGAAGGAAGTTCTTTGGGGCTTTATAAAAGAGTGATCATTTGAGAGCTGTTGAAAAGCCAGTGTGAGTTCTTTGACACAGCACTCAAACTGATAGACACTTCCAACATACTTTATAAGAAATGCAGAGCACATGCTCACTTTTTCTCTTCCTTAATGGTAGGAAGTCAATGTACATAGCATAGTTGCTGCTGCATAGAGGTCTGTATAGAAAGACTTGTCTTCATACTCAGAATTCTAAGATCCACAGGCCAACTGATCAGAGACGAAAACCAGTAAAGTAGCAGTGAGAATGACAGTCTGGATGCATTTACGAAGCTGTTTGAGAATAGGGAATGGGCTTTTGTCAACACCTGCATTCCCATGGTCTTTTTAGGCTGAAGAACTGGTGCCACATAGGAGGCAATGAAGGTGCCCCAATAAAGCCTGCTGTGAATTACAAGCAAGAAAGAGAAATAGAAAGGAGAGATTTATAAAAGAAAGAAGAAAAGACAGAAAAAGAGAGAGTAAAAGAGGAAGAAAGACTAAGAAGGGTGATGGGAAAAGAAAACCAAACCATAAGATAGATACTGAGGGAGACAAAAGAAAAAAAAAAAGGAAATTAATACAGAGAAACAAAGTCGAAATGGAGGAAAGAAAATGAAGGCTTATTTTGGAAGACAGTGTGGCAATTCCTCGAAGACCTAAAGACAGAAATACCATTTGATTCAGCAATCCATTGCTGGGTATATAGCCAAAGAAATATAGATTATTCTATTATAAAGACACCTACATGTGTACATTCATTGCAGCACTATTCACAAGAGCAAAGACATGAAATCAGCCTAAATGCTCATCAATGATAAACTGGATAAAGAAAATGTGGTACATATGCACCATGGAATACTATGCAGCCATAAAAAAGAATGAGATCATGTCCTTTGCAGGGACATGGATGGAGCTGGGGGCCATTATCCTTAGCAAACTAACACAAGAACAGAAAGCCAAACACTGCATGTTCTCACTTATAAGTGGGAGTGAAATGATGGGAACACATGGACATATAGAGGGGAACAACACACACTGGCGCCTTTTGGAGGGTGGAGGGTAGGAGGAGAGAGAGGATCAGGAAGAATAACTAATGAGTACAAGGCTTCATACCTGGGTGATAAAATAATCTGTACAATAGACCCCCATAACCCAAGTTTATCTATGCAACAAACATGCACTTGTACCCCAGAACTTCAAATATAAGTTTTAAAAAAGAGAAAATAAAGGCTTTCTGTCAAAAATGTCAAGGGTTCTTATATCTTTTGTTATAAAAAGGCATTCTATCATCATCTGATTTTTATAACCTTATATTCCTCACTGCAACCCACAAAAAATGTAAAATTCGAGTTATTTCAAAGTTTTCACAAATAAACATTTGCTTAAATCATAACTGTATATATTCTAAGTCTGTGATTCCATTTATGAGGCTGAAATACAGAAGCACCCTAACTGAACAGATCATGAGTCCATGTAAGGACTGGGCTGCAGGATGGGGTGGGAGGGAGAGCAGTGTAGGATGGAGGGAGAGCTGAGTCCATTCATTCAACATTCAGCAGATGTTTGCCGAGGTCAAGGTAGGAGGTAGCATTTAGGTTGAGCCCTGAAGGTGAAAATGAGCCAGCAAGAAAAGCTGGGGAGGTCAGTGTGTCAGACAGAGCTCCAGTCACCAGTGTCTTAGCTGAGGCAGAGAAGCAGGAGGGGCCAGATCACAACCGGTCTCATGAACCTTAGTAAAGATGTGGATTCCTTGCCAAGCACCATGGGAATCCATTGGAGAGTTTTAAGCAGGGGAATAACACACGACTGGTGCATTCTCAAAGACCACAACTCAAAGAACAAACAAGATTTTCATATAGATTGGATGTGAGGTATGAGGGAAGGGAAGAAATTACACATAGATAGTTTAGGCAACTTTGTGGGGGGTGTGGTGGTAGGCAAGTGAATCAAGATTTCCATCGTTAGTGTACTAAATTTGGGATGCTGATGAGACCCCCAAAGGGAGCAATCAAGTTGGTGGTTGGACGTAGAATATGGGTAGTTAGAAACATCATGGCTGAAGATTTCAGTTTCGGACTCATCTGAATACGGATGGTATTAAAACCACTGGGACAGGGAAAGTGTACTTAGGGAGAGAATAGAGGGTGACAAGGCCCAGAACCAAGCTCTACAGCCTGACAGTCATGATATAAACAGTTTGACATAGATATCAGACCATCATCATACTAGAAAAATCAACTAAAACATAAATATCTTCATTATTTTCCCAAAGCAGAGTTATAAGGAAAGATAAGATCTCTGTGACCTGAAGAACATAAACAGCTTCGGGAGGTCAGACCTTTGGCAACGTTAGCATGGAAGAGGGAGACTTTGGTCTACCAGAAAAAAGGAAGTCTCAAGGACTCTACACAGCTCAACTCAACATTTAGATGCTGGAGAAAAAAAAGACAGAAGAAAGGGAAGGAAGGAGGGAGGAGGAAAAATGACAGTGCTGGACTTGAGAGGCTCACTTCTATTTGCTACACAACTGGGAGATTTCCCTAATGAGTTTAAAACTGTAATGAAGGGGAACTTTCTCCAAAGATTATCCAGGGATCTGTTAACACCCTTGAGTAACTGGTTATGATGACAAATAAAAGTTGGGTTTCCTTCTCTCTCCTTCCATTTCCACTCTCCTCCTTCCCCACTCTCCTATCACACAAACAAATGCACTTACTCTGCTCTTGCCCACAACTCCAAGCTGTGCTCATTAGGATGGCAATGAAATGTTCTGCCATCATTATGGCCCTTTTAAAACCAAGACTTTGCCAAGCTCACCTCCCTTGGTGCAAATGCAAAGCTGAGGACAACCAAAAGGGGCTCCAGTCATTATCTCTGGAATGGAGTGGTCAAGCATCAGTGGAAGCACAAAATGCTGGGCTTCAGGCCATTAACTGTTTGTTTTACTGCTTGTCTCCCTTAATATTAATACTAAAGAGTCTTAAATGGACTTTGTAGTTAACACCTCATTGGGATTAATAGCAAATGGGATTTGCTTTTCTCACTTCAGCCATTTGGCTAAAGACCATTTTCTTTCCTGTTAAAGGGAAAGCATAAGTGGAAAATAGAAATTCTGACCATAAATATTTGAGCAGTACGTGTTGGAAACAGACTGTGCCAAGTTTTCCTATTAAGACACAACAAGTCATTTGGCACAAACCAATAACCTAAAAAAATGGTTCACAGTCCACAAAGTCCCATGGCTGGCACCAGATAGGCATGAAAGGTTTGCAATATCACAGATTCCATCCCCAGATGAAGACCCAGGGATTTTGCATTAACTCGGAGGTGGGGGAAGACAAACACCTGCAATCCCGCATCTCACCCCTCAGAGGCAGGGGTGAAACAGCACACCTGTGCCAACTCTTTCAGAAGGTGGGATAAGGTTAGTGCAAAGCTAATAAGCCGGTCAGGATCCCCCTGGATTTGTGACTCAATACTTGTGGGCTGGGAAACAAAACTGGAGAAATAAATCAACTCTTGACAATGTCGGGCCAGGTGCAAAAATTGCTCGATGCTGAGAGCAAACTTGAGCCAGGACCCAGTCCAGGGTGGCAATGATTACACGAGGCTTACTAACATACCTCAGCTGTGTGGACTCAGATGTCCTTCCATTACACGTAAGCAGAACGCAGTCCAAACCAGGAGGTAAAGGGGCCGGGGGCATTAAATAAGCATTTAAAAAGTGTCACCACACCCATGGACTATCACAATTATGCCTCCATCACTGAAGAATGTCACTTGCCTGGTCACACCAACTATCCCAGGATTTCATGTAGAGTATTCTCACCTTTTGTAAAAAGGCTTTTAAAAATTTCCAACTAAAGGTTACTTGTGGTTTGCTTGCTTGCTTGTAAGGCACGTTTAGATGCTTAAAAGAGCAAATTGCTTTTTGGAAAATTCACCCACACAGAATCTCTCATTTTCTCTGGGTTCCTAAGTAAAGTATGGCCAAAAAATGCTTTCCAAATTAGAAGACACAACAGTACATCCCAGAAATGGTCCAAATATTTTTACCTTTGTCACTTATGTAAACCATCAGGTAGATTATACCTAGCCAAATGACTATGAAAATTACATATTAAGTAATATCATTTGCTCTAGGGAAAAAAATTGTAAAGATACTGTGATGATATCCTAGCAAACATACAATCAACTTGCTATCACCTGAAGATAGATTGGCTTATTCTCAACAAACCTTACTGTCAAATATAGCAATCCTTAACAACTACCTTCCTACTTTATAAACATCTCAGGTACACTCTCTGTCTATTCATCCTGCAGAGAAAACTCTAAAATTTATTTAATATCAAAATACAGGCTTAAAGAGTGAACAAAAAAAAATTATATTGAGAGTCCTTCCTAGACTGACATTCTACACTTTTCCAAAAGAAATTTCTATTCCCATAGTAAAGTGTTATTAGCCACCGTGCTACATTTCTGTTTAATATTTTTTCAAGATTCACCCTACCACACTCCTCTCTCCATTAATATTAGACTAAGTTATGTGTCCTAAGTCAAATCATTTGTCCTAGTTGAGTATTTGAACTGCGGGAATAACTGCTAATTGCCCACTGATATCTATTCTCCTCTCATGCCTATAATAATGGGATGTGGAGTTTTTGCTGTGAACTGGGCCACGCAGCTAAAGTATGTTTCTCCTCTGTGACCAGTGAGACAAAGTACAGAAATACCGTATTGTACATTTACAAGGACCGAGCACGCGCCCTTCCTATTGGCTAAAATACCAATGTGATTGTGACAGCTTGGACAGCCAGTTTGCATCCAGAGATGGAACCTGTGTGTTGAGAGCACACAAGTGTACTCTATCGGTCCTAGACCAACTACCTCTTGATGGTAACAGTGGGGAGAAATTAACTTGTACCTTGTTGAAGCCACTGTATTTGAGGTCTCTCTATTGCAACAGCTTATCCTGTTCCCTAAACAATACAGGCCTGTAAATAAATCACACAAAACCCCTCCTGGGCCACATCCCACCACCTCTGCCACCTGGCCCAGAAAGAATCACCATTCAGCTACTACTTAGAGTCATAAACACAAAATACTAACTCCATCACATCCCCTTCTCGGTCCTCTTCCTTTGTAGTGACAAAGCTGAGTAGTCATCAAGGTGGCTCGCTTTATATTGAATAGGGAGGAGTGGGAACATCAACTTAGCAAAAGTGTCTAATGTCATTCCTCTGATTAAATAGGGATATATGAAATATGCATATAAACATGTATATTCTATAATTCGATTTTTAACACTTTATGTATTCTGTATAGAGTATGTTTCACATTACAGAAGTGGTAATTGCCCATAATATCCATTCATTAATTCCAAATGGATGCTTCCTGATTAGTGGCTTTACTATGAATATTTAAATGAGATACCAGGCTCCTGTGCTGACACAAGGGTAATGGAAAGATTACACCAGGCTCTGCCACCAGATGGCCTGAGTTCTCACCAGCTCTGTGACTTTGAGAGAGTTAGTTATACCCTTCATGTCCTGGATTCCTTCTTTCTAAAATAAAAATAATAGCACTATCTATTTCCTGGGGTGGTTGTTATGATTAAAGGTCTTAATATCAGAATAGTTTTTAGGAAAGTGCAAGCATTATGTAAGGACACTATAAATCATCATCAACTTCATCATCATCCTTATCCCATTACCATCATCATCAACTTCATCATCATCCTTATCCCATCACCATCATCATCAACATCATCATCCCACCACCATCATCATCATCATCCTCACCCCATCAACATCATCATCAACATCATCACCCCACCACCATCATCATCATCCTCCTCACCCCATCACCAACATCATCAACATCATCCTCCTCACCCCATCACCATCATCATCAACATCATCACACCATCACCATCATCATCCTCCTCCTCATCCCATCACCATCATCATCCTCCTCACCCCATCACCATCATCATCAACATCATCACACCATCACCATCATCATCCTCCTCCTCATCCCATCACCATCATCATCCTCCTCACCCCATCACCATCATCATCAACATCATCACACCATCACCATCATCATCCTCCTCCTCATCCCATCACCATCATCATCAACATCATCACACCATGACCATCATCATCATCCTCCTTACCCCATCACCATCATCATCATCCTCACCCCATCACCATCATCATCATCACCCCATCGCCATCATCATCATCATCCTCACCCCATCACCATCATCATCTTCATCATCACCCCATCGCCATTATCATCATCATCCTCACCCCATCATCATCATCAACATCATCATCCCATCACCATCATCGTCATCACCCCATCACCATCATCGTCATCATCCTCACCCCATTGCCATCATCATTAACATCATCACCCCATCACCATCATCATCATCACCCCATCACCAACATCATCAACATCATCATCACCCCATCACCATCATCATCAACATTATCACCCCATCACCGTCATCATCATCCTCCTCACCCCATCACCATCATCATCATCACCCCATCACCATCATCATCATCCTCCTCACCCCATCTCCATCATCATCAACATCATCACCCCATCACCATCAACATCATCACCCCATCACCATCATCATCATCACCCCACCACCGTCATCATCATCCTCCTCACCCCTTCACCATCATCGTCATCACCCCATCACCATCATCATCATCCTCCTTACCCCATCACCATTATCATCATCCTCACCCCATCACCATCATCATCCTCATCCCATCACCATCATCATCATCATCATCCTCACCCCATCACCATCATCATCATCCTCACCCCATCACCATCATCATCAACACCATCACCCCATCACCATCATCATCATCCTCACCCCATCACCATCATCATCAACATCATCACCCCATCACCATCATCATCATCCTCACCCCATCACCATCATCATCAACATCATCACCCCATCAACATCATCATCAGCATCATCACCCCACCACTATCATCATCATCCTCCTCACCTCATCTCCATCATCAACATCATGACAGCATCACCATCATCATCATCCTCCTCACCCCATCACCATCATCATCCTCCTCACCCCATCACCATCATCATCTTCCTCACCCCATCACCATCATCATCATCATCCTCACCCCATCACCATCATCATCATCATCACCCCATCACCATCATCATCAACATCATCACACCATCACCATCATCATCATCATCCTCATCCCATCACCATCATCATCCTCCTCACCCCATCGCCATCATCATCATCACACCATCACCATCATCATCATCCTCCTTACCCCATCACCATCATCATCATCATCCTCACCCCATTACCATCATCATCAACATCATCACCCCATCACCATCATCATCATCATCCTCACCACATCACCATCATCATCCTCATCCTCACCCCATCACCACCATCATCATCACCCCGTCACCATCATCATCATCATCCTCACCCCATCACCATCATCATCAACATCATCACCCCATCACCATCATCATCATCATCATCACCAGCAACATAAGCAACCAACATGTATTTAAAATGGAGTCCTGGCTTATTGAGTTTGGTGGCTGTAATGAATGACCATAGACTGATGGCTTTAAAACAAAGGAAATTTATTGCTCACAGATCTAGAGGCTGGGAAGTACAAGTAGATTGAGTTCCACTGAGGGCCCGTTCCTGGCTCACAGATGGTCATCTTCTCACTGTATCCTCACATAGCAGGAGAAGTGAGGAAGCTCTCTGGGGTCTCTTTCATAAGGACACTAATCCTATTAATGAGGGCTCTGCCCCTGTGACCTCATCACCTCTCAAAAGCCCCAGCTGCAAACACTCCTCATATTCGGTGTTAGGATTTCAACATATGAATTTGGGGAGGAAATAAACACTCAATGTACGGCAGGTCCTAAGTGGAACTTAGAATTGTTAGAAGTCTGAGGAAGAGGCTCTGGAAAAGTTTGCTCCCTGAGAAAACAGCAATGCCAGGATGAAAGCATGGAGGTCATTCAGAGAGTCCTCTAAGCCCTTCTCAATTCAAATCTATGAAATGGAATTTGTTTAAATGATTGCTACTCTTTAAAAATTATTGCTAGAATTTTTAAATAATGTCCAAATAAAAGCATACCATACATTCAAATGCAAGTAAATGATTTTTACTATCTGCCTTTTTGAATAATTCATGCCCCGTCTCTCCATTAAAAAGCCTTGGCTCTAGGCATTACTTAAAGTTGTAAAAAATATGTGAATAAACAAGATATGGCTACCATTCATAGGATTTGAAAGACTTTTTTTAAAAAGTATAACCAGAAACTAATACAAGACAGATTGGTTGGCATAATGGTATAAAAATATTCAAATTATAAAATCTTTTTTTGAAGCAAAATTTACAAGTAGAGCTGTCAAATCTCCCAATGTGCCTATTTCTCACATTAAGTAATCTCCAATTAGCAAAAATATTTTCTTATTGCCTGTAAGAACCACATCATAATAGGACACCTTTTTAAAATGCCAGTTTCTGAATACCCATTGGTAGAACATGAAAATTAATTTGCACTTTCCTTTGAAATTTTTTTGGCTTGCACAGAATATACAATTAAAATTCTTTATTTAATCTCTTTTTCAATGTCTATTTGATCACCTTTTCATAATCAGTTCAAATTGTATCACTTTATCTCCCACTAGTACAGTTTCAACTTATCAAATACTAGTAAATCAGTTTTAAATTACTGTAGCACTCATATCCAATCACCCACCACATCTGGTCATTAATACTCAATGAATGCCTCCTGATTAATGGCATTACTATGAATGTCGAAATAATAATAACTTCTCTGTGTTGATGTGAGGGGCAATGGGAGATTCTAAACATAGCTAATTGGGCTGCAGATGACTTCATAAACGTTAGGGAGTCCGGGAATCAGGTCTTCAGATGAGCTAACGTGAAAAGCTGTTGATTGACATGTTTACCTGCCTGGCTATTGCAAGCATTGTGAACATGATCTTTCAATTGTCTTTGTTCTAATACAGCTCTTTGCTCCACACTGATTTAAAATCCCAAGTTGAAGTGGTCAAGGTCATATGAAAGAAATTACCTGAATTTTCAAGTGTTCAATGAGATTTCTCATTTGGGTTGCATTTGCTTCTTAAATTATGCATAACACTTTATTTTTCAGTGCATGTATTTATTGCACTAAAAATAGAACTAACCAATGTATTGCAATGAAGCCCCAGTGGTGCACCATGATTTGAGAGAAGAAAAACTGTAGATGTATGGGAAGGTTGACTCTGACTCAGCCTGGGTTATTTCTAGTTCATATTAGCATTTGCATCACGGGTGCTGTCATACCCTCAGCCTCAGGCCTCAAGAAGCTCTCAGGCAGTCTTCCTTATTTTTCCACTTGCTAGAGATCCAGAAAGGTCTTCGGCACCCAGCCTCTCTCCCATCAGGCTCACAAATACCTAGAATCTGCAGTGATTCATAATTGCCTAAAGAGTTTATTTAATCAATTGTAACTTAGGCTCCAAGACACCTGTGGGTTTACCTGCTCCCCCAGATGTCTGTTGGCCAGGTATGGAAGCTATTGACTTAGGGATGACTTGTTTTTCTGCAAAATTAAGATGCATATATTTTCACTGGGATCCTACACCAGGATAAATGTGTTTTTCAACCTTCCCTTCAATGCCTCCTCATTGTCACTAGGATCCCATCATGGCCTCCACAGCCCAACATGTCTGACCCAAGCTACCTCTTCACCACATCTCCACCACCTTCCTCCTTACTCTCCAAGCTCCAGCCTCATGCTTTGTTGCAGTTCCTCTAATATTATGCACTCCCTCCAACAACAGGGCTTTTGCACAAGCAGTTCCAACCTTCTGCCTACAAGGGGTTTTCCCCATTGCCTAGTTAATATCTCAGCCTAATAGTCCTTCTCCAAGGTAGTAAACCCTCCTCCACAAGGTTGTTATATTTTTATTATCAACTACAGTCATAGCACAGTGTGCTGATCACAGTTGTAATTTTCTATTTATTCTGCACCCTACTAAAACCTATGATTCATGAGAGCAGAGACTTTTGTCTGATTTGTTCATTGCTCTATCACCAGCTCCAAGCAGGTGCCTAGTGCACAGTAGGCACTCAGAAAACATTTTGAAAGGGAAGGAGGAATATGTGAACACACAAATACAAGAGGGTAAGTGAGCTGACTATGGTGATGGCAAATATGGGCATACAAGAGAGACAAAGTGGCAGAGAGAAACAAGGAACCCAGAAAAGAAAGCTGGTAGTGATGAGAACCAACTGGCTAACGGCTTCAGTGCAGGCAGTCACCAAAAACAGCCCTGACCATGGAGCAAAGTAACTTCAACCTTAACCAGGATTACATATCTTGAGCACAGAGCCCCAAGCCAATTTAGGTAGAAGGCCTCATTCTAAACCACGCCTTGCTGCAGACCATGAACAATGCCACCGATCCTGCTTTGAGGGTTTACCAAGAAATAATGAATTACTGATTGTCCCTGTTCCCAATCAGCTCTCTCCTGAAATTAAATTCTGTAATTCAATGTGACTATCATCTCAGTAGGCTGAAAAGAGTCTCCCTTATCTGTCCAGAACAGATTTTATTTATGCTTCAGTCTCTACAAAAGTCTTGTACCGCTATCTGATCATCAATTCTTTCTGTAATAGTCAATGCAGCAAATTAAAAATTCAATCCCTCTCCCTCACAGTCTTTACTGTCCAAAATCCCAATCTGAGTGTGAACAGACTGCCTTCACTATTAGAATATCTAACACGGATCACAGCATAAAAGACGGATGTCTGAAAACAAAACTAAACAAAAATGAACTTTTGTTCCTATTCCAAAGAAAGAAAAAATCATCAAGCATATCAAGTAGATCTCATGCTTTTCTAGTTTCCATTTCTTTTTTGGTTTTTAAGCCGTGTTCCAAGAGGCCCCCTGCTTTCATTTTATTTATTTTTTATTGTTTTAATTTTTTTAGAGATGATGTCTCACTATGTTGCCTAAGCTGGACTTGAACTCCTGGGCTTAAGCAATCTTCCCACATCAACCTCCTCAGTAGCTGGCACTACTGGTGCGTGCCATTGTGCCCAGCTTCTAGTTTCCATTTCTAATGTCATTTTTAGGCCCCTGCCTTGGTAAGGGCTGCCTGCAGCATAGGAGAGAGACCTGACTCCGCAGTAGGAAATGCAGGCTTTGGATTCAGGCTTATTTGTAGGAGTCAATCACACTTTAATATTCTAAAGGAAATGATTTATAAAATACAAGTATCGCACTAATAGAAAATAATTTTTATTTTGCAATTGCTTTGTAGTCATGGATATTAACTATTTATGCCATACACTCATTATTATAATTATAGCATTATTTCTAATTCTAAATGTTTCTTTGCAAACCATTGTTTCTTTTACGCATCCCTACTGACCTACACACTCACTTTTGAATGCTCCAAGCTATACGTTTCCTTTTTTTTAAAATTTTATTATCTGTAGAGATGAGGTCTCTCTATGTTGCCCAGGCTGGCCTTAAACTCCTACGCTCAGGCAATCCTCCCACTTCAACCTCCCAAAGTGCTTGGATTACAGGCATGAGCCACCACACCTGGCCCTAAGCCAACAGATCATTCTTTTATAATGATCTATTATACCTACCAAATCTTGTAAATGACCTATGTGCATATACATGTCTGTGCATCTCTGTATATGTGTGCTTATGGATGGATGTGTATCTATGTGTGTGCATATACACGAATGTGCATCTCTGTATGCATGTGCCTATGGATGGATGCGTATCTATGTCTGTGTATATACATGTCTGTGCATCTCTGTATGTGTGTGCCTATGGATGGATGCGTATCTATGTGTGTGCATATACATGAATGTGCATCTGTGGTTGTGTATACAGTCATCCCTCAGTATTCACAGGATACTCGTTCCAGGAACCCCCACAGATACCAAAATCTGAAGATGTTCTAGTCCCTTACATAGGCTGAGCGCAGTTGCTCAAGCCTGTAATCCCACCACTTTGGGAGGCAAGGTGGGCGGATCACTTGAGGTCAGGAGTTTGAGACTATCCCGGCCAACATGGTGAAACCTAGACTCTACTAAAAATACAAAAGTTAACAGGGCATGATGGCTCACGCCTGTAGTCCCAGCTACTCAGGAAGCTGAGGCAGGAGAATCACTTGAACCTGGGAGGCAGAGGTTGCAGTGAGCCAAGATCGAGCCACTGCAATCCAGCCTAGATGACAGAATAAGACTCCATCTCAAAAAAATTAAAAAAAAAAATTTTTTAAGTTCTCTATATAAGATGGAGTAGTATTTGGATATAACCTATGCACATCTGCACATCTTCTGATATACTTTAAATCATCTCTAGATTATTTATAATACCTAATAGAAGGTCAATGCTATGTAAATTATTATTACACTGTATTAGTTTTTTATTTGTATTATTTTTGTTACATTATTATTGTTTATTTTTTATTTTTTTCAAATATTTTTGATCCATGGTTGGTTGAATTGGCAGATGTGGAATCCACAGATTCAGAGGGCTCACTGCACTTACAGAAGTGCTCCCATGGATGTGTGCCTGTATGTATAATGGATGGATGGGTGTGAGCACGTGCATCAATGCATCTCCACAATGTATTCTACGAAATATGATCAGATGCACAAAATCTAAAACAAGTCGAAACCAAACGTTTCAGAGGGCCATAATTTTCTTCCAGGAGATCTGTGTGATTCCAGCTGGCTGTAACACTTACTGAAACCAGATCCACCCCTGGACTTTCAACTGCATGAGATTCTCGCTTATCACCTTTGCTAGCTGGTTTTTTGGTTGTTTCCTGTAAGCAAGTTGGAGTTGGGTTTCCACACTTACAGAATAATTCCTCCTGACTATTTACCAGGAATGTAATATTTACCGAATTTATTCAGTAAACATTTATTGCATACCTACTATGAACCAGGTACTGAAATAAGTCATTTTGATGCAACAGTAAGCAAAACACACAAAGTTCCCTGCATTCATTGTGCCTACATTCCAGCAGAAGAGACAGGTAATAAATAGGTGTTATAGTCTATATTAGAAAGTGGGCCAGGTGTGGTGGCTTACGCCTGTAATCTCAGCACTTTGGGAGGTCAAGGCTGGCAAATCACCTGAGGTCAGGAGACCAGCCTGACCAACATGGTGAAACCCCGTCTCTACTAAAAATATGAAAATTAGTCAGGCATGGTGTTGGGCGCCTATAATCCCAGCTACGTGGGAGGCTGAGGCAGGAGAATCCTTTGAACCTGGGAGGCAGAGGTTGCAGTGAGCTGAGTTTGCGCCATTACACTCCAGCTTGGGCAAGAGCAAAACTCCATCTCAAAAAAAAAAAAAATCAAGAGTGATACATTCTATGGGGGAAAAGAGAGCAGGGCACAGGCATGTGGAGTATGAGGGGCACGAGAGGAGAAGCGGGGTTGCAGTTGTATAAGAGTGGAGGTTAGACTGAGAAGGTGATGAGTAAACAAAGAGGCAAAGCAGGTGGGGGAGGGAGTCCAGATGAGGGCGTGGCCAGTGCAAAAGCCAAGGCACAGGGATGCCTGGGAAGTTCTGGAAGTGGTAGGAGCACGGGGGAGAAGAGGGGAAGCCAGGATCAGAGAATTAAGGGGCAGACATGGAAGATTTTGTCTGTGTTTAAGTCTTGGCTTCTGCTCTGAGGGAAATGAGAGCCATTGCAGGATTGTGAGCAGAGATGAGACATAAAATGGTCCTCCCCAAATATGGTCCCAGTTGTAGGGGCCTGGGGTGAAGCGGGGAGGCCAGTGAGGCAGCTTCTGCAATAACCTAGGTAAGAGAGGCTGGGGGTTGGGCCATGCTAGTAGCCGTGAAGGTGGAGAAATGAGGTCAGATGTGAGATCTGTTGAAGTTTGAGCCCGAGTGTCCTTCTGATAAATAGATGTGGGAAAGAGTAAAGTTAAGGATGATGCCCAGGCCTGGGCCCGATGTGCAGGAAGGAGGAAGCTGCCTCATCAGAAGAGGGAAGCCACACTCAGAGTTTACCGCCATTGAAATCTACTTGCTGCTAAAATCTCAAACCTTGAAATTCCCTCTAGGATTTGCTTTTCCCCTCCCACTCCCTCTCACCATCTGTCTCCAGCTCCACCTCTCCCTTACTCCTCTTTGGCTGGCTCACTTTCTCCTCCCATGTGCTACACATAGCTCAACACTCGCGTTTACCCAGATTCCTTCTCTCTGCTCCCCACGCCTTCTCTCTCTGTGTGTTCCTTCCTCCCCAGCAGCTTCCATTCTAACCTCCCTACGGAAGACTCCCACCTCTGCACTCAACTTCTACCCCTGGCCTCCCCGTGAATTGGGGTTCTGCACTTTTAACTGCCCACTGAATGCCAAAAACACATCCAAATGCAATGCAGCAGTTCTTTTCAGAAAAGAACCTTTCTTTCTAACTTGGTATATTCCCATTGATGAGACCTCCCCCCCTGAAACCGTGGTGTCTGTCACTCTTGATTCTGCCACCTTGTTTCTCAGTACTTCCCTCACACACAAGCACGTCTAGAGTTGACTTTGACAGTGGTCCTGACACCCATAGGCCTGCTTTTGCTCCCACTTCCACCCACTGGATTCTGGCTCTTCATTTTACCAAAAGCTACTCCATAACACTCCCCATGTTATATCTCCACCACAGCCACCACCAGCACCCCCTCCTCTACTTAAAACCCTGCATCACCACTGCCTACAAGCTAAATACAGATCTCAACACAGCACACACACCCCTTTGCAGTCTGGCTCTTACATCCTATCCCTTTGTTAATTTTCCATAACTTTCCACTACCCTAGCCAAATTGTCCTATTATTTCTAAACAGAGCATTCTCCCTCCCGTGTTGTTACTCACACCGTTCCCCTTTACCCCAAATGCCTTTCCCTCTCATACCTGCTCTTCAGTTCAAGGCCAAGCTCAAGATACACCTCGAGTTCTAAAGCCTTCACTTGCCCCTTGGTGACTACTCTCAACTTGCGATGTGAATTCATGTAGACCCTAAATGGACTGTACAGTTCATCTAATATTGAATAGACACTCCTTGATCTTCCGATTAATCTCTTGATGTGCCACATCATCTCAAAATCATTAACGTCTAACTAGAGTAACAATTACATGTTACATGAATGTTAGCAATTGCCCCTTACTTCAGCTTGAAAGGGAGAAAGGCCAGCTTGCTGGGTCATCTCCCAGTCAAATTCTTTGCAGTGGAGAATCCAAGTAAGGAAGGAAATAGAAGAACTAAAAACAAACAGAGAGGCTACAGTGACATATAAAGCACTGTGCTAAAGGAACAGGACAAGAAGAGAAAGGAAAGGAAAGCCTCAAAGGCTGAGACATTGGGAAGCAGACCTTGATAGTGGGAGAGAGAATTTAAGAAAGCAGGTGCCAAACACATGGAGACTATTAAGAGAAGAGAAAGGACAAGATAAGATGGATGCAGTTTTTTGCTGCACGACAGGAATGCATTTTTTCCACTCTTATTCATAATCCCTCAAAAAGATGAGTAAACATATACAGTGTTTTAATTTTTGGTTACTTGAATGTGACTTTATGAACAAGACTAGGACATGAGACAACAAGATTTATCTGAGTTACATAATGAGTATAACTTGTTTGTTTGGAGGCTAAAATCTCTTAAAGTCAGGGATTGGGACCTGGTATTTCTTTGTATTCCCAGTCCTGGGAACAGTGTCCTACATGTAGTCATTAATCCATAAATGTTAGTTGATGATAAACAAGGATGCAGATAAATGAGCAGATGACGTGATCCCTGTTTTTTATCATGGAATGTTCCAGAGGCTGTCATCTGTTATTAGCGATGCAGCCAAACAGCATTTGTCATGTATTTATTTAAGGAGATTATCCATTTGTCTACCAAGCAAATATAACTTTTGTAGGTCAAACTCACAATTACGGCATTAAAACAGGACAACCATGTGAGGATTGCTTGTGAAGAATGCACGTGAATACCAAAAATATCATGGCATTCAAAACCCAAATGTCAGAGAGAGCATTTGAGATGAGAAAGCAAGACAGCATTTTCAAAATGCAATCCCAATTATTTATATTCTTCAAAAACTAGACAATTTTCTTCTGCTGACATGTTCGACTCTGGTCCATTTTCTTGATGCTCTGAGTTTTATACCCAAGACCTTTGTGAGAAACAATTAAAACTACCATGATTTCATGTCAAAAGTAAATGATCATCTCTAACACCTCTCTGATGGGTTTTCAAAACATTTGCATTTTCTGAAAAATCCTTCCTTCCATTCTCATGCACTCATTCTGACCTCGTAAAAAGTCTATGATAAAAGGTACTTAAATATCTACCTTCAGGAGATTGTAGTGGAAAAGCAAAAGGATCACAGAGAAGGAAATGGAAATGAAATCAGGAATTGTGATCTTCTGGAATATGACTGTTCTCTGCATAACATTAAATGAGAGGAATGTCACTAGAACTTGGCAATGTGATAGCGTCCATGAAAGACCATGAAAGCAGCAACCCCCTGTTTATTTCCTAACCTTCCTGGCCATTCCACATTGACTGTGATGTGCAAATGTAGTAATACAATGAAACCACTACATTTACCATTACTCCAATGTATAAATGCAATATTGTGATGAAACCACTTAAATATCTTCTGCTTAAGGAGATTTGCACTGTCCTTTTTCTGAAAACTGTTAATGATCACTGTTTTTTCCTTGAGGAGATCCCTAAAAGTCTCAGATTCTTAAGGACGTTGCTAAAAAGTACACGTAAATTTCAAGTTGAATGCCACCTGAAGGTTGATGGAAGTGGAGCAACACAGAATTCTGAAGATAAACTGGCTGTCCTGAGCGAAAACTGGAAGAAAGTTAAAGACAACTGGATAATGTGTATCAAATGTGCCATTAAAATATACAAACCCTTTGATCCAGTAAATTCCATATCTGGGAATTTAACCCAAATAAATCATCCGAGAAGACACAAAGATGTGGTTATACCAACATTTGAAATTCTGCCCAAAGAAGCAGAAAAAAGGAAGAAAGAAAGGAAGGAACGAATTGTGTAACGATAGCCTATTGATAATAAATTATAGTACATTGATTCAATGGAACCCTATACCACCACAAAGAAAACTGTTAGAGATTTATATTTATTAACATAAAAGATTGTCAGTGAAACATTAAATGAAAAAAGCAAATAACCAGACAGTAAATGAATGTATTCTTCTTTCCAAAAACAGTGTATGTCTATATACATGCACTGTCATGCAAAGAAAAGGAAATATCACAAAATGTAAACACTGGTTGTCAGTAGAGGGGCGGGTTATAGGAGAAGAAACCAGTTTTTCTTATCTTTCTTGTATATATTAATTTCATAATAAATAGACAATAGAGTCTTTTTCATTCTTCAAAAGAAAATAAATTACCTTGTTGAGAGAAACGCATACTTCTGGAAGTTTGCATATTTTGTCCTGAGAAATTCTCTCTCTTTCCTGCTCTCCTTCTCTTTCTTCCTCTCTCCAAAGAAAGAGAAGAGATGCTACAAAGGAGCAGAAATTTGGCTATAAAAAAAGGCAATTTAAAAAATTACTTTCTTAGTTGAAATTTGCACTGACAGAAGCTAAGAAAAGCTTTTGACCGTAAGC
Organism: Homo sapiens; assembly: GCF_000001405.40. Lineage (NCBI taxonomy): Eukaryota > Metazoa > Chordata > Mammalia > Primates > Hominidae > Homo > Homo sapiens. The sequence goes on from NC_000002.12 coordinate 229,574,935, forward strand.
TGGCAAAGCCCCGAGAAAGTTTGTCTCTAAGTTAAAAGAAAAAGGGAAAGTTTTAAAGAAATATTTAATCGAATTCCACAGACAAGATTTCGGTTAAAATTCATTATTATTAAGGGATAAAGTATTTCTTTCTAGAATTAAGAAGAAATGCTTTAAAATATAAAAATAACTTATTATGTAATTTTCATAAATTAACCTGTAAATAAAATGCACTAGCTTTATTTTTTTTAAATAGAGTGTTGATGGGGAGAGAGAGAAAATGAGGCAGAATGAGGAAGGAGAGAAAAGGAGAATTTATGGCTTTGAAGTCATATCTTCAGTTTGCTTCTCAAAACCAGGCAATCCCCCACGTAATGGATCAGGCCCAAATTGTAGAATATCTGCAACTGCTCTGTTCTATTAAATTTTGAAACTGATGCTCAAAAACTGCAGAAGCATCTTAGTAACTCATGACAGTGCCCTTCCACATGGACTCAGACTGGCTTTACCCTACTGAGGGTTGTCCTTTACTTCTTGATAAATTCCTAGAATTTGCATAACTTTTAGTGCTCAAAGAAATTGGCTGAGAGCATTGTGAAAGAGTCTCCTGAGGAGCTACCAGGTCCATTGGGGGGACCAGGGATCTTCCTTTCTAACCAACCTGATTTCAGGGACAGTCTTGGTAGGAAGAGAAACATCTCATCCATCTTTGATCACCTGCTCCAACACCACCGCAGCCTGGGAAGCCCATCCCAGCAGGGCCAATGGACCTTAGACTGCCAGCTCCAGGGACAGACGTATCCAGAATGGAATGCTCGGGGTATCACCACAATCAACAGGTACCAATAAGTAAATCATGCTGACCATGACAATATTTAGGATTAGGGCATATAGAAATAGGGCATGGAGTTCAGGCCAACTAATTTTTTTAAATCCTAAAATCCATTAAGTAATAGAAGATCAAAAAGAATAATCTTGATTGCTGACAATATTAATATGAGGTCTCAATTTAAGTAAAACTCAAATTTCATAGAAATCTTTGAACTAAGCAAATGTGAGCTATAAGAATTTGATGTAAATTATGCCATTCAGGGAAGCTTTATATTTCCTCTGCTTTTGTTCTTTTCAAACTATTGCATTGGAACATTCCAATGGTTCTCCCCGCTACACTCCCTACCCCCACCATTGCAGTGAGTTCAGCAGAACTTACTCAATTGTGGTTTTAAAATGACCATGAAAAGGTGAAATATTTGCATTTTTTTTAAATCTTAAGTTTTCAGTGAAAGATGTTAATGATTCTATAGATGATATCTTTTCCAAACTTTCTTCAACTGTTTTACCCCTGGCCCCCAGAGCAGGGTATCTTAGAGGACAAAATGTAACATTCCCAAAAGAATGATGAAAGTTTCTCTCTCTTTTTTTTTTTTTTTTTTTGGCATTTGATACTCTAAAATACTTTTAATATAATAAAAAGGGGGAATGAGGATTTAAATGTCACAGAGGTAGATTGTGAAAACCTACAAATAATTCTTAAGGTTGACATTTTGCAGCTGGGAATTTTCTTCACATGGCATTAGGAAATGGCAGAATAACTTTTACATAGGAACAAAATTTAACCAGTCAAGTGACGAACATGTGGTCATCATGGTTGCAAGGAGCTATGGCATGGTCCAATCTCTCTAGAAGTTTACAGTTTAATTAAACATATAAAATCATCATGCCAGAAAAGGTTTGTGGGGGGGAACGGAGAACATTCTGATGCTACTTTGTGTGATACTGGCTGTCAATGTGATTAGCAGAAAGTAATGTGAGACACATGACTGGTAAAGCAAAGATTTTATAAAAGAAGGGGAAGGGAATCAGAGTGGAGAGAAATGACGCCAGCTACACGGAGAAGAACCAGTGGGAAACCTGCAGAGCTGAGTTAGGTGAACAGCTAGGAAGGCTGCCCAGCAAGCCAAACCACAGGGTTCAGAGGCAGGAAAGACACAGCCCCAATCTGAGCTGGCCTTGGTATCTAAGAAGAGGGCATGGTCCAAGGCAGAACTAATGGGACTATCATGAAATCAGGGTCCAGACCACGGAGAAGGGGACCTACCACAGATGAAGCAGCTGGTCAGGGTAAGGGTCGTGAAGCTGGGACTGTGGGCAGTGGGACTTTATGCCTAAGGAAATCAGGTTTTGCTCCAGGAAGCTGGAGGAAGCTTAGTGTCTATGCATTTAGAGGAGAATATTCCAGTTCAATGTACAACCAAGGGGCCAGGGACCCCAGGAAAATTGATTTGAATGGTAAGATGTACATGGGAACTCCCTCCACCAATAAAAGCTAATAAAGTACTGCAGGCTTGTTTGAGAATGGATCAGAGACTAGAGGCTTCATGTAACTGGGTAGGTCTGGAGAATGCAGGGCCTGACATTATGAGAATGAAAGGGGCAGTTATAGAAAATGGGCAGTTCTAGAAGTGTGGATAGGCTGGGCGCAGTGGCTCATGCCTGTAATTCCAGCACTTTGGGAGGCTGAGGCAGGAGGAATATTTGAGGTCAGGACGCCATCTCTACTAAAGATACAAAATTAGCTGGGCGTGGTGGTGGGAGCCTGTAACCCCAGCTACTCAGGAGGCTGAGGCAGGAGAATCACTTGAGCCCGGGAGGCAGAGGCTGCAGTGAGCAGAGATCGTGCCATTGCACTCCAGCATGGGCAACAAAGAGAGACTCTGTCTCAAAAAAAAAACAAAGAAGTGTGGATAAAGCAGATATGCCCTGCCTGAGTTTTCTGATCCAAAGGAGAATATTCCAGGAAGAATAACTTCTTTGAATATTCCAGGGTGCCAGTGTGCTAGTAAGAATTTACATTCAGTAAAGATGGATTACAAAAGATGAGTTAACACATTTTAAAGAATCAACCCAGCTTCACTGCATCAGAGCTGGGAAACAAAGATCCTTAAAAATATATAATCAATAAAGATATTACCAAGTTAAAGAATATTCCAAAAATTTAAGTGTCCTGCCAACTATCTTATTTCTTTATATCTTAACTTACTCTATAAGATCTGAGAGGCTCATAGAAATACATAAGATTAAAGAGTGAAATTCAACTTAAGTGAATATTAGAGGCAGGGAAAATATCACCTAAAGTCAGAGTGTACAGAAAAGAGACACGCAGACCCTCAGCTCTTCACAGTACCAAGAGGTGAATTTCCAGTTTGGTTCTGCATCTCCCCGTGGGCTTTTCTGACAAGAGAAAAACGTATGCTAAGCATCTTTCACTTCCTATGGGAGTCCTTTCTTCTGGCATGTCCTGGTCGGTCGCTCGCCCTGTCTCCTCCCATCTCGTCCCTATCACCCTGAGTCTTCCACAGGGAGCCAGGTCCCAGCTGCTCCACATGGCCAGGAAGCAGTCACAGGAGCTGGTAGTCAGACAGTAACAAAATGGAACAGGAGGGCAGCTAGGGAGTGGCAGGATCTGGCCTTTTTATCTCTGGATTCCTTTTAATTCCTGAGCAGGAAACAAAAGGATTCGTCAAGAAATGGCTGAGACAAAGGAATACACATCTAGAGACTTGATGCCTGAATAGCTAAAATAGACACACACAGAAAATTAACACTGGCCACTATGCCTGGCTTCAGGAAGCCCTCCAGCCAAGCTGAGATGTTAGCAACATCCCCCACCCCTACTTTTCTACTGGAACTTTTCCCCCTTTCAATACTGCCAGCAGCCCTCACCCCAGCTAATACAGCCCCAGTGGTGCCCCCTGCCTTCAGGAAGACTTTCTCCAAAATCACTCTCTCTGTCAAATTTACAGAATGAGGTACCCCAGCTCCAGTTGCTTTTGAAACTTTCATTTTAAAGGACAAGGCTTATAGGAATAGTTTACCCAGAAGGGAGGGAAGCAGAGTTCAAGAATAAGAAAATAGAGCTTTACTAAGGAATTCCAAAGGACTACCCAGAAATTCACATCGAAGACTAGAAGATCCCTCTTTTTCGTTTGAAAGATAAACAGAGAACTCAAGAAATATCATCCACATCTTGAGCACCTACCTTTATATAAATGTGTTCATATCCAAGATGAGAGGCAGCTGGGTGGAGGCAGGTGACATATTCAAAGGTTCTGTTACATGCTTGTTGAAATATCTCTATTTCCAGTTGTGATGGTCACTAGTCCATTTCTAGCACTATTATGAAATGATCTTAAATAGCACAGACTACTGTGCCATCAAAATGCCACACACACACTGCCCTTTGTATGTCCAAGGAGAATACTGGCCTGCCTTCCCTCCCTCTGGCAGAGTTAGCTGCTTCTTCATCTGAATCCCATGGCCACTTATATACAACCCTGTCTTGGGCACTTGTCTAAGCTTTTGTTGCCCCATTCACTCAGAGACCACACCTAAATCATCTTTGCACATCCAGACTACCACAGTGCTTGGAAAATGAGAGGCATGCAATGCATCTTTTCTAAACTAATACGGAACTGAGTATTTCCCACAGCCCTGCTACCTACAAATATAAATAAATAATTTAATTTCCTCAATATGGAGACTTAGGAAGCAGGTACATCTGTCAAAGGAAATATCACTGGGTGAGCGGAGAATGCTGAAAAACATACATCCTCCCACAGGTAGCTTTAAGCGGTGCTCTACAATTTTTAGGGACTCAGATATCTTTGAGAATCCAATGAGGTTTTGACTCTCTCCTGAGAAGGATGCATGGATACACAAAAGTGCATTTTCAGGAGATTCATGAGATCCATGAAGTGGATCTTTGACCCCTATGACTACCTCAAAACCAAGGGCCCACTGAGCCTAAATTAGGAACTTTTGCCTAAGAGTAATGGTATTAGTTGGCTGGGTATTGAGAATTCCTTTTTTTTTTTTTCTAAACATAGTATAAACTGTTAGGCTACAAAACACTGTTATCTCCAGGGAAGCATCACTATGCCAGTCAAGATAGAAGCTTGGTAAGAAGACTTTATGGTAAGTCCATAAAGAATAAAATCCTGGGGACTGTGAAGGGCCAGAGCACCAGGACAGTCTTACTACTTTAGTAAAAGAAAAGTCTTATTCCTCCTTGTACCTCCTAAAGTACCTAGTTATTCATGTCTTATTTCTCAAGAGAAAAAACAAACAAAGTGAATACACTACCGTAGGAACCATTTTCAAAACAAGAATCTTTTCAGGCTAGAAATGTAGAATCAAGGCAACTGAAAGCACTCTCTCTAGAGCTCCCAGGAGGCTCAGAGGAGTCATGGGCTGACTGGGAAACCTTCTAATCCAGTTAAGACGTCAATTAGAAAGACCTGCAAATTGTTGATTTCCAGGGTTCCATGGTTAATTTGATGGCTATAATCCTGAAGAAATGACCTCAGCTCCAACAAGGACATTCTTATCAGCCATGGGTTGTACCATTCACCCCTTTGAAGTTACAGTGGACCTAAAGTTATGAGAGAAGCATTTTAGGAGGTCATACATGAAATACCAATGGTCTGGATTAAACAGTAACATGCACTTATGTTATAAGTTAGACATTTTAATAAATGTACTGAAACTGTAAGAAAGGATGGTACAAATGTGTACCTAATAAAAGGGATTGAAAAAATAGTAGGCTATGGGCAGGAGAACAGAATGAAGGAAGAGAAAAAGGCAAGTATAAGAAGCTAGAAAGACCACTATAAAGGAACAAATGGAGAGAGGAATAGACTGGATCAAAATGAAAATAACTTCAAAGAAGAGAGAAGGGATAAAATTTCAGATGGAGGTAACAAAACGAACCATAAGAAAGAAAAGTGTGCAGGAAAAAATCGGGGTTTCTCTGAGGCAGGCAGGGAGTGTGGATAAAGCAGTCAGTCCCTGCCTGAGTTCTCTGATCCAAAGGAGAATATTCCAGGGAGAATAACTGTTAGAATATTCCAGGGTACCTGGAATTTAGCAGTTAAAGGAGATCTGAGAATGCATGCTGAATAGAATTTTAACTGGCCATTTTCTACATAAACCACTCCAGAAGAGGGGGATTTCAGTGAGGCCTTAGAAATGAGCTAAGTTTGGGGGTCTGAGGCTCAGACAGAATGGGGGTGGGAGAGGGTTGCACCCCCAGTGGGGATGGGGCCGGCAGTGAGCTGCAGGGTAGAAGTCCACTGTGCAGAACAGAGGAGAACTATGCCTGAGGACAGGAGGCAACATGGGGAAAATCCTTAAAAGCAGCACAAAGGGGCTTTCACCAAAGGAAATGGTGACCTTCAGCAGCTTCCTAACACAGAAGCCACACCCCAGAGATCTGGTTTGGCTCTCACCCTGAGATCGGCCATCACATCTAAGCAACAGCAAGTTTAAAGATACATATATATCCCATACTTAAGACAGGCAAGCCATAACTGTTTCATGGAAATGTGACTGGAGCAATGAATTTGACTCTTTGAAAATACGAAACATCCAGCAAATGAATCATTCAGGACACTAATGAGCACCTCCGATGCTCCCCGAGAAGCGGGCAATGTTAAACAAAAGGCTAATTTAGATATTTACCCCAATGCGTGGCATCAGGCAAATAACATATTTGGAAGTAACATATTTAGGGTAAACAGGACAGATAAGTAAAGAGAGGCCAGAAGAGTCGAAATTTGGTGGCAACACAGCAGGAAAGAAGTTGAGGCACAGAGGGAAGAACAACACACTTGGTAAAAAGTTCTATCAACTCTTTCTTTCTGCAAAATACTATAAATATTAACAAGGCAGTGGTCATGAAGGAAAACCATAAAGAAATGAACTGTAGTAACATGGAAATAAGCCAAATGTAAGTATATTCTCTTAATCCGGAATGTAGAACATTAGGCTCTCGGCAATAAACTTTTAAAGAGTATTTGTGTAAATCTGGTTACAGCAACCAAGTTTGTCTCCCAAAGACACAGAAGGAACTCCTCTGCTCTGTTGCATAGAAACAGGAAAATACCTTTGGTCATCAGTTATGTTTATTTTTATTTATTTATTTATTATCCAGCTGAATTTAAGATTTGTGGTCCTTAGTTATGTATGTGCAAACTATTGAGAGTGAATGGGAAGCAGGAGACAGTCAATTCCTGAAAGTGCCTCAGCTTCTCTCTAAAAAACAAGCAGGAGGGACAGAAACACAGCGACATAATTCTGAAACTTTACTCTTCCTTTACCGTGGAAGTTTTCTTCCGCCCACCCTAACATTGGTTTGTTTGTTAAATGAACGCCACTGTACTCTTAAAAATAGTCTGAGCTAAAACGTATTTGTGTCTGGAGAGTCCAGATTGTAAAAGTAAATTGCTTTAATAAGCTCCTTTTTAAAAACAAAACAAAAAGAGCGTTAAGCACATGTTAACGTAGTGAGCATCAGGCTTCCGCAAAGATTGCAAAAGGTACATCTTGTTTCTGAAGGATGAAAAGATTTTGTAAGAGAAGCAGCTGGCGGTGTGGAGGTGGAGTTGATTTATCATGGTTAGGAACCTGGCCATCCCTCCCCAGGAAGAGCTCGGGACAGGACTGCTGGCTACCTTTGAAGAGAATAACACCAAAAGATCGTGATCTCCTTACAAAGCCACATAAAAGACCCAGAAAGCCCTAACTAGAAAATTTAGAAAGATATCAAATTTTCAAAATGAAAAAAAAATGGTTTATCAAAATAAAGGATGTTACTCAAAATCATTGCTTTCTCCTCATAATCAAAAGTATAATTTGGGGAAAAGAATTCCTTAACATAGTTATTAATATATCAAAGTTCTTTTTTGAGTTGGAGTCTCACTCTGCTGCCCAGGCTAGAGTGCAGTGGCGTGATCTTGGCTCACTGCAAGCTCCGCCTCCCGGGTTCACACCATTCTCCTGCCTCAGCCTCCCTAGTAGCTGGGACTACAAGTGCCCATCACCACGCCCGGCTAATTTCTTGTATTTTTAGTAGAGACGGGGTTTCACCATGTTGGTCAGGCTGGTCTCAATCTCCTGACCGCGTGATCCACCCGCCTCAGCCTCCCAAAGTGCTCGGATTACGGGCACGAGCCACCGCGCCTGACCTAATATATCAAAGTTTTAAAGATTATTCCCATAAGGAATAATACGTTTCATCCAAAGATAATTTTTTCCACAAAATTTTTGATTAGCAAAATGAGCTCAAAATATGTACGAGTTCACAAGATTTCTTCTATCCCAAAAGAATAAATTTACATTAATACTGGAAAATCCATCTCAATTAATCCCCATCCTCAATCTCAATGTCAGTCTAAGGTCATAGTTATGTTACCATCAAAAGTAGTATAAAATATGAACTTATACAGATGCTCCTCAACTTGCAGTGAGGTCATATCCCAATAAACCTAGTGTAAACTGAAAATACTGTAAGTCAAAAATGCATGTAATGCACCTGACCTAGCAAACCTCATAGCTTAGCCTCGCCTAATTTAAACGTGCTCAAAACACTTACATTGACCAGCAGATGGGCAAAATTATCTAACACAAAGCCTGTTTTATAATAAAGTGTTGAATATCTTATACAACTTATTGAATACTGTATTGAAAGTAAAAAACAGAATAGCTGTACGGGTGCTTGAAATACAGCTTATACTGAATGTTAATAGCTTTCAAACTGTTGTAAAGTCAAAAGTCATTAAGTGGAACCAGCGTAGGTCAGAGACTGTCTGAATGCTAAATAAGTATCTTCTGGTAACGTTAAGGACATTTTAAAGAGTAGTGATACTTTATATGTTTTCTTGAAATATTAGCTCCATGTGATACCAAACAGAAAAACTTAAATTCAATATAAAATAAAACTATCAAAATACAGAAACTACATCCTTTTAGATAAATCTTTACAGCAGATATGGAAGTAAATAACAGTTACTTCAAATGTATTGGGGAGTGAAATTCAGATTTGATTCTTGACAAGTCTTTATCACACAATTTCTGATTATCTGTCATTCATCCTGATAGTCAAACACCAGTCTGAAGTGAAATGCACTCGTCTCTTTGTCAAGCTATGTTCATTCCCGAAATAAATTTCTCTTTACCTTCTTTTCACCCAGTAAAATTCCTGCTCCCCCAGCTGGACTTCCAAAGATTAAAAAAAGAACTTCTCATCAGAAGAGGGTCAGTCAAACATAAAGTGCAATATAAATTATAGAGACCTGAGCATTTTCTTACATCCCTTTATCTTCATTATGATATTTGCATCATATTTTGGAGGGTGAGTCTAAATGCATATTTTCCATTTAGCAAAATATTTAGTGTACACCAGAAAAAAATAGAGAAAATGCCCTAGGATAATCCTTAACATTTGTCAATTATCCTTGTACATTCGTTATCTAATTTAAGCTGACAAACAACCCTGAGAGACAGGTGCTGCTAGGAGGATGCCTACCCCATCCTCCAGGTGAGGATGGTTGCAATATATAGTCAGACAGGAGAAGGAATTAACAGCAGGATGCAAGAAGTTGCCTGGGTGCATTGGACTGGGATGGGTAGATTCTAAACTTGAGCTCAGGCCTTTGAATTGAGCTGCAAGGTGGAACATTATGTCAGCACACGAAGGCACCAGAGTTCCAAGTTCCAACCCCAAAGGTACTATATGCTGGATGAGAAACAAAGACAACTGAAAGGACACAGAATGCTAAACTAGGGGAAAGGTGATCCTCTGGGAACTGTCCAAGTGTCCAAGCAAGAGGCAGTGGGTCGGGGAGGGAATACTGAGGGTCTCTCTTTCTGGCGGCCATTTCTACGCCAAAGCGGAGGAATTAGAAAACAACTAATTAGCCTGTAATCCCAGCATTTTGGGAGGCCGAGGCGGGTGGATCACGAGGTCAGGAGATCAAGACCATCCTGGCCAACATGGTGAAACCCCGTCTCTACTAAAATACAAAACAAAAAATTAGCTGAGCGTGATGGCACATGCCTGTAGTCCCAGCTACTTGGGAGGCTGAGGCAGGGGAATTGCTTGAACCTGGGAGGCCAAGGTTGCAGTGAGCTGAGATCGTCCCAAAAAAAAAAAAAAAAAAGAAGAAGAAAAAGAAAAGAAAACAGTTAATTGGACACGTGGTAGTTTGAGAAGGTTAAACTACAGAAGCAAGTTCAAGAGAGAGTAAAAAGTTAGAAGTGACTGATGCAGGAGGGGTGGTTATGGAGGAGAGGGGCCCCAAAGAGAGCTATAATCCCACCAGTTACTTCTGAGTTGGGGACCCTGCAGTGGCAAATCACTGTGAGGTGCTGTGTTTGAACGCCCTAAGTCAGGCCAAAATCAACTGGGAACAAAGGTTATCCTGAGAGACCAACATCCAACACCTCAAGTTTTCCACAATTTCTGGAAAAAGAAGCAGATGAAAGATTCCAAAGGAAAACTGATGGCCAGAGCATTCAGTACCAAAGATCACACACCTGTGATGCCTTCGCCAGGGCTGGAACACAGTCGCTGGATTCCAGAGCCCATGCCTTTCCACTTTGAGCCACACTAGAAATATTATGTTAGGGCCAGGCTCAGTGGCTCATGCCTATAATCCCAACACTTCGGGAGGCTGAGGCAGGCAGATCACCTGAGGTCAGGATTTCAAGACCAACCTGGCCAGGGTGGTGAAACCCCATCTTTACTAAAAATGCAAAATGAGCCGAGCATGATGGTGGGTGCCTGTAGCCCCAGTTGCTCAGGAGGCTAAGGCAGGAGAATCGCTTGAACTCAGGAGGCAGAGGTTGCAGTGAGCCAAGATCGCGCCAGTGCACTCCAGCCTGGGTGACTGAGCGAGACTCCATCATCAAAAAAAAAAAAAAGAAAAAAAGAAATATTATGTTAGAATCCAGTTTTTATTCTAAAACCTTACCAAAGTGAAAGAAATAGCATTGATGGATAGAATTCAGATTATCTGAGCAAAATTCCCTACCTACTGTCTCAACACCAAACCAAAGTTGGGTTGAATCAGATGCAGTGTTGAGTAGAAGATTTTGGTAACTCACCAATAAAGTGATTATTCCCCAAGGCGAGCATCTCCTCCAGGAGGACCAGTCCCCCTGAAGCCTGAAGGGGGGTCACACTTCGTCCATCTATGAGGGAGCACTGTTGGAATCCTGTGGCCGTGACCTTCCAGAGCAAAATCAGTGAGGCAGTGGCATCTTGCCGAATCCTGGAAACAGGAATGATGTAAACAGAAAGCTCCTTTCAGAAAAATTCATCTTAGAACCAGTTCTTCAAATTAAAAATAAATACAAAGATGGTATGTGCATCTACCAAGGTACCAGGAGATCGATGGCATAAACAGATACGCGGGCGTCCACTGTAAAGGCGTACACTCCCACTTGTTCACAGTGTACCACAAAATGAGTCACTGGTAACTCACCTTTGAGTAACCACTTTGATGAACAGTAAAAGAGTACACTGAGTTCTCTTTCAGACAAATCCTTCCATAGCCACACAATATAAAAAGAGTTTTGCTTAAATTTGTCATAAACGTGGACTGCAACCCAACACAGCCACCTGAGTTATGCTGCCAAAATAAGCAAAAGTGTGTCACCTTTCCCCAACACCCCCCACCCACCCACCCACACACACACACAATCACATACAATCCACCTCCCAATGCTTCAGGCCTCCCCTGGCTCATTTTTGGTAAAAAAAAAAAAAAAAAAAAAAAAAAAAAAAAAAAAAAAAAACACACAAAACCACCCCACAGAGAATAGGATGTCACAGAAAGCCCATCAACCCCAACCCCAACCCCAGCTGCCCTCCTGCGCTTTTCTCCTCACAGCCCAATGCTTCAGCTACTACGAGCTACCCCAACCCAGTTCTTTCTCACCTCCCAAGCTTTGTCTCCTTCTCCACCTTGGAAATGTGTTCCTAGCCCACATATTACCTCTTCCCAGAGACTCCTGACCACTTCCCAACATCCCAACAGCTGCCCATTCTCCCCAGTGCTCCTGGAGAAGATCACAGTAGACTCCGCACAGATCCGCTCCCCCAGCACAGGGCTCCTGGCGTGCAGCAGGGGCTCAGTAAAGCTTTGATCAGTGACTAAATTCATGAGGAAATGAAAGCGTAAGGAGCTAGTAACCCCCACAAGTGAATTCAGTGCCCTCAGGTCATTCGGCACTCCCATCTCACTTCGTCTGAGTCAGACTCTGCTAATTCGGTCCCGTTCTGCAGCTTAAGGGAGTCTCAGAGAATGGCAGGTTTGTTGAGAGGAAAAAAACAAAAGCATTTAACGAGATAGAAGACCAGAAAATTTGGAAAGGTTTATCAAGGTAAGATAATATGATCTAGACAAGAAAGGGCCGAGAGATGTTTTAAGAGTAAAGGAAACTAGAGATCCTGCTCCTAAAACTAGCCCAGGACGGCAGGGGTTTCAGCTGTAGTCTGAGCAGTGAAAGAAACGCTTAGGACCGGGGTCCCCCTGCTGGTAGAGCTCGAAGCTGCCTCAGGCTTCACCTCTCCCGCCTCTCCGGATGGGAGCGTTCCTCCTGAGCCCAGGAATTCCCAAGCAGCCCTTCCAGGCTCTTCCCCTGCCAGAGTGAGTTCAAGGCTGTGGTGACCCAGGGTGCAAGAGCAATGTAACAAAGTCCCTCTTCCAAACATGTTCAGGGACTCCACTGTTTAGAAAGCCAGGTAGACAAAAATGGCGATGGATACATGGAAGAGACCTACAGTGCCCGCAGGCCCCTTAAAAGGGAGCCAGTGCAACAGATTGGTTAACCAGGCCACGTGTTCCCAGTCTTCTAAAAATCCCCAAAGACTGGACAGCAAATGCCCCTTAGGTTGCATGGAAAGTGTGGGGAGGGTGGTAGTCAATGGCAACTGAAAAGGATGGGCAGTGGGGGGTTGTCAGCCGGCCTGGGGCACCCTAATACTGGCCCATACCCCACCCCCAGCTTTGTGCTCCTGGGCACCTGCTGACTTGAGCCTCATATAAAGCACCACACATATCAGGTCTCAACCAGCACTGCTTCCCTATGCCTCTCCCTCTTCCCCACCGGTGACAATGGACCCTGTCATTTAAAATAGCTTGAATTTTAAACAAAACACTCTCTTTGTACGCTTGCTTTTAAAGAGAAAACTGTAAAAATAAATAAATAAATAAAAATTATAAAAAATAAAGAGAAAATTGTAATATGTAGAATTTAAATTTGGGGCAAAGTATGCATCTGAATGTAACTGATGGTCCAATAAAATCTTAAGAGGCCAATAATTTGGGAAGCAAAGCATTTGGGAGACAAGGAATCTGGCTGAGATCTTATCTAAGGCCTCACGGTTTGTCACCTCACACCAGACTCATCCAGTCCAATTTCTCAATTCCACTTGTCCAGCCTGAAAACCCTCACTGTAATTGCCTCTGAAATCGCTTCCTCTAGTTTTCAAATGGCAGGGGCCACATCTACCCGTGGAATCTGTTCACGATTCTCACTTGACAGGCCACTTACACACCAGGTCCGCGGATGGACACAACCCCACTTATAGGTCATAGCATCACTCTTAACAGTTTGTAACTCAGAATTTTCTTACTTGACTGAGGTGTTCTGTGGCACTTCAAAGGATACCAGGCGGCCACCCGCAGAGCTGTTAGAACTGGCATTCCCACAGGCAATATCTGGGATCACCTGGGAAGGGAAAAAAAAAACGACATATGATTGGGGTTGTTTATAGTATAACATAATGTGATAAAGCAAAATTCCATGCTGAATTTCCTTCATCCCTTTTGATGATGCGGGGGTAGGGCTAGAGAGGAGATGAAGAAGTGAAGCCTTACAAACTCAAAAGAAAATGAAATCTTTGTCATTTGATGTTCTGAAATGCAACAGCTTCCCTGAGAGCAATCTACAAATTCCTGGGATTGTTAAAACTGATCAATAGGATATTGCAGGACAGGAAGCAGATGTCACTCCCTGCTCATTTTCCATTCATTTAACAAGCAGTCATTGACCCCTGCACTATGCTTAACCTGATGCTAACCAGGAGGCCAACTTTAAGGACTAACTTACAAACAGCAGGTAAAAGCCTAATGACTAGGCAAGCCAGCCTTCGACTTGCAAAGTGCATGCAGTATCAGGTCTGATGACTCTTCTGTGTGCTGATGGGTCCAGGAGCACATGCTAAGGCTGGGGAGCTTGAACGCTGCCTTTCTTTTTCCTTGTAGGCTATACCTTCGCTTTTAAATTATTTCCCAAAAGTATTATATGGATGTATATTTTTTTAAAAAGGAGATCAATTGGTGGGGGGAGGACTGTGCTCATCAAAAAGCATACTGCAAAACCTTGAGCTATGTCCAGTGAGCATAAACCTGGCCAATTTATGCACTTAGTCCTCATGCCACAATTACTGTCCTCCCCCATGTCAATGAAAATGAAGCAGTATTAAAAGTATTCATCATCACAGAATTAATTGAGAACAATACAGAAACTCTCAGCAATTTCACTCCACAGCCCACACTTAGATCTTATTTTCCAGAATGCCCTACAATCAGATTCTATGGATTAAGCCCACCACTGATATTCAAAGATGTGAGTATAACTTGTTAAATTTGTATGACAGATGGCTGCTACCCAAGCCTCTAAGTCTCCAAATAACTTTATGTTTCCAAAGCATCATTACTTCACAGAAAGGGGATAATAATATGCCTCCTGGTTTCCATCAGGTTAGGCATACATATTAACATGTCTTCCTCTGGCACTTTAAATCTGCTTCATGAGCAGCCTAAGAAATAATCCATGATATAGGAAGATGAGGCATTTCCTTTTTTTCTTTTTTACACTTACCAACTGTAAAATAACATGACTTTAAATAAATAGATTGAAATGGCTGGTTAGGGAGAAATTTTCTTTTAAAGGACACTTCTTTGATAAACTTGAATCAAATCTAGTTCACATTCAAGAACTGAGTCATCCAGCAAAGAAGCATTAACATCATAACTTCAAAGCATTTATTAAAAGCCTGAAATCAGAGCAAGTTCACAGTTTTTTAGGTAAGCTAAAAACATTGCCCTGCAGTCTGAATGTGGCCTTCATAAGCTGTGTGGTAATACAAAAAAAAAAAAAAAGTGGGTCAACTGGTGAGAATTACTCAAGAAAATAAAAGGAGAAATGCTACTATCTCTTTTATAATAAAGGAAATTTCTAGATGCAGTCCTTGACTCTAATACATGCTATGCAAAAATCTATTTTTTTTTTTTTCATTTAAACGATGAAACCCGTAATAATAACATACCGACACAGGTTTATATGGATGTCATACATATAAAGTATAAGATATAGAATGGAATTACACTCCCCAGTGTCACTTCAAACTCATGATTTGGATTTGTTCCCCAACTCTTCTACCCAGCAAATTTATTTTATGTCAACTTCTAGGAGTCTACTGAAAAGACTTTTGAAGAGCTTGAAGATAAAACAGCCAAACTCAAACTTGATAGGAGAAGTTCCAACAAATAGAATTTGCTGCTGCCAAAATAAATAAAACTTGGAAGTTTCTTTGTCAAATGCATTCTAAAAATATGTCAAAATCATTGATAGCTTCTTCTTTCTAAACCCCATTGAAATACTTCAAGGTACCAAAAATAGAACCTAAATGACAACAGTAAAAAAATAGTTGAGTGTTGCGGTCTGCTGTGGTCTGAATGTCTGCGCCCCTCTAAATTCATGGGTGAAATCCTAACCACCATGATGATGGTATTAAGAGGTGGGGCCTTTGAGAGGTGGTTAGATCAGCAGGGCACAGGGCTGGTGAATGAGATTAGTGCCCTTGTAAAAGACCTGAAAGAGCTCCATAGCGCCTTCTACCATGTGAGGTTACAGTGAGAAGACGCGGGCTGTGAAGAAACAGGCCCTCACCAGACTCTGAATCTGCCTTGATCGTGGACTTCCTTGTCTCCAAGGCTGTGAGAAATAAATGTCTGTGATATGATTTGGATCTGTGTCTTCAAATCTCATGTTGAAATGTGATCTCCAATGTGGGATGTGAGGTCTGGTAGGAGATGTTTGGGCCATGGGGGCAGATCTCTCATGAAAGACTTAGCACCGTCCCCTTGGTGATAAGTGAGTTCAGGTGAGATTGGATTGTTTTCTGGGACCTCTCCCTTCCCTCTCTTGCCCTCACTCTTGCCATGTGACACACTGGCTCCCCTTTGCCTTCCGCCATGATTGTAAGCTTCCAGAGGCTCAGCAGAAGCAGATGCTGGTGCCATGCTTTATGTACAGCCTGAAGAACAATGAGCCAATAAACTTCTTTTCTCTATAAATTGCCCAGCCTCATGTATTTCTTCATAACCACTCAAGAATGGACCAATACTGTGTGTTGGTTATAAGCAACCCAGTTTGTGGCATTTTTGTTATAGCAGCCTTAACAGACTAAGACACACTCCCAGAAAGGAAAATAAGGTCAATGATGGAGGGTCCTATGACATGTTCCTTTACATGACTACACTGAGCTGTCTTCCCCAAAATCTAAGATTATCTCACAGAAATACATGTGGATACCATTCCAAAAAATAATTTGATTCATTTTTTTGTTTACTCTTTTTATACTTATAAAACCATCGTACACACAAATGCAGACAGGAATAAGTTTAGGGAGATATTTTGCTTCGTGATTTAACTTAAAATGCTTTCATTTTTAATTGCTGATACTAGAACCGCTGGAGTCACTTTAAGATTTCTGGTTTCTAATGTAAAAATGCACATGATATAACGTTCTCACCTCCACTTGATCCCATTTCATTTCTACAACTTTCTGCCCTGTTTTCGGCTGCCAGGTAGGCAGTGTCACCGTTGCCTGAGAGCGAGGCAGGATTTTGTCAGGCTCCTGAGTAGCAGGAACAGGCTGAAGCTGTCGGGGTGCCATGGATTCGGTCCAGCCAGTGGCTGGGAGACTGGGAAGTGCCTGTTCACAGTTGGGACCTTCATAGCCTTCATTGCAAATGCAGAGGTAGCCATCGCTGCTGCTGCTGCTGCTGCTGCTGCAGTTGCCATGGTGACAAGGGTTGCTGGCACAAGGATCTGCAACAAGCTGAAACGAGACCATAAATGGGTCAATTATTCCCTCATAAGAAAAGTGGTGCCATCGCTGGGAAATTAGCTCTGTGTCTCAGAGCGACTGCTGTAATGGAAATGCTGTTCCTGTGGAATACACTCCTTAACTACTTGTGCTGTTGTGGGGTGGGGTGTACACCAAGGTCATCCGAACATTAACCTTACCACAGATAAGAGGCACCCAGCAAGAAAATACAAAGTGGAGAGCAGCCTCCTCAAAACCCAAAACACCCAATAATGTCGATTTCAGTAACCAGTTATTTAGAGTAATTTTCTAGGGCAAAAATAGTTAAAACTCATTAGGAAGATGCCAACTTTGACATTTTTAGCTGTCAAATGATATTAGGAATCTAAATTGGAATCTCCTTTTCCACATTCTGGACCTGTGCAAGGTCTCCTCATGAGAAAAGACTGCCCCATTTATCTGCCCTGCAGATGTGCTTACCTGTATCTCTCAATTTCCTAACCGGTCAACAATACTTTTTAAGGTGATACTGTACTATTTAATTAAAGACTTCCAAAATGATCAGTTTGCATGGCAGTTGCTAGCTAGAAGAGACTGTGGTGGGGACTTAAGCAGAATTTTATGAAATTTTTTATTTCTTTATTTTGGAGGGTGATTAGAGAGAAATGTGACCCCTTCCCTCGCCAGATATGGAAGATGAGAACTCAGTCATATGTGTTTCAATTATGCTCATGGTCTGGGGAAAGTGTTTATCTCAGAGTCCTTCTCTGTTGACCTCTGAATGGCCATGTGTTGGTAGTTGCAGACACGCTACAAAACAATGTGAAAAAATCACCTGCTCCTCTTCAGATAGCGCAAGGGTTCAGTCATGTTCTCAGCACCTGTTCAATTAGGATTTGTTTCTGTGATAAGGAGAAAATTAGATCTCTAGCTGATATACCCCTGGCTTCTCAGGGCTGACTACAAAACAGAATTCAGTAGAGAATAAATGACAGAGAAGTGGGACCCTCACTCTCTTGTTAAAATGAGTTCACACACTTAAACATACATGGAGAGAATTCTGAATGGTAAAACGGCTACTCGTTCTGCTAATTATTCCTATCAAGCAACTTCCAACAGACTCCTGAAGGAATATATTAAGGGATTTGGGGTTGAATCAAATGAAGCTTCAAAAATACCACATTAATTCTATGCTATCACTTGGCAATTCCCTCACAGAATCTCAGATCAGAGTCAATGGATTTGTATCTGAAGAGAATATTTAAATTGTCAATAATTAATTTACAATATTCACAATCTATCAACTCAAAGTAAAATCCAAACTCCTTCTTCGGCAGACAAAGCTCTTTTTGGTCAGGCCCCTTCCTCTCCTCCCACAAACCTTCCTCCTCCCTTGTAGCCTACTGTCCTCACCCTGTCTCTCTCCATGGACTATACCAAGTTGATTCCCACCTCAGGCCCTTTGCACCTGCTGGACCCCTGCCCAGAACACTTTTTCTCCAGACGTTGCACGGCTTTCTTCCTCATCTCATTCCATCCTCTACTCAAATGCTACCTTCTAGGAGAAGCCTTCCCTCACTGTGAAATCTAAACTAATCTCTTCTTTACCCCTCTCCTACAAAAATGTGAGCTGCACGAATTCAGGTATTTTATCTACTGTGTTCACTGCTCTATTCCCAGCCTGTCCAGGAACACAGACTGTATGATGGGACTTTAAAAAAAATTGTTGGAAAAAGGAGATATGATAGATTGATCAACATTTGGAAAGCAACACGTGATGAGGGAGGGATGTGAACTTGTTGAGTCACAAAGTTGTTATCTTGTTTCTGATTTATTTTTAGGAAGGCCTTGTGGAACGGGTGTCACCCCAAGAATTATGCAACAAGAAGAAGAATTTTATTCACGTGAACAAAGGAGACATTCAAAGCCATGCTTCTGAAATCAACTTTTAAAACATCTGAGGTTGATCTAGTCACAAATAAGAATTTCAATACATGCATTAAAAAGGCAGAAATACATTTAAACCACAAGGGATCAATACAAAAATTAATTCTGAAAGTCCAAACCTCCATTGCGCAGCTTAGAGAATGACATTACTAAGGCAAGGACCACCCATCTGGTGGCCTGAGAGGCCTCACAGCTTCAGCTCCATTGCCACAGCCCACATCTGACAACCATCAGTCCTCAGAGAGGCAGAGGCCTCCTCAAAAGGGGCACTGAGCACAGCAGAAGTCCACATTCCTTCAGAGAAACCAGTTAAGCACGTGTACACACCCTTCCCACGGTAACAGGCACAACACCTACCCTCCCCAAGATAGCCGTTTTGAGTTTTCAAAGGACACTCCATAGAGTAACTTCTCTTCATGCCAACACTGAAATGGAGAAGGATCTTCTGAATCCATATCACTTCTGAGAAAAAGAAGAGCAGAGGGCCGGGCGCGGTGGCTCACGCCTGTAACCCCAACACTTTGAGAGGCCAAGGCAAGCAGATCACAAGGTGAGGAGTTTGAGACCAGCCTGGCCAACATGGCAAAGCCTCATCTCTACTAAAAATACAAAAATTAGTCGGGCATGGTGGTGGGCACCTGTAATCCCAGCTACTAGAGAGGCTAAGGCGGGAGAATCATTTGAACCCAGGAGGCAGAGGTTGCAGTGAGCCAAGATTGCACCACTACACTCCAGCCTGGGCAACAGAACAAGACTCCATCTCAAAAAAAAAAAACAAAACAAACAAACAAAAAAAAAAACAGGCAGAGGAGTTGAATGACCTCTCACAGCTACTATACTAGGAGACCATGTCTTCTGATTTTCAGCCAAGAGTTCTTTCCATAACACAGCACCACAACTTTAATATCATGTTATTATCATGCCAAAAAAAATTCCTGTAGAGAAGGCAGAAGGTAAGGGTTATATTTTTGTAAGCAATAGAAAACAAGTAGCTATTAAATGTAGGCCAATTAAGACTGCCTGAATGCTTTTTTGAGAAAAATGTATGATAATGGTAATACTCAAGGAACACTGATTGAGGACTTACTATGACAAGAACTGTACCAGGTCTCGGTATAAAATGCTGTTTAAAAAAAAAAAAAAAAAAAAAAAAAAAAAAAAAAAACTCTAAATCTGTCCTAGAGAGTCTACATCTAGTAACCTAGTACAAGCACTAAAAGTTTACATCTAGTAACCTAGTACAAGCACAAAAAGCACCTAGTCCTACCTGCTATTCACAATACTTATTTGTGCGCCTGCCATTCTGTTGGGTGTTTTACATTTCTTATTTTAGTTCATCCTTACAGCAACCCTTTTGGTAAGTACATTTGTACATTTATTATTCTATTTTACAGTTGAGGCTTAACAGTGTTACACAAATGACTGACTTTTACCCAGAATAAAGGCCAAAGTATTCACTAATTTTTTTTTTTTTTGAGATGGAGTTTCACTCTTGTTGCCCAGGCTGGAGTGCAATGGTGCCATCTTGGCTCACTGCAACCTCTGCCTCCCAGGTTCAAGCGATTCTCCTGCCTCAGCCTCCCAAGTAGCTGGGATTACAGGCACCTGCCACCACACCTAGCTAATTTTTGTATTTTTGTTAGAGACGAGGTTTCACCATGTTGGCCAGGCTGGTCTCAAACTCCTGACCTCAGGTGATCCACCTGCCTCGGCCTCCCAAAGTGCTGGGATTATAGACATGAGCCACTGTGCCCAGCCTGTATTCACCAAGTTTTACAGGCCCTCTGTCTGTAATGTGCCTGCCCTAGTCTCCCTGACCTCACCTCCTGCCCCTGACCTCCCTCACTGACTGCACAAACACTGGCTTGCTCACTGCTCCTCCAATGCTCCAGTCACTCTCCTGCCCCAGGGCCTTTGCACCGGCAGTACCCTCTGCCGGGAATGCCTTGCTTCTCAAGGCTGCTCCTGAGCCACCTTTGAGTCTTTGCTCCAATGCCATCTTCTGATGAGGAGCCTGCTTAACAGAGCAAGGTCTCCAGCCTCTGTCAATGTCAACTCCTCTTTCTTTTTTTCAATTTTTGTTTTAGATTCAGGGAGTATGTGTGCAGGTTTGTTACCTGGGTATATTGCATGATGCTGACGTTTGACCCTTCTTTCCTTGCTTTTTTTTTTCTAAAATATCCATCATCTTCTCACACAAATTTTAAATTATTTAATACATTCATTTTTTTCTTTCCCCACTAGAATGTAGGCTTTTTGAGGTCCAATTTCTGTTTTCCGTTTAATTTACTTGTGTATCCACAGCCCTAGAACAGTGCCCAGCACATGGGAGCTGCTGGATAAACATTTACTAAATGAATGAATGAGTGAGTGAATGAATGTGAATGATGTTATATACACGCAGCTGCCAGAGCCTATGAAGTGTACTGCCTTGTTAAATGGAATCAGGATTCTCCAAGGCCCAGTCTCAGGTCTTGAGAACATAAGTCAAGGCGGAGCCTTAAATGTCCCACTGTGGTGTTTTAAAGTGATTAAATAACTTTAAATCTGCTTTAAAAGGAGTAAAAGCTCTGTCGACCTGAGAGGTAAGACAGAACCAGCACAACCTGCAGCCTCAGCCTTGATGAGGGCAGGAAGAGTACAGACCCACTTCACAGGTGGCTTTCAACACAGTGAGCCAAGCCACCTTTCTCTGGTCCTCGGAGACCATCTCTGGGAGCCACTTTGTGAAGCCATTCACCCCAGTGGGAAGTGTCAGAGGTGCTGGTTGATGGAGCTGAGTGGCAAAGGGCAGGTCCCATGGCAATGTTCAATTTGCCACATCCAGGAGTCAGTCCCACCAGGTAAGGGGATAAAGAGCCAGAAAGAAAATATGATGAGAATCAATAATACCCTAAGTGCTCTTGTCTGAGCTTCATAGATGAGAGGAATGCACAAATAGCATGTGGGATGAAACAATGAATGACTGACACGGAAGGCCAGGAGAAACACTCTTAGTGAAGAAGAGAGGACAAAAGCTAAAAATTAAACAGTCAGTTGCATAAATTTCTAAGGGGATTCAAAGTAGTGGATAATGTGATGGAGTGTGTATGCACACACATGCACACGCACATGCACATGCATGCACATGCACGCATATACATGCACACACCTGCGCACACACATGCACACGCACACATATACATGCACACACACATGCACACGCACACATATACATGTACACACATGCACGCACACACAAATGAACACAAACATGTGTGCACACATGCACACACACATGCACACACACATGCACACACACACAGGAGTACGAGGCAGAGAATTAAATGCATTGCAGGGTCATTGGGCCCTTTTTAAAAATAATTTTATCCCAATGCTACTTCCTTGGCGTGTATATTAGTTGTTTCATTAACAATGGCAGCTTTCTGCCATTATTTTCTCTAACTCTTCAGACTAGTTTTATTTTTTGGGAAAGCTATCTGTTTCAATTCATAACAGCATATATAAGATAAGGTGCAATCATTAACTTTTAAGCAAATCATAAATATTTATCTTAAGTCCTACGTTTCTGTATACAGTCAAGATTTTTTTAAAGTTCGTATTTGTATTTTATCTCATTAAGGAAAAGGTCCTGTTGCAGAGGTCGCATCTGCTCTTGCGTCCCATTAAATCTGAACTATAAGCAGGTAATAACCAAACTGCCAAAATGCATAATGAGGCAAAATATCAGAATTAGTAGACCTAACTTTGGGAATGCATAAAATGTAATACATGATATTTTCCGAGCTATAATTTCTAGATTCTAATGATGGGGAAAAATGATTAAGCCTTTGTAATACCAGCTATAATAAAGAGGAAAGAGAAAGCCCATGGGTTAATGGTCTTCTGCTTACAGTGAACCAACAGGCCCATTTATTAAATGCCGTGTGCTTGCTGCATCAGATCAATTTATCTGCTTAAGCCACATTTTTTCACATCATAGAACTAACCTGAAACTATTTTCCACATTTTATTTTAGACTTTTCACCCGTGTCAAATAATGTCTACTCTAACCAAGAGCAGTTCTGGGGGAATGGACTGAGTAAAATGGGAGGCCAGACCTGAGCGAGGGTGCCAGCCTCTCCTGGGACTTGTGATTCAAAGGCAGTAGCAGTGTGACCCTTTAGCCATGGCCTGTTTTTCTTCCTTAAATTCTCTGCTACCCATGTTTCTGGCAATTCCCATATCCTCTGCGGCGTACAAACAGAAGGACGAAATGCCAACTTTAAAAGGCATGAAAAAGGCCCATTGATAGGGTCATTAGATATAGTAAGTCAAAGCTAATAGGGTTGCTCGAAGTGTGGACACCTGCATCAGCATTACCTGGATGATGGTGGGGCCTGGGGAGACACAGAGGTGACTAACTTCCCTTCCATACTAGTTTAGAAAATGTATGGGCTTCAGCCCTGCCTCTTCTGTACTTTTACAGACAACTCAATATGGCCACTCAGCAATTCATGTGACATTTATCAAGCACCTATGATGTGCAAGGCAGGATGCCTATAATAGGGGTCAGGAAGATGAATAAAGCCTTACCTGGCCCTTGAAAAGCTCACAGTCCAATAGATGAGTCAGAGACGTTAACTTGGACTTGCCCTGAGCAGTCGGCTCATCAATTGCTTGCCCTGCTGGTATGCATGTCAGCTATTGGGATCCTTTGTTTGATTGAGGTTACCCACCCCAACACCTTTATGTTAAACTACCTTACATTTTTTTAATGCTGAGGGAGAGAATGGATCTGATCATAGCAAATAGGAAACGAAATTATGAGCAGGTGTTGGGACCAGTCTCTTTTAGAATGATAGCGGCAGCTTTCGGCAAAACAAAGACAGCAATTCTGGATGCCTCCACCAAGAAGAGGTGGTCTGGGAGTTTTCCAATGAGAAATGGAGCCAGCTGAGCAAGCAGTGCCCTGGCGTTGGCCCTGTTCTTCACAGGTGGGTGGGACAAGTTGCTCACCTGCTCTGGACACACACCCCTCACGCATTAAGGGAGGAGCTGGGTTTGCATCTCGAAAGGCCTCCTCCAGCTTGAAGACTTAAGATTCTATTGATAGCCACTAAGCTTGATGGCAGTTTTCAGAAGGTTCAGGGAAGAACCGAGCCGACCAGAGGTCAGCTCCTCCAATATTATACCCAAGCTAAGTGGGCAAAGGCATCCAGGGGGAATGGGACGGTGCTTGAGGAAACCAAATGTGACAAAGCCCCAGAGGAGAACTTACAAATTCTGGGCAGTGGGTGGGGAACCACTGTCATTATATGACCCAGCACGACGCTGGCCACAGAGGGGACACAGGGGACTCGTGATACTTACAGAGAAGTGGAGAAGAAGATAGAGGCAAGGATGGGAAAGAACAGGGGGAATTTGTGTATGGTATTAAGAAGGAAGTAAAGTGGACCATTACGTTAGTAATTTGTCTGAGTGGCAGAATCAATTTTAAAACTTTTAATACAGACTTTAATAGAGATATTAGTATTAAAGGAAGAGGGAGTGTCTTATTAAACAAAGAACAAAAACAATAGCCTTAAAGCAGGTTTTCTCAACATTGGTACTTTTGACACCTTGAATTGGATAATTTTTTTTATCACTGGGGGCTCCCCTGTATGTTGTAAGATGTTTAGCAGCATGCTGTGTCCTTACTCACTAAATGCCAGTAGAATCCCTCCTTCCAAGTTATGCCAACCAAAAACATTGCTAACATCCCCTGGGGAAAGATCATCTCTGATTGAGACCACTGCCTTAAGGGAACAGTGCATTTCACTCCATCAAAATTATTTTTAATCATTGCAACTCCATGAGTAAATTTAAAATGCAACACTATCATGAAGGAAGAAATGTACAACATACTATAAAGGACTAAATCCCTTATTATAGAAAGAATTTTTAGGATAAATACAAGATAAATGCCTCAGCGAAAAGGGCAAAGAAATAAACAAGCAATCTACAAAATAAACAGTCTACAGAATCATGCCATTTTATACAATCTTAAACACAAATAAAATGTTATGTATTTATTTGTATGTATATTTACTGGAGGATGGAAAGGAGGGAGGGAGGAAAACAGAAAAGGAAAGAATGAAGAAGGGAAGCAGGTAACTAGAATGGACCATTGTTTTAGTGATTTGTCTAAGCAGCAGCATCAGTCAGGGAACTTTTAAAACACAGATTCCCCAGCTCCAGGCCATTCATCAGAAACTCTAAAGGTGAAGCCTAGAAACCTGGATCTTTCAACATTTCCCAGATGATTCTGATGCACCTGGCCCCAAAACCAAAATTTAGAAATTGTTAGTACAAATTAGAGGTTGGCAAATCACAACCACAGGCCAAATCTGGTTTGTTTTTTGTAAATAAAGCTTTATTGGAATACAACCACAGCCACCTGTTTATGTGCTGACTGCTTTTGCAATACACCAGCAGTTGAGTACTGACAACTGAAAGCGCCTGGCCCACAAAGCCTATATGATATTTGTTATCTGGCCCTTTAGTTTCCCAGTCCCTGATCTAGACAGTACAGACTTTGGGGTTCACAAAAGAGGGAAAACAGGTAGGTGGGGGTCACCTGGAAAGACTTCAAAAAAGAAAACTATCTTGAACTGGGCCCTACAAGTTTGATAGCAATAACATCTATTTTCTCCCCCCATGCAACTCCCTAATTGGACTGGTGTGCAGCAAGTGATTAAATAACAGAAGAACCTTTGGCAAAACAACTTAAAGGACCAGATATTCTTTTAGTCATAATTATGTGCAGGAAGGTTGCAGAATAAATCTTGGTACTATGAAAAGAATGCTCATCTAGATAGTCCACCTTGAAGCAAGAACACAATGAAGGGTCATACCCCTACCTTTCCTTCACTAGAAGAAATATGGAAATTCTCCCTCTACCTTTCCATCCATCAGCTGAACTAAATGGAGATGAATGATGAGCAACCCATGCCAAGGCTAAATATAGAACTAGGTGGACCCATGGAAGACGATGGATGGGGAAAGGTCACACAGACTAAGGGGATATTGAAATAGCAGGAGAGTGACTCTGTCTGCCAGTTGGAGAGGGGGACTACAGCAAAGATGACTCCAGAATTTATAGCTTAGGGTTACTGGAGAAATTAGAATGAACAATTGCCACCTGGAGGTACTGTGATATGGGAGAGAAAGACTGGGGTTCCAGTCTCATTTGCAGGTGATGTTGGACAAGGCAAGAAAGCTTCCTGGGGCTCAGCACACTCAACTGTAAAAGGAAGGGATGGGACTAGAACATTCTAAAGGCGTTTAAGTTCTTAATATTGTGTTTCTATGTCCAAAACAGGAATTGCAGTGGTTGTAAATGTCATCTTCCTTCTGAAACGCAAATGAACAATGTTGGGGTCCAACTGTCACAGTATTTTTGTCTCAAAAAGAAATTTTTCCCACCTTCTTCAATAAGGATTTCAACTATATTCCAACACCAACTGCTTACTCACCAGGAATAAAGATATAAAAAAAAATCACTATAGTGCTTATGCCAGTAGTAGACTCAGCCAAGAAATGCATCCCAAGATTTTTTTCCCAAATCCAAATAATAAAAATGCTCATTCGCTTTACTGAATCAAGAACTATATGTCTTAGTGAAATACACATTCCATGTTTTGATAGGTCTTTACTTCTGTATTAGAAACTCTACATCAATTCAAAAAATTATTCCAAGACTAATTTGGTCAGTCCATTATTCCCTCAATTCTGAGTCAGCTTTCTTGAAACCAGCTTGTCCTGATTTTTGTATGTGAGTTGAGTCACATTTGTAAGTAGGCTAAAAGGAAATTATAAGCAGAATTGAAACGTGGCTATAAAATGAATCCATTAAAAATAAACTCTTACATATTGTTTCCCTACTTTTTCATGCTGTCTCTTTAAAACATACTGCATTTGGAAATTACCTTGAAATCTCAAGGTAATTGCTTTAGTCTGATTAACACATAGTGATAAGTCATAGTGATGAATCTATAAGCCCTGCTCAGCTGCAGATATATCAAGAATTAAAGGAATTGTTCTTCAAAAACCTGATCTTCCCTTTGTCCCTTGGTTTCCATATTTAACTAAGTCCTAAGAGATAGCACTCAATTGCACTTACTGACATAGGCACACCAGCCTCAAATGAAATGCTTTTTTTTTTTTCACTTTTAATCATTCAAAGACCAATTTCTTGAATAAAAAAGTTGCAGAACAATTCCAGTGCACACATTTTTGTTTCGCCTCTCATCAGAGACACTCATACATCCTATCAAACTTTTTTACAAAACCACAATGCCATCAATACAGGAAATATGTCGACTTCTGCCTCTTTCGTACTCAGGAAAAGAAGGCTGCAGGCAAACTGGGAATTAAATTTCCTGTGAAGATTGTATGATCATCTCAACCAATGCAGAAAAAACTCTTATTAAATTTAACATCTAGGTAGAGTGAAGACTTTTAGCAAACTAGGAATAGAAGGAAATTTCTTTTATCTGATAAAGAGTATCTACAAAAAACCTTCAGCAAATATAATACTTATTGGTGAAAGGTAGAACAGTTTCTCTCTGAAACTGGGAAGAAAGCAAGGATGTTTGCTAATACCACTTCCATTGAGCACTGCACTAAAGGTCCTACACAGTGCAATGAGGCAAAAATAAAAAGAAAGTATAAGGATCCACTAAGAAAATAAGCTGTCAATTACAGACTGTATGATTATTCATGCAGATAAATTATTAAAATATGGAACTTCAGCAAGTTTGCTGCATGCAAGATCAAAATTTACCAAAAAATAAAAATATTTTGCATCTCCATGTATCAGCAGCAAACTAAAGATCCTTTTCTCAAAGGTACAGTTTATAATAGATGAAAAAAATTAAATTCCTAGTAATAAATCAAATGTTAAAAATGCATGATCTCAATGAAGATAATTGTAAAGGGGGAATATTCCAGTCATGAATTAGAAAACTTGATATTAGAAAGACTCAAATTTTTCTTAACCTACAAGATTCAATGCTGCTACAACAGAAATCACAACATTTGTGTGCTTCTGTAAAATGGCCCACGATAGCACAGACACGCTTGAATAAGAACAATGTGGGAGGGCTTGCTCTATTAGAAAGCAGGAATTTTAAAGCTATGGTAATTAGGATAGCATGACACTGGCAGAAAGATGAACAAATAGACCAATGGAACAGAGACAAGAAACAGAAAGGATCACACAGGGACACTTGACTTCTAGAATAGAGTCTTTTCAATAAACTGATATCCAATGAGAAAAAAATGAAGACTTTTCCCTCTCTCAAGCCATATGCAAAAATAAACACCAATTGGATTGTAGATCCAATTGAAAGGTAAAAAATTAAACTTCAAAAAGATAATAGAAGAGAATATCTGTATAACCTTATAGTAAACAAATATTTAATAAACAGAACACAAAGAGTACTAACTATAAGAATATTAATATTAAATGACGAGTTAATGGGTGCAGCACACCAACATGGCACATGTATGCATATGTAACAAACCTGCATGTTGTGCACATGTACCCTAAAACTTAAAGTATAATAAAAACAAAAAAGAATATTAATGAGCTGGATGACAACAGTTATAGTATACTGATAAAATATACTATACAGCCATGAAAAAGAAAGAACTATAGCCTTATACAACAAGTAGAACAAATTCCCCAAACACAATGTTTTTTCCACTTGTGTAAAGAATATAAACAGCAAAAGTGACCCATGCTTGAAGTCAGAAGAGTGATTAGCTTTGCAGAGCTGAGAGAGGTGGGGACGAGGAAGCTGCTGGAGGGCAACATTGTCAACCTTGATCTGAGTGGTGGTTACACAGGTGTTCATTTTATGATAATACATTGAGCTGTACATATTTTGGGGGGGTGCTTTTCTGTGCTTTGCAAGTTTGTGCTTTGCAATTTTTGTGCATATTTTGTGCTTTGCAATTTTGGAAAATTGTTTTTAAAACACCTACCATATACACATATCTGACATACTCTTTGTTCCTTGGTTGTCATATTTAAGAAAGATGATGAAACTAACTTGCCTCTACCCAAAAGTAACCATAAGGTTCCTTCCTGATTTTCCTCCCAGGTAAGAATGGCACACAGATTCCAGAGTGACTCTCCCTCCAGCACCGCGGCCACATGAAGCCACAGGGACCAGGAGGGCCAGCAGAAGCCAAAATCCAGCAGCCTCTGTGTCCTCCTAATGACTTTGACCTTCCTTCTAGAAGACACAGAAAGCCAATGAAACATGCCAAACAGGGGTGGAAACTCAAGTCAGAGTAGCACTTTGAAAAGAACTTTCCACTTTTGTTGGGGACTCCAAAGACAGGGACTCCAAACATTTTAAATGTTCTCATTTCTTTATTTTTAAATAGGACAAATGACATGCTCTTTATTTTTAAAGAATAAATAAAGAACAAATGACACCAATGTGGGGTAGCAGGGAGTTGGAAAACCAGGCACATAGTAGGCTCTCAAAAAATATTTCTTGTCTGAAACAAAGAAGAGACCCCATTGCTTTCTAAATCATTCTTTATTCAGAGTATTCCCTACCAGGAAGAGTGTTCTTCTGTATCTGTTAGGCTCGGTGGCCTGGGATCCTTAAGAGAAGTTGGAGAGAGAAATCTATGAGTGCCTGTGAAACCAGGTGCAAGAGCAGAAAAATCAGGGTCACCTTGTTTAGTAAAAGTCGGGGGAGGCTTTGGGTTGATCCGCCAAGTGCCAAGTGTTCTTGTGTACCTGCCTGGCTTCTTGACTGCTTTGATGTGTGTTTTTCTCTCTGCAGGCACACAAAATTCCCTCTGCTCTCTTTTCAGCTTTTCTAACCTTACTTGGAAACAGCTGCTCTAATTTTAATACCCATCTGCTCCCGGGAATAGGACAAAAATCAGTGGCTCTGCAGATAACTCTAAAGTCTTTGGGTATCCAACTTCATTTATCTGGAGATAAGCCTTCTATATACAGCAGGCTTCATATAGACAGCTACACTAGGAACAAAACTAAAAAGGAAAATGAGGAAAAATTCAAGCAAAAGAGCAGGTGGCCCTAGATATCCAGTACCAATTGTTTTAAAATCAACAAGAGCCAAAGACCCACAAATTGCACGTGTGTTCAGATTGTCTCATTGCAAGATTAAAAAGAGGATCTTTGATTGGCTAGCAAATCTGCTCAAAGGCCAGGGTTGTTTTATTTTTTTTTCTCCATGAGGAAGCTGAGAGGACCTTCGTAGTTATGAAAGACAAAAGAAACAAAAGAAAAAAATAATAACAGAACAAAAAACAGGGCTGAAAGTGGAAGAGGTCACCCGTAAAAGCCCTACCAACTAGAAACAGTCATGGATTGTGAAGCAGAGAAACAAGGATGGTCACAACAGAGACGGGAGTTTCTGCAGCCTAGGAGTTCAGACAGGAAGCAAAGGGATGAGGGCAGAAACCCACCACCACCTTAATTCTGCAGCTCTGTGGACACTATATATAAGCTATACAGGGAAGCAGAAGAAACCTGTATAATTGTATCTAATGAAGCAGTATGGCAAAGGTACTGTAGCTTTGAAGACACTCTACAGTACTGATCATTCAAATTATCTCTTTTAAATGCAAATATTTAGCATTTCCAATTAAGGCATAACATTAGAAGGCTAGAAGAACCCACTGGGAAAACTGTCAGAAAAGTATATCCATAATGGCTTTTCAAGCTAACAATTTTTGAACACAGAGCATCCTCTGAACTGTTTTAGAATGTTGATGAAATCAATCCCATTTAACAATGCTTGCCATGTTGAACTATGTGAATTGTTAGTGTATAAAGATTATAGACACCATAACAGCCTGGGCAACATGGCGAAACCCCATCTCTACAAAAAAAAAATGCAAAAACTAGCTGGGCATGGTGGCACACACCTGCAGTCCCAGCTACTTGAGGGGCTGAGGAGGGAGGATTGCTTGAACCTAGGAGGCGGAGGTTGCAGTGAGCCAAGATAGCACCACTGCACTCCAGCCTGGGTGATGGAGCAAGACCCTGTCTCAAAAACAAAGATCATAGACACGTGACTTACCTTGCATATGCAAATGCCATAGGCATCCATACAACAGAAACTTCGATGGAAAATTTCACCATTCAAGATTTTAATTGAACTGATGGCCAGGCCCTTCTCCGGTGGAAAAAAAATTAGATAAAATTAAAAATGCTTTCATTTGGAGGTAAGCTTTAAAAAGGGGTGGAAGAAAAGGGGGATCCTCAAGTTTCAGGAATGATTAGAAAATTCACAACCAGAGAACTTAGCACATGATGACACTGCATTGACCACACAGCCTACAGAGCTGGA
The DNA here is from genome assembly GCF_000001405.40 of Homo sapiens. Lineage (NCBI taxonomy): Eukaryota > Metazoa > Chordata > Mammalia > Primates > Hominidae > Homo > Homo sapiens. Next base: position 229,606,192 of record NC_000002.12, read on the forward strand.
AATAAGACCTACAGTTCTGGGAATTGGGGTTCTAAAAATCACATGGGAGTGTTCCAGCTCTTTTAGAATCTGTCTAGCAGGCTTTCTGGTTTTTACAGGAAGGCCCCTCTCACACACACACACACATACTCAAATGGGGCCTTGAGCACAGGAAAGGAGAGGCAACTATAACTGAGCCCACAAATGAAGCCTCTTAGAGCCTCCTGTCTGTTTAGAGAGAGCAGAAGGGACACTAGAGAAATCCACCAGCAGTCCCGAGGTAACAGCAGAAAAACTGACATCTCTACAGTCTTTGGATTAAAAAAAAATAAAATTCCCATGAATAATTAAAATCTCCCATATGAATGTCCCCTGTGATTAACAACATCTCCTTCATGTGGACATCCTAAACCAAAAATTAACATAAAAAATGTGTTTAGGGCCAGGCGCAGTGGCTCACATCTGTAATCCCAGCACTTTGGGAGGCCAAGGCAGGAGGATCACTGGAGGTCAAGAGTTCAAAACCAGACTGACCAACATGGTGAAACCCTGTCTCGATTAAAAATGCAAAAATTAGCTGGGCGTGGTGGTGCGCTCCTGTAATCCCAGCTACTCGGGAGGCTGAGGCAGGAGAATCGCTTGAACCCAGGAGGCGGAGGTTGCGGTGAGCTGAGATGGTGCTATTTGCACTCCATCCTAGGCAACGAGAGCAAAACTCCATCTCAAACACCACCACCACCAACAACAACAACAACAAAAACGTGTTTAGGATCAGTACAGAAGTGGAGTGACACTTTTCACAATACAGGACACATGGGACTCACGCACATGCCTGTGTACACACAGACTCTTATCAAATCAGCACACAGCAAAAAATTACAAACCATACAAGGAAATAAGCCACCATCAGCACTTGGAACTGTGGATAAACGGTCAACAAAACCTTTTCCACTCCTGCATGAATATATATTTATGCATTTTAAGATGAAATAAGATGCTTAAAGTAGATCTAAAACTTTTTTTTAATTCCTCACAACTTCTTTAATTAACTGACCTGATTAAACTGTCCTGATATCTTTGATAAGAAGACTTCTACTAAAGATATTAATAGCTAAGATTTCTGAGTGCTTATGCTATATCTGGCATGGTTCTCGTCGTGCTCCCTATGTTAATCCATTTAATCTTCACTATCACCCTGTGAGGCAGTTACTGTTATCTGCATATTATCTCTGAGGCTCAGAAACTAACTTGTTCACGGTCCTTCAGCTAGTAACATAATGAGAATACTAATCCAGGTAGAACAGTACAATTCCAATCAAAATCCCATGCTTCTTTTTTGTTTTCTGACTTATCAAATTGATCTAAACACAAATGAGAGATGAAAGGACCAAATATTTTCAAGATAATTTGAAGAAGAATAAAGATACATGCTTTATTCCCTCCCAGAAATAAAAATTTATTATAAATCTATAACTACATTGAACAATGTTTCAGATGAGAGAGCACAGAGATTTGCCATGTAGAGAAACTTAGAATATAACAGGGAAGGCATTAACAATTAGTGTAGGAAGGATGGGCGCGATAGCTCACACCTGTAATCCCAGCACTTTGGGGGGCCGAGGTGGTCGAATCACTTGGGCCCAGGAGTTCAAGACCAGCCTGGCCAACATGATGAAACCCCACCTCTACTAAAAATACAAAATTAACCGGGCATGGTGGTACATGTATGTAATCCCAGCTACTTGGGAGGCTGAGGCACAAGAATCGCTTGAACCCAGGAGGCAGAGTTTGCAGTGAGCCGAGATCATACCACTCCACTCCAGCCTGGGTGACAGAGCGAAACTCTGTCTCAAAAAAAAAAAAAAAAAAAAAGTAGTGTAGGAAAGATCAACTTTTTAGTAAGTGATACTTGAATAATTGCTAATTGCTGACCCCTGGGACTGACATAAATATCTAACTTATACCATACATCTACACACACAATGAATTCCAGATGGATTTTGTAGGACAATGTTAAAAATACGACCTCAAAACTTTTAAATCAGGAGTTGACAAATTACAGCTCACAGACCAAATGTGGCCCATCACCCAATTTTAATAAATCAAGTATTCTTGGAGCACAGTCACACCTGTCAGTGTGTCCATTGTCCAAAGCTGCTTTCCCACAGTTGAGTAGTTGCAACAGACATGTGACCCACAACGCCTAAACTATTTACTCTCTGGCTGTTTGCTGAAAGTTTGCTCATTCCTGCTTTAGATGAAAATATAGGACAATATCTTTCTGACATCAAGATAGAAAAGAATCTCTTAAATAAGACTCATAAAAGGTGAATAAATTAAACCGCATGAAAATTTAAATGAACTAGAGCTATATCTGAAAGCCACAGACAAATCGCAGAAACACCATAGTGAGTGGGAAAAAAGCAAGTTGTGAAAGGATCCTGCAGTGTCATACGTCTGTGCACATTTTATGCCTATATTGTAAAAATATTTTAAGAGATGAAAGCTTACAACCCAACTTGGAAGAATCATTGTTTCTGGGTAGAGAGGGAGGGAAGTGGGTTGGGGAGGAGTAGGGTAGTGGCAGTGAGGGTGGCGGGCTTTAACTGTATTTGCCTGTTTTATTTATTTATTTTTAATAATTGGAAACCAATATGGCAGAATGATGTTTGTTGAATCTCAGTGGCAGATGCTAATTATACTATTCTCCATTCTTTCTTGTAGGTTTAAAATAGTTCATAATAAAGATTTTAATTAAAAATGTGATCTTGGTCGGGCACAGTGGCTCACGCCTGTAATTGCAGCACTTTGGGAGGCCAAGGCAGGTGGATCACTTGAGGTCAGGAGTTCAAGACCAGCCTGGCCAACATGGTGAAACCCCATCTCTACTAAGAATACAAAAATTAGCCGGGCATGGTGGTGAGCACCTGTAATCTCAGCTACTTGGGAGGCTGAGGCAGGAGAATCACGTGAACCCAGGAGGCAGAGGTTGCAGTGAGCTAAGATCACGCCACTGCACTCCAGCTTGGGCAACAAGAGTGAAACTCTGTCTCAAAAATAAATAAATAAAAATGTGATCTTCATCATTCAAGCACCTTCTCTGTTCCAGGCATTTCTGTAGCCCAGGGGCTGGCAAATTCTGACCCACAGGCCAAATCTGACCTGCAACCTGTGTCTGTACAGCCTATGAGGCAAGAATGATTTTTATGCTTTTTAAAGGTTGGAAAAATCAAAAGAAGGTTAATATTCCAAATAATCATGTAAATGTTCGATAAGATTCAAGTTTCAGTGCCCATCAATAAAGCTTTATTGAAACACAACCACACTCATTCGTTTTACATATTATCTGGCTGCCTTCACATGGCAACGGCACAGGTGAACGGTTGCCACAGAGACCTTGTAGCTCACAACGCTGAAAATATTAACTATCCGCCCTTTACAGAAAAAGTTTGCTAACCCCTGCACTAGGCCCTGAATACATGCAAAGCCTCTGTTCCTAACGTGCTGGTGGAGGGACACAATGACAAACACCATAGACACAGCAGCAGTGTCACACATTGCTGCTTATGTGTATGACCCAATGCAGGAAAAGGCAAGGACGATTTTCTTCTGTGGATTGTACATTCTACTTTTTATAGCTTCAATAAAAATGGCTAAATAATTGTGGAGCTCTCCCAATGAGGCAGGAGTAATGTCTGGATTGTAATATTTTTACTATGTTCTTCTTCCCAGAATTATATCACTGATTCAGCCCATTGGCTAGAAATATTCAGAATGTGAAATTTTATCACATAAAAGTTTTTGCCATGAGAAAAATCAATCCATCCTGCAAAAATTATAATAGGAATTTAAATAACAGCATAACTTTGCAGATGATTATTTTAATGTCATTTGTGTTTTAAGTTCTGTTTGACGTAAAATATTAACATTGTGCCCTGGTACCATTTGTTTTGACGATGGAAGATTTTCAGACTTTGGAATAAGCCATGCCCAATAAACCTAAGCACAAGTTCTGAAAATAAACAGGAAGGATGAGTGTCCTTTATCAATGAAGAGAGCAAATGACACAGAAAAGGGAGCATTTGTGGCCCACTGTGTCGTGCTGCAGAAATCTCAGGAAACACTCTCAACGGCCTCACAGCGCATGGACACGGTAGAAGAGAACGGTTTCCTGGAAAGTAGTAAGTTCACTTAGAAGAATGTTATTCAGAAAGCAACTGTTCCACATTCTTAACTGAGACCCGCATTCAGATGGCCAGTTCTATCCAGCGGGGAGCCTGCAGCTGACGTTCATGAGGATGGCTCAGGGTCATGGGAACACCATCATTGGGTTTGCATTTGCTCCGTTTGGCAATGCGCAGAAATGTGTCATTTCCTCAACCGCCGACAGTGTACTGGAAGATCAGTCACCAGGACTGGGTTCCAGTCTGCGGTCCTTTCGTGATACTTAGGCATCTTAGAGAACGGTAAGAGCAGCTTCATTTGGCAATGCTCAGAAATGTGTCATTTCCTCAACCACCGACAGTGTACTGGAAGATCAGTCACCAGGACTGGGTTCCAGGCTGCAGTCCTTTCATGATACTTATGCATCTTAAAGAACCATAAGAGCAGCTTCCAAGTCTGTCAAATGCCAATATGGCAATGTGTACGCTGCTTACAT